>NC_000016.10:37956525-38265669 GCF_000001405.40 Homo sapiens | reverse complement strand
TTTGTCTTGTTTTTATACGAAGATATTTCCTTTTCTACCATTGGCATCGAAGCGCTTGAAATCTCCACTTGCAAATTCCACAAAAAGAGTGTTTCAAATCTGCTCTGTCTAAAGGAAGGTTGAACTCTGTGAGTTGCATACACACAACACAAAGAAGTTACTGAGAAATCTTCTGTCTAGCATAATATGAAGAAATCCCGTTTCCAACGAAGGCCTCAAAGAGGTCCGAATATCCACTGGCAGGCTTCACAAACAGAGTGTTTCCTAACTGCTCTGTGAAAAGAAAGGTTAAACTCTGTGAGTTGAACGCACACATCACAAAGGAGTTTCTGAGAATCATTCTGTCTAGTTTTTATACGAAGATATTTCTTTTTCTACCATTGACCTCAAAGCGGCTGAAATCTCCACTTGCAAATTCCAGAAAAACAGTGTTTCAAATCTGCTCTGTGTAAAGGATCGTTCAACTACTGTGAGTTGAATACACACAACACAAGGAAGTTACTGAGAATTCATCTGTCTAGCATAATATGAAGAAATCCCGTTTCCAACGAAGGCCTCAAAGAGGTCTGAATATCCACTTGCAGACTTTACAAACAGAGTGTTTCCTAACTGCTCTTTGAAAAGAAAGGTTAAACTCTGTGAGTTGAACGCACACATCACAAAACAGTTTCTGAGAATCATTCTGTCTAGTTTTTATACGAAGATATTTCCTTTTCTACCGTTGACCTCAAAGCGGCTGAATTCTCCACTTACAAATTCCACCAAAAGAGTGTCTCAAATCTGCTCTGTGTAAAGAATCATTCAACTCTGTGAGTTGAATGCACACAACACAAGGAAGTTACTGGGAATTCCTCTGTCTAACCTTACATGAAAAAACCCGTTTCCAACGAAGGCCTCTAAGAGGCCAAGATATCCACTTGCAGACTTTACAAACAGAGTGTTTCCAAACTGCTGAATGAAAAGAAAAGTTAAACTCTGTGAGTTGAACGCACACATCACAGAGCAGTTTCTGAGAATGATTCTGTCGGGTTTTTATACGAAGATATTTCCTTTTCTGCCTTTGGCCTCAAAGCGCTTGAAGTCTCCACTTGCAAATTGCAGAAAAAGAGTGTTTCGAATCTGCTCTGTCTAAAGGAAGGTTCAACTCTGTCAGTTGAATACACACAACACAAGGAAGTTACTGAGATTTCTTCTGTCTAGCCTTACATGAAAAAAACCCGTTTCCAACGAAGGCCTCAAAGAGGTCAAAATATCCACGTGCAGACTTTCCAAACAGAGTGTTTCCAAACTGCTGAATGAAAAGAAAAGTTAAACTCTGTGAGTTGAACGCACACATCCCAGAGCAGTTTCTGAGAAAGATTCTGTCTAGTTTTTATAGGAAAATATTTCCTTTTCTGCTTTTGGCCTCAAAGCGCTTGAAATCTCCACTTGCAAATTCCACAAAAAGAGACTTTCAAATCTGCTCTGTCTAAAGGAAGGTTCAACTCTGTCAGTTGAATACACACAACACAAAGAAGTTACTAAGAATTCTTCCCTCTAGCATTATATGAAGAAATCCCGTTTCCAACGAAGGCATCTAAGAGGTCCAAATATCCACTTGCAGACTTTACAAACACAGGGTTTCCAGAATGCTGTATGAAAAGAAAGGTTAAACTCTGTGAGTTAAACACACACATCACTACGCAGTGTCTGGGAACGAGTTTGTCTTGTTTTTCTACGAAGATATTTCCTTTTCTACCATTGGCATCGAAGCGCTTGAAATCTCCACTTGCAAATTCCACAAAAAGAGTGTTTCAAATCTGCTCTGTCTAAAGGAAGGTTGAACTCTGTGAGTTGCATACACACAACACAAAGAAGTTACTGAGAAATCTTCTGTCTAGCATAATATGAAGAAATCCCGTTTCCAACGAAGGCCTCAAAGAGGTCCGAATATCCACTGGCAGGCTTCACAAACAGAGTGTTTCCTAACTGCTCTGTGAAAAGAAAGGTTAAACTCTGTGAGTTGAACGCACACATCACAAAGGAGTTTCTGAGAATCATTCTGTCTAGTTTTTATACGAAGATATTTCCTTTTCTACCATTGACCTCAAAGCGGCTGAAATCTCCACTTGCAAATTCCAGAAAAACAGTGTTTCAAATCTGCTCTGTGTAAAGGATCGTTCAACTCTGTGAGTTGAATACACACAACACAAGGAAGTTACTGAGAATTCATCTGTCTAGCATAATATGAAGAAATCCCGTTTCCAACGAAGGCCTCAAAGAGGTCTGAATATCCACTTGCAGACTTTACAAACAGAGTGTTTCCTAACTGCTCTTTGAAAAGAAAGGTTAAACTCTGTGAGTTGAACGCACACATCACAAAACAGTTTCTGAGAATCATTCTGTCTAGTTTTTATACGAAGATATTTCCTTTTCTACCGTTGACCTCAAAGCGGCTGAATTCTCCACTTACAAATTCCACCAAAAGAGTGTCTCAAATCTGCTCTGTGTAAAGAATCATTCAACTCTGTGAGTTGAATGCACACAACACAAGGAAGTTACTGGGAATTCCTCTGTCTAACCTTACATGAAAAAACCCGTTTCCAACGAAGGCCTCTAAGAGGCCAAGATATCCACTTGCAGACTTTACAAACAGAGTGTTTCCAAACTGCTGAATGAAAAGAAAAGTTAAACTCTGTGAGTTGAACGCACACATCACAGAGCAGTTTCTGAGAATGATTCTGTCGGGTTTTTATACGAAGATATTTCCTTTTCTGCCTTTGGCCTCAAAGCGCTTGAAGTCTCCACTTGCAAATTGCAGAAAAAGAGTGTTTCGAATCTGCTCTGTCTAAAGGAAGGTTCAACTCTGTCAGTTGAATACACACAACACAAGGAAGTTACTGAGATTTCTTCTGTCTAGCCTTACATGAAAAAAACCCGTTTCCAACGAAGGCCTCAAAGAGGTCAAAATATCCACGTGCAGACTTTCCAAACAGTGTTTCCAAACTGCTGAATGAAAAGAAAAGTTAAACTCTGTGAGTTGAACGCACACATCACAGAGCAGTTTCTGAGAATGATTCTGTCGAGTTTTTATAGGAAAATATTTCCTTTTCTGCTTTTGGCCTCAAAGCGCTTGAAATCTCCACTTGCAAATTCCACAAAAAGAGACTTTCAAATCTGCTCTGTCTAAAGGAAGGTTCAACTCTGTCAGTTGAATACACACAACACAAAGAAGTTACTAAGAATTCTTCCCTCTAGCATTATATGAAGAAATCCCGTTTCCAACGAAGGCATCTAAGAGGTCCAAATATCCACTTGCAGACTTTACAAACACAGGGTTTCCAGAATGCTGTATGAAAAGAAAGGTTAAACTCTGTGAGTTAAACACACACATCACTACGCAGTGTCTGGGAACGAGTTTGTCTTGTTTTTATACGAAGATATTTCCTTTTCTACCATTGGCATCGAAGCGCTTGAAATCTCCACTTGCAAATTCCACAAAAAGAGTGTTTCAAATCTGCTCTGTCTAAAGGAAGGTTGAACTCTGTGAGTTGCATACACACAACACAAAGAAGTTACTGAGAAATCTTCTGTCTAGCATAATATGAAGAAATCCCGTTTCCAACGAAGGCCTCAAAGAGGTCCGAATATCCACTGGCAGGCTTCACAAACAGAGTGTTTCCTAACTGCTCTGTGAAAAGAAAGGTTAAACTCTGTGAGTTGAACGCACACATCACAAAGGAGTTTCTGAGAATCATTCTGTCTAGTTTTTATACGAAGATATTTCCTTTTCTACCATTGACCTCAAAGCGGCTGAAATCTCCACTTGCAAATTCCAGAAAAACAGTGTTTCAAATCTGCTCTGTGTAAAGGATCGTTCAACTCTGTGAGTTGAATACACACAACACAAGGAAGTTACTGAGAATTCATCTGTCTAGCATAATATGAAGAAATCCCGTTTCCAACGAAGGCCTCAAAGAGGTCTGAATATCCACTTGCAGACTTTACAAACAGAGTGTTTCCTAACTGCTCTTTGAAAAGAAAGGTTAAACTCTGTGAGTTGAACGCACACATCACAAAAAAGTTTCTGAGAATCATTCTGTCTAGTTTTTATACGAAGATATTTCCTTTTCTACCGTTGACCTCAAAGCGGCTGAATTCTCCACTTACAAATTCCAGCAAAAGAGTGTCTCAAATCTGCTCTGTGTAAAGAATCATTGAACTCTGTGAGTTGAATGCACACAACACAAGGAAGTTACTGGGAATTCCTCTGTCTAACCTTACATGAAAAAACCCGTTTCCAACGAAGGCCTCTAAGAGGCCAAGATATCCACTTGCAGACTTTACAAACAGAGTGTTTCCAAACTGCTGAATGAAAAGAAAAGTTAAACTCTGTGAGTTGAACGCACACATCACAGAGCAGTTTCTGAGAATGATTCTGTCGGGTTTTTATACGAAGATATTTCCTTTTCTGCCTTTGGCCTCAAAGCGCTTGAAGTCTCCACTTGCAAATTGCAGAAAAAGAGTGTTTCGAATCTGCTCTGTCTAAAGGAAGGTTCAACTCTGTCAGTTGAATACACACAACACAAGGAAGTTACTGAGATTTCTTCTGTCTAGCCTTACATGAAAAAAACCCGTTTCCAACGAAGGCCTCAAAGAGGTCAAAATATCCACGTGCAGACTTTCCAAACAGAGTGTTTCCAAACTGCTGAATGAAAAGAAAAGTTAAACTCTGTGAGTTGAACGCACACATCCCAGAGCAGTTTCTGAGAAAGATTCTGTCGAGTTTTTATAGGAAAATATTTCCTTTTCTGCTTTTGGCCTCAAAGCGCTTGAAATCTCCACTTGCAAATTCCACAAAAAGAGACTTTCAAATCTGCTCTGTCTAAAGGAAGGTTCAACTCTGTCAGTTGAATACACACAACACAAAGAAGTTACTAAGAATTCTTCCCTCTAGCATTATATGAAGAAATCCCGTTTCCAACGAAGGCATCTAAGAGGTCCAAATATCCACTTGCAGACTTTACAAACACAGGGTTTCCAGAATGCTGTATGAAAAGAAAGGTTAAACTCTGTGAGTTAAACACACACATCACTACGCAGTGTCTGGGAACGAGTTTGTCTTGTTTTTATACGAAGATATTTCCTTTTCTACCATTGGCATCGAAGCGCTTGAAATCTCCACTTGCAAATTCCACAAAAAGAGTGTTTCAAATCTGCTCTGTCTAAAGGAAGGTTGAACTCTGTGAGTTGCATACACACAACACAAAGAAGTTACTGAGAAATCTTCTGTCTAGCATAATATGAAGAAATCCCGTTTCCAACGAAGGCCTCAAAGAGGTCCGAATATCCACTGGCAGGCTTCACAAACAGAGTGTTTCCTAACTGCTCTGTGAAAAGAAAGGTTAAACTCTGTGAGTTGAACGCACACATCACAAAGGAGTTTCTGAGAATCATTCTGTCTAGTTTTTATACGAAGATATTTCCTTTTCTACCATTGACCTCAAAGCGGCTGAAATCTCCACTTGCAAATTCCAGAAAAACAGTGTTTCAAATCTGCTCTGTGTAAAGGATCGTTCAACTCTGTGAGTTGAATACACACAACACAAGGAAGTTACTGAGAATTCATCTGTCTAGCATAATATGAAGAAATCCCGTTTCCAACGAAGGCCTCAAAGAGGTCTGAATATCCACTTGCAGACTTTACAAACAGAGTGCTTCCTAACTGCTCTTTGAAAAGAAAGGTTAAACTCTGTGAGTTGAACGCACACATCACAAAACAGTTTCTGAGAATCATTCTGTCTAGTTTTTATACGAAGATATTTCCTTTTCTACCGTTGACCTCAAAGCGGCTGAATTCTCCACTTACAAATTCCACCAAAAGAGTGTCTCAAATCTGCTCTGTGTAAAGAATCATTCAACTCTGTGAGTTGAATGCACACAACACAAGGAAGTTACTGGGAATTCCTCTGTCTAACCTTAAATGAAAAAACCCGTTTCCAACGAAGGCCTCTAAGAGGCCAAGATATCCACTTGCAGACTTTACAAACAGAGTGTTTCCAAACTGCTGAATGAAAAGAAAAGTTAAACTCTGTGAGTTGAACGCACACATCACAGAGCAGTTTCTGAGAATGATTCTGTCGGGTTTTTATACGAAGATATTTCCTTTTCTGCCTTTGGCCTCAAAGCGCTTGAAGTCTCCACTTGCAAATTGCAGAAAAAGAGTGTTTCGAATCTGCTCTGTCTAAAGGAAGGTTCAACTCTGTCAGTTGAATACACACAACACAAGGAAGTTACTGAGATTTCTTCTGTCTAGCCTTACATGAAAAAAACCCGTTTCCAACGAAGGCCTCAAAGAGGTCAAAATATCCACGTGCAGACTTTCCAAACAGAGTGTTTCCAAACTGCTGAATGAAAAGAAAAGTTAAACTCTGTGAGTTGAACGCACACATCCCAGAGCAGTTTCTGAGAAAGATTCTGTCGAGTTTTTATAGGAAAATATTTCCTTTTCTGCTTTTGGCCTCAAAGCGCTTGAAATCTCCACTTGCAAATTCCACAAAAAGAGACTTTCAAATCTGCTCTGTCTAAAGGAAGGTTCAACTCTGTCAGTTGAATACACACAACACAAAGAAGTTACTAAGAATTCTTCCCTCTAGCATTATATGAAGAAATCCCGTTTCCAACGAAGGCATCTAAGAGGTCCAAATATCCACTTGCAGACTTTACAAACAGAGGGTTTCCAGAATGCTGTATGAAAAGAAAGGTTAAACTCTGTGAGTTAAACACACACATCACTACGCAGTGTCTGGGAACGAGTTTGTCTTGTTTTTATACGAAGATATTTCCTTTTCTACCATTGGCATCGAAGCGCTTGAAATCTCCACTTGCAAATTCCACAAAAAGAGTGTTTCAAATCTGCTCTGTCTAAAGGAAGGTTGAACTCTGTGAGTTGCATACACACAACACAAAGAAGTTACTGAGAAATCTTCTGTCTAGCATAATATGAAGAAATCCCGTTTCCAACGAAGGCCTCAAAGAGGTCCGAATATCCACTGGCAGGCTTCACAAACAGAGTGTTTCCTAACTGCTCTGTGAAAAGAAAGGTTAAACTCTGTGAGTTGAACGCACACATCACAAAGGAGTTTCTGAGAATCATTCTGTCTAGTTTTTATACGAAGATATTTCCTTTTCTACCATTGACCTCAAAGCGGCTGAAATCTCCACTTGCAAATTCCAGAAAAACAGTGTTTCAAATCTGCTCTGTGTAAAGGATCGTTCAACTCTGTGAGTTGAATACACACAACACAAGGAAGTTACTGAGAATTCATCTGTCTAGCATAATATGATGAAATCCCGTTTCCAACGAAGGCTTCAAAGAGGTCTGAATATCCACTTGCAGACTTTACAAACAGAGTGTTTCCTAACTGCTCTTTGAAAACAAAGGTTAAACTCTTTGAGTTGAACGCACACATCACAAAACAGTTTCTGAGAATCATTCTTTCTAGTTTTTATACGAAGATATTTCCTTTTCTACCGTTGACCTCAAAGCGGCTGAATTCTCCACTTACAAATTCCACCAAAAGTGTGTCTCAAATCAGCTCTGTGTAAAGAATCATTCAACTCTGTGAGTTGAATGCACACAACACAAGGAAGTTACTGGGAATTCCTCTGTCTAACCTTACATGAAAAAACGCGTTTCCAACGAAGGCCTCTAAGAGGCCAAGATATCCACTTGCAGACTTTACAAACAGAGTGTTTCCAAACTGCTGAATGAAAAGAAAAGTTAAACTCTGTGAGTTGAACGCACACATCACAGAGCAGTTTCTGAGAATGATTCTGTCGGGTTTTTATACGAAGATATTTCCTTTTCTGCCTTTGGCCTCAAAGCGCTTGAAGTCTCCACTTGCAAATTGCAGAAAAAGAGTGTTTCGAATCTGCTCTGTCTAAAGGAAGGTTCAACTCTGTCAGTTGAATACACACAACACAAGGAAGTTACTGAGATTTCTTCTGTCTAGCCTTACATGAAAAAAACCCGTTTCCAACGAAGGCCTCAAAGAGGTCAAAATATCCACGTGCAGACTTTCCAAACAGAGTGTTTCCAAACTGCTGAATGAAAAGAAAGTTAAACTCTGTGAGTTGAACACACACATCACAGAGCAGTTTCTGAGAATGATTCTGTCTAGTTTTTATAGGAAAATATTTCCTTTTCTGCTTTTGGCCTCAAAGCGCTTGAAATCTCCACTTGCAAATTCCACAAAAAGAGACTTTCAAATCTGCTCTGTCTAAAGGAAGGTTCAACTCTGTCAGTTGAATACACACAACACAAAGAAGTTATTAAGAATTCTTCCCTCTAGCATTATATGAAGAAATCCCGTTTCCAACGAAGGCATCTAAGAGGTCCAAATATCCACTTGCAGACTTTACAAACAGAGGGTTTCCAGAATGCTGTATGAAAAGAAAGGTTAAACTCTGTGAGTTAAACACACACATCACTACGCAGTGTCTGGGAACGAGTTTGTCTTGTTTTTATACGAAGATATTTCCTTTTCTACCATTGGCATCGAAGCGCTTGAAATCTCCACTTGCAAATTCCACAAAAAGAGTGTTTCAAATCTGCTCTGTCTAAAGGAAGGTTGAACTCTGTGAGTTGCATACACACAACCCGAAGAAGTTACTGAGAAATCTTCTGTCTAGCATAATATGAAGAAATCCCGTTTCCAACGAAGGCCTGAAAGAGGTCCGAATATCCACTGGCAGGCTTCACAAACAGAGTGTTTCCTAACTGCTCTGTGAAAAGAAAGGTTAAACTCTGTGAGTTGAACGCACACATCACAAAGGAGTTTCTGAGAATCATTCTGTCTAGTTTTTATACGAAGATATTTCCTTTTCTACCATTGACCTCAAAGCGGCTGAAATCTCCACTTGCAAATTCCAGAAAAACAGTGTTTCAAATCTGCTCTGTGTAAAGGATCGTTCAACTCTTGTGAGTTGAATACACACAACACAAGGAAGTTACTGAGAATTCATCTGTCTAGCATAATATGAAGAAATCCCGTTTCCAACGAAGGCCTCAAAGAGGTCTGAATATCCACTTGCAGACTTTACAAACAGAGTGTTTCCTAACTGCTCTTTGAAAAGAAAGGTTAAACTCTGTGAGTTGAACGCACACATCACAAAACAGTTTCTGAGAATCATTCTGTCTAGTTTTTATACGAAGATATTTCCTTTTCTACCGTTGACCTCAAAGCGGCTGAATTCTCCACTTACAAATTCCACCAAAAGAGTGTCTCAAATCTGCTCTGTGTAAAGAATCATTCAACTCTGTGAGTTGAATGCACACAACACAAGGAAGTTACTGGGAATTCCTCTGTCTAACCTTACATGAAAAAACCCGTTTCCAACGAAGGCCTCTAAGAGGCCAAGATATCCACTTGCAGACTTTACAAACAGAGTGTTTCCAAACTGCTGAATGAAAAGAAAAGTTAAACTCTGTGAGTTGAACGCACACATCACAGAGCAGTTTCTGAGAATGATTCTGTCGGGTTTTTATACGAAGATATTTCCTTTTCTGCCTTTGGCCTCAAAGCGCTTGAAGTCTCCACTTGCAAATTGCAGAAAAAGAGTGTTTCGAATCTGCTCTGTCTAAAGGAAGGTTCAACTCTGTCAGTTGAATACACACAACACAAGGAAGTTACTGAGATTTCTTCTGTCTAGCCTTACATGAAAAAAACCCGTTTCCAACGAAGGCCTCAAAGAGGTCAAAATATCCACGTGCAGACTTTCCAAACAGAGTGTTTCCAAACTGCTGAATGAAAAGAAAAGTTAAACTCTGTGAGTTGAACGCACACATCCCAGAGCAGTTTCTGAGAAAGATTCTGTCTAGTTTTTATAGGAAAATATTTCCTTTTCTGCTTTTGGCCTCAAAGCGCTTGAAATCTCCACTTGCAAATTCCACAAAAAGAGACTTTCAAATCTGCTCTGTCTAAAGGAAGGTTCAACTCTGTCAGTTGAATACACACAACACAAAGAAGTTACTAAGAATTCTTCCCTCTAGCATTATATGAAGAAATCCCGTTTCCAACGAAGGCATCTAAGAGGTCCAAATATCCACTTGCAGACTTTACAAACACAGGGTTTCCAGAATGCTGTATGAAAAGAAAGGTGAAACTCTGTGAGTTAAACACACACATCACTACGCAGTGTCTGGGAACGAGTTTGTCTTGTTTTTATACGAAGATATTTCCTTTTCTACCATTGGCATCGAAGCGCTTGAAATCTCCACTTGCAAATTCCACAAAAAGAGTGTTTCAAATCTGCTCTGTCTAAAGGAAGGTTGAACTCTGTGAGTTGCATACACACAACACAAAGAAGTTACTGAGAAATCTTCTGTCTAGCATAATATGAAGAAATCCCGTTTCCAACGAAGGCCTCAAAGAGGTCCGAATATCCACTGGCAGGCTTCACAAACAGAGTGTTTCCTAACTGCTCTGTGAAAAGAAAGGTTAAACTCTGTGAGTTGAACGCACACATCACAAAGGAGTTTCTGAGAATCATTCTGTCTAGTTTTTATACGAAGATATTTCCTTTTCTACCATTGACCTCAAAGCGGCTGACATCTCCACTTGCAAATTCCAGAAAAACAGTGTTTCAAATCTGCTCTGTGTAAAGGATCGTTCAACTCTGTGAGTTGAATACACACAACACAAGGAAGTTACTGAGAATTCATCTGTCTAGCATAATATGATGAAATCCCGTTTCCAACGAAGGCTTTAAAGTAGGTCTGAATATCCACTTGCAGACTTTACAAACAGAGTGTTTCCTAACTGCTCTTTGAAAAGAAAGGTTAAACTCTGTGAGTTGAACGCACACATCACAAAACAGTTTCTGAGAATCATTCTGTCTAGTTTTTAAGGGAAGAAGTTTCCTGTTCCACCGTAGGCCTCAAAGTGCTCCCAATGTCCACTTCCAGATACTACAAAAAGAGTGTTTCAAACCTGCTCTATGAAAGGGAATGTTTAACTCTGAGACTTGAATGGAAACATCACAAAGTCGCTTCCCAGAAGGCTTCCGTCTACTTTTTATATGAAGATAATCCCGTTTCCATCGAAATCCTCGAAGCTATCCAAGTCTCCACTTGCAAATTGCACAAAAAGAGTGTTTCGAATCTGCTCTGTCTAAAGGAAGGTTCAACTCTGTCAGTTGAATACGCACAACACAAGGAAGTTACTGAGATTTCTTCTGTCTAGCCTTACATGAAAAAAACCCGTTTCCAACGAAGGCCTCAAAGAGGTCAAAATATCCACGTGCAGACTTTACAAACAGAGTGTTTCCAAACTGCTGAATGAAAAGAAAAGTTAAACTCTGTGAGTTGAACGCACACATCACAGAGCAGTTTCTGAGAATGATTCTGTCTAGTTTTCATAGGAAAATATTTCCTTTTCTGCTTTTGGCCTCAAAGCGCTTGAAATCTCCACTTGCAAATTCCACAAAAAGAGAGTTCCAAATCTGCTCTGTCTAAAGGAAGGTTCAACTCTGTCAGTTGAATACACACAACACAAAGAAGTTACTAAGAATTCTTCCCTCTAGCATTATATGAAGAAATCCCGTTTCCAACGAAGACATCTAAGAGGTAAAAATATCCACTTGCAGACTTTACAAACAGAGGGTTTCCAGAATGCTGTATGAAAAGAAAGGTTAAACTCTGTGAGTTAAACACACACATCACTACGCAGTGTCTGGGAACGAGTTTGTCTTGTTTTTATACGAAGATATTTCCTTTTCTACCATTGGCATCGAAGCGCTTGAAATCTCCACTTGCAAATTCCACAAAAAGAGTGTTTCAAATCTGCGCTGTCTAAAGGAAGGTTGAACTCTGTGAGTTGTATACACACAACACAAAGAAGTTACTGAGAAATCTTCTGTCTAGCATAATATGAAGAAATCCCGTTTCCAACGAAGGCCTCAAAGAGGTCCGAATATCCACTGGCAGGCTTCACAAACAGAGTGTTTCCTAACTGCTCTGTGAAAAGAAAGGTTAAACTCTGTGAGTTGAACGCACACATCACAAAGGAGTTTCTGAGAATCATTCTGTCTAGTTTTTATACGAAGATATTTCCTTTTCTACCATTGACCTCAAAGCGGCTGAAATCTCCACTTGCAAATTCCAGAAAAACAGTGTTTCAAATCTGCTCTGTGTAAAGGATCGTTCAACTCTGTGAGTTGAATACACACAACACAAGGAAGTTACTGAGAATTCATCTGTCTAGCATAATATGAAGAAATCCCGTTTCCAACGAAGGCCTCAAAGAGGTCTGAATATCCACTTGCAGACTTTACAAACAGAGTGTTTCCTAACTGCTCTTTGAAAAGAAAGGTTAAACTCTGTGAGTTGAACGCACACATCACAAAACAGTTTCTGAGAATCATTCTGTCTAGTTTTTATACGAAGATATTTCCTTTTCTACCGTTGACCTCAAAGCGGCTGAATTCTCCACTTACAAATTCCACCAAAAGAGTGTCTCAAATCTGCTCTGTGTAAAGAATCATTCAACTCTGTGAGTTGAATGCACACAACACAAGGAAGTTACTGGGAATTCCTCTGTCTAACCTTACATGAAAAAACCCGTTTCCAACGAAGGCCTCTAAGAGGCCAAGATATCCACTTGCAGACTTTACAAACAGAGTGTTTCCAAACTGCTGAATGAAAAGAAAAGTTAAACTCTGTGAGTTGAACGCACACATCACAGAGCAGTTTCTGAGAATGATTCTGTCGGGTTTTTATACGAAGATATTTCCTTTTCTGCCTTTGGCCTCAAAGCGCTTGAAGTCTCCACTTGCAAATTGCAGAAAAAGAGTGTTTCGAATCTGCTCTGTCTAAAGGAAGGTTCAACTCTGTCAGTTGAATACACACAACACAAGGAAGTTACTGAGATTTCTTCTGTCTAGCCTTACATGAAAAAAACCCGTTTCCAACGAAGGCCTCAAAGAGGTCAAAATATCCACGTGCAGACTTTCCAAACAGAGTGTTTCCAAACTGCTGAATGAAAAGAAAAGTTAAACTCTGTGAGTTGAACGCACACATCCCAGAGCAGTTTCTGAGAAAGATTCTGTCTAGTTTTTATAGGAAAATATTTCCTTTTCTGCTTTTGGCCTCAAAGCGCTTGAAATCTCCACTTGCAAATTCCACAAAAAGAGACTTTCAAATCTGCTCTGTCTAAAGGAAGGTTCAACTCTGTCAGTTGAATACACACAACACAAAGAAGTTACTAAGAATTCTTCCCTCTAGCATTATATGAAGAAATCCCGTTTCCAACGAAGGCATCTAAGAGGTCCAAATATCCACTTGCAGACTTTACAAACACAGGGTTTCCAGAATGCTGTATGAAAAGAAAGGTTAAACTCTGTGAGTTAAACACACACATCACTACGCAGTGTCTGGGAACGAGTTTGTCTTGTTTTTATACGAAGATATTTCCTTTTCTACCATTGGCATCGAAGCGCTTGAAATCTCCACTTGCAAATTCCACAAAAAGAGTGTTTCAAATCTGCTCTGTCTAAAGGAAGGTTGAACTCTGTGAGTTGCATACACACAACACAAAGAAGTTACTGAGAAATCTTCTGTCTAGCATAATATGAAGAAATCCCGTTTCCAACGAAGGCCTCAAAGAGGTCCGAATATCCACTGGCAGGCTTCACAAACAGAGTGTTTCCTAACTGCTCTGTGAAAAGAAAGGTTAAACTCTGTGAGTTGAACGCACACATCACAAAGGAGTTTCTGAGAATCATTCTGTCTAGTTTTTATACGAAGATATTTCCTTTTCTACCATTGACCTCAAAGCGGCTGAAATCTCCACTTGCAAATTCCAGAAAAACAGTGTTTCAAATCTGCTCTGTGTAAAGGATCGTTCAACTCTGTGAGTTGAATACACACAACACAAGGAAGTTACTGAGAATTCATCTGTCTAGCATAATATGAAGAAATCCCGTTTCCAACGAAGGCCTCAAAGAGGTCTGAATATCCACTTGCAGACTTTACAAACAGAGTGTTTCCTAACTGCTCTTTGAAAAGAAAGGTTAAACTCTGTGAGTTGAAAGCACACATCACAAAACAGTTTCTGAGAATCATTCTTTCTAGTTTTTATACGAAGATATTTCCTTTTCTACCGTTGACCTCAAAGCGGCTGAATTCTCCACTTACAAATTCCACCAAAAGAGTGTCTCAAATCTGCTCTGTGTAAAGAATCATTCAACTCTGTGAGTTGAATGCATACAACACAAGGAAGTTACTGGGAATTCCTCTGTCTAACCTTACATGAAAAAACCCGTTTCCAACGAAGGCCTCTAAGAGGCCAAGATATCCACTTGCAGACTTTACAAACAGAGTGTTTCCAAACTGCTGAATGAAAAGAAAAGTTAAACTCTGTGAGTTGAACGCACACATCACAGAGCAGTTTCTGAGAATGATTCTGTCGGGTTTTTATACGAAGATATTTCCTTTTCTGCCTTTGGCCTCAAAGCGCTTGAAGTCTCCACTTGCAAATTGCAGAAAAAGAGTGTTTCGAATCTGCTCTGTCTAAAGGAAGGTTCAACTCTGTCAGTTGAATACACACAACACAAGGAAGTTACTGAGATTTCTTCTGTCTAGCCTTACATGAAAAAAACCCGTTTCCAACGAAGGCCTCAAAGAGGTCAAAATATCCACGTGCAGACTTTCCAAACAGAGTGTTTCCAAACTGCTGAATGAAAAGAAAGTTAAACTCTGTGAGTTGAACACACACATCACAGAGCAGTTTCTGAGAATGATTCTCTCTAGTTTTTATAGGAAAATATTTCCTTTTCTGCTTTTGGCCTCAAAGCGCTTGAAATCTCCACTTGCAAATTCCACAAAAAGAGACTTTCAAATCTGCTCTGTCTAAAGGAAGGTTCAACTCTGTCAGTTCAATACACACAACACAAAGAAGTTACTAAGAATTCTTCCCTCTAGCATTATATGAAGAAATCCCGTTTCCAACGAAGGCATCTAAGAGGTCCAAATATCCACTTGCAGACTTTACAAACAGAGGGTTTCCAGAATGCTGTATGAAAAGAAAGGTTAAACTCTGTGAGTTAAACACACACATCACTACGCAGTGTCTGGGAACGAGTTTGTCTTGTTTTTATACGAAGATATTTCCTTTTCTACCATTGGCATCGAAGCGCTTGAAATCTCCACTTGCAAATTCCACAAAAAGAGTGTTTCAAATCTGCTCTGTCTAAAGGAAGGTTGAACTCTGTGAGTTGCATACACACAACACAAAGAAGTTACTGAGAAATCTTCTGTCTAGCATAATATGAAGAAATCCCGTTTCCAACGAAGGCCTCAAAGAGGTCCGAATATCCACTGGCAGGCTTCACAAACAGAGTGTTTCCTAACTGCTCTGTGAAAAGAAAGGTTAAACTCTGTGAGTTGAACGCACACATCACAAAGGGAGTTTCTGAGAATCATTCTGTCTAGTTTTTATACGAAGATATTTCTTTTTCTACCATTGACCTCAAAGCGGCTGAAATCTCCACTTGCAAATTCCAGAAAAACAGTGTTTCAAATCTGCTCTGTGTAAAGGATCGTTCAACTCTGTGAGTTGAATACACACAACACAAGGAAGTTACTGAGAATTCATCTGTCTAGCATAATATGAAGAAATCCCGTTTCCAACGAAGGCCTCAAAGAGGTCTGAATATCCACTTGCAGACTTTACAAACAGAGTGTTTCCTAACTGCTCTTTGAAAAGAAAGGTTAAACTCTGTGAGTTGAACGCACACATCACAAAACAGTTTCTGAGAATCATTCTGTCTAGTTTTTATACGAAGATATTTCCTTTTCTACCGTTGACCTCAAAGCAGCTGAATTCTCCACTTACAAATTCCACCAAAAGAGTGTCTCAAATCTGCTCTGTGTATAGAATCATTCAACTCTGTGAGTTGAATGCACACAACACAAGGAAGTTACTGGGAATTCCTCTGTCTAACCTTACATGAAAAAACCCGTTTCCAACGAAGGCCTCTAAGAGGCCAAGATATCCACTTGCAGACTTTACAAACAGAGTGTTTCCAAACTGCTGAATGAAAAGAAAAGTTAAACTCTGTGAGTTGAACGCACACATCACAGAGCAGTTTCTGAGAATGATTCTGTCGGGTTTTTATACGAAGATATTTCCTTTTCTGCCTTTGGCCTCAAAGCGCTTGAAGTCTCCACTTGCAAATTGCAGAAAAAGAGTGTTTCGAATCTGCTCTGTCTAAAGGAAGGTTCAACTCTGTCAGTTGAATACACACAACACAAGGAAGTTACTGAGATTTCTTCTGTCTAGCCTTACATGAAAAAAACCCGTTTCCAACGAAGGCCTCAAAGAGGTCAAAATATCCACGTGCAGACTTTCCAAACAGAGTGTTTCCAAACTGCTGAATGAAAAGAAAAGTTAAACTCTGTGAGTTGAACGCACACATCCCAGAGCAGTTTCTGAGAAAGATTCTGTCGAGTTTTTATAGGAAAATATTTCCTTTTCTGCTTTTGGCCTCAAAGCGCTTGAAATCTCCACTTGCAAATTCCACAAAAAGAGACTTTCAAATCTGCTCTGTCTAAAGGAAGGTTCAACTCTGTCAGTTGAATACACACAACACAAAGAAGTTACTAAGAATTCTTCCCTCTAGCATTATATGAAGAAATCCCGTTTCCAACGAAGGCATCTAAGAGGTCCAAATATCCACTTGCAGACTTTACAAACAGAGGGTTTCCAGAATGCTGTATGAAAAGAAAGGTGAAACTCTGTGAGTTAAACACACACATCACTACGCAGTGTCTGGGAACGAGTTTGTCTTGTTTTTATACGAAGATATTTCCTTTTCTACCATTGGCATCGAAGCGCTTGAAATCTCCACTTGCAAATTCCACAAAAAGAGTGTTTCAAATATGCTCTCTCTAAAGGAAGGTTGAACTCTGTGAGTTGCATACACACAACACAAAGAAGTTACTGAGAAATCTTCTGTCTTGCAAAATATGAAGAAATCCCGTTTCCAACGAAGGCCTCAAAGAGGTCCGAATATCCACTGGCAGGCTTCACAAACAGAGTGTTTCCTAACTGCTCTGTGAAAAGAAAGGTTAAACTCTGTGAGTTGAACGCACACATCACAAAGGAGTTTCTGAGAATCATTCTGTCTAGTTTTTATACGAAGATATTTCCTTTTCTACCATTGACCTCAAAGCGGCTGAAATCTCCACTTGCAAATTCCAGAAAAACAGTGTTTCAAATCTGCTCTGTGTAAAGGATCGTTCAACTCTGTGAGTTGAATACACACAACACAAGGAAGTTACTGAGAATTCATCTGTCTAGCATAATATGAAGAAATCCCGTTTCCAACGAAGGCCTCAAAGAGGTCTGAATATCCACTTGCAGACTTTACAAACAGAGTGTTTCCTAACTGCTCTTTGAAAAGAAAGGTTAAACTCTGTGAGTTGAACGCACACATCACAAAACAGTTTCTGAGAATCATTCTTTCTAGTTTTTATACGAAGATATTTCCTTTTCTACCGTTGACCTCAAAGCGGCTGAATTCTCCACTTACAAATTCCACCAAAAGGGTGTCTCAAATCTGCTCTGTGTAAAGAATCATTCAACTCTGTGAGTTGAATGCACACAACACAAGGAAGTTACTGGGAATTCCTCTGTCTAACCTTACATGAAAAAACGCGTTTCCAACGAAGGCCTCTAAGAGGCCAAGATATCCACTTGCAGACTTTACAAACAGAGTGTTTCCAAACTGCTGAATGAAAAGAAAAGTTAAACTCTGTGAGTTGAACGCACACATCACAGAGCAGTTTCTGAGAATGATTCTGTCGGGTTTTTATACGAAGATATTTCCTTTTCTGCCTTTGGCCTCAAAGCGCTTGAAGTCTCCACTTGCAAATTGCAGAAAAAGAGTGTTTCGAATCTGCTCTGTCTAAAGGAAGGTTCAACTCTGTCAGTTGAATACACACAACACAAGGAAGTTACTGAGATTTCTTCTGTCTAGCCTTACATGAAAAAAACCCGTTTCCAACGAAGGCCTCAAAGAGGTCAAAATATCCACGTGCAGACTTTCCAAACAGAGTGTTTCCAAACTGCTGAATGAAAAGAAAGTTAAACTCTGTGAGTTGAACACACACATCACAGAGCAGTTTCTGAGAATGATTCTCTCTAGTTTTTATAAGAAAATATTTCCTTTTCTGCTTTTGGCCTCAAAGCGCTTGAAATCTCCACTTGCAAATTCCACAAAAAGAGACTTTCAAATCTGCTCTGTCTAAAGGAAGGTTCAACTCTGTCAGTTCAATACACACAACACAAAGAAGTTACTAAGAATTCTTCCCTCTAGCATTATATGAAGAAATCCCGTTTCCAACGAAGGCATCTAAGAGGTCCAAATATCCACTTGCAGACTTTACAAACAGAGGGTTTCCAGAATGCTGTATGAAAAGAAAGGTTAAACTCTGTGAGTTAAACACACACATCACTACGCAGTGTCTGGGAACGAGTTTGTCTTGTTTTTATACGAAGATATTTCCTTTTCTACCATTGGCATCGAAGCGCTTGAAATCTCCACTTGCAAATTCCACAAAAAGAGTGTTTCAAATCTGCTCTGTCTAAAGGAAGGTTGAACTCTGTGAGTTGCATACACACAACACAAAGAAGTTACTGAGAAATCTTCTGTCTAGCATAATATGAAGAAATCCCGTTTCCAACGAAGGCCTCAAAGAGGTCCGAATATCCACTGGCAGGCTTCACAAACAGAGTGTTTCCTAACTGCTCTGTGAAAAGAAAGGTTAAACTCTGTGAGTTGAACGCACACATCACAAAGGAGTTTCTGAGAATCATTCTGTCTAGTTTTTATACGAAGATATTTCCTTTTCTACCATTGACCTCAAAGCGGCTGAAATCTCCACTTGCAAATTCCAGAAAAACAGTGTTTCAAATCTGCTCTGTGTAAAGGATCGTTCAACTCTGTGAGTTGAATACACACAACACAAGGAAGTTACTGAGAATTCATCTGTCTAGCATAATATGATGAAATCCCGTTTCCAACGAAGGCTTCAAAGAGGTCTGAATATCCACTTGCAGACTTTACAAACAGAGTGTTTCCTAACTGCTCTTTGAAAAGAAAGGTTAAACTCTGTGAGTTGAACGCACACATCACAAAACAGTTTCTGAGAATCATTCTGTCTAGTTTTTATACGAAGATATTTCCTTTTCTACCGTTGACCTCAAAGCGGCTGAATTCTCCACTTACAAATTCCACCAAAAGAGTGTCTCAAATCTGCTCTGTGTAAAGAATCATTCAACTCTGTGAGTTGAATGCACACAACACAAGGAAGTTACTGGGAATTCCTCTGTCTAACCTTACATGAAAAAAAACCCGTTTCCAACGAAGTCCTCTAAGAGGGCAATATATCCACTTGCAGACCATACAAACAGGGTGTTTCCAAACTGCTGAATGAAATGAAAAGTTAAACTCTGTGAGTTGAACGCACACATCACAGAGCAGTTTCTGAGAATGATTCTGTCTGGTTTTTATACGAAGATATTTCCTTTTCTGCCTTTGACCTCAAGGCGCTTGATGTCTCCACTTGCAAATTGCACAAAAAGAGTGTTTCGAATCTGCTCTGTCTAAAGGAAGGTTCAACTCTGTCAGTTGAATACCCACAACACAAGGAAGTTACTGAGATTTCTTCTGTCTAGCCTTACATGAAAAAAACCCGTTTCCAACGAAGGCCTCAAAGAGGTCAAAATATCCACGTGCAGACTTTCCAAACAGAGTGTTTCCAAACTGCTGAATGAAAAGAAAAGTTAAACTCTGTGAGTTGAACGCACACATCCCAGAGCAGTTTCTGAGAAAGATTCTGTCTAGTTTTTATAGGAAAATATTTCCTTTTCTGCCTTTGGCCTCAAAGCGCTTGAAATCTCCACTTGCAAATTCCACAAAAAGAGTGTTTCAAATCTGCTCTGTCTAAAGGAAGGTTCAACTCTGTCAGTTGAATACACACAACACAAAGAAGTTACTAAGAATTCTTCCCTCTAGCATTATATGAAGAAATCCCGTTTCCAACGAAGGCATCTAAGAGGTCCAAATATCCACTTGCAGACTTTACAAACACAGGGTTTCCAGAATGCTGTATGAAAAGAAAGGTTAAACTCTGTGAGTTAAACACACACATCACTACGCAGTGTCTGGGAACGAGTTTGTCTTGTTTTTATACGAAGATATTTCCTTTTCTACCATTGGCATCGAAGCGCTTGAAATCTCCACTTGCAAATTCCACAAAAAGAGTGTTTCAAATCTGCTCTGTCTAAAGGAAGGTTGAACTCTGTGAGTTGCATACACACAACACAAAGAAGTTACTGAGAAATCTTCTGTCTAGCATAATATGAAGAAATCCCGTTTCCAACGAAGGCCTCAAAGAGGTCCGAATATCCACTGGCAGGCTTCACAAACAGAGTGTTTCCTAACTGCTCTGTGAAAAGAAAGGTTAAACTCTGTGAGTTGAACGCACACATCACAAAGGAGTTTCTGAGAATCATTCTGTCTAGTTTTTATACGAAGATATTTCCTTTTCTACCATTGACCTCAAAGCGGCTGAAATCTCCACTTGCAAATTCCAGAAAAACAGTGTTTCAAATCTGCTCTGTGTAAAGGATCGTTCAACTCTGTGAGTTGAATACACACAACACAAGGAAGTTACTGAGAATTCATCTGTCTAGCATAATATGAAGAAATCCCGTTTCCAACGAAGGCCTCAAAGAGGTCTGAATATCCACTTGCAGACTTTACAAACAGAGTGTTTCCTAACTGCTCTTTGAAAAGAAAGGTTAAACTCTGTGAGTTGAACGCACACATCACAAAACAGTTTCTGAGAATCATTCTGTCTAGTTTTTATACGAAGATATTTCCTTTTCTACCGTTGACCTCAAAGCGGCTGAATTCTCCACTAACAAATTCCACCAAAAGAGTGTCTCAAATCTGCTCTGTGTAAAGAATCATTCAACTCTGTGAGTTGAATGCACACAACACAAGGAAGTTACTGGGAATTCCTCTGTCTAACCTTACATGAAAAAACCCGCTTCCAACGAAGGCCTCTAAGAGGCCAAGATATCCACTTGCAGACTTTACAAACAGAGTGTTTCCAAACTGCTGAATGAAAAGAAAAGTTAAACTCTGTGAGTTGAACGCACACATCACAGAGCAGTTTCTGAGAATGATTCTGTCGGGTTTTTATACGAAGATATTTCCTTTTCTGCCTTTGGCCTCAAAGCGCTTGAAGTCTCCACTTGCAAATTGCAGAAAAAGAGTGTTTCGAATCTGCTCTGTCTAAAGGAAGGTTCAACTCTGTCAGTTGAATACACACAACACAAGGAAGTTACTGAGATTTCTTCTGTCTAGCCTTACATGAAAAAAACCCGTTTCCAACGAAGGCCTCAAAGAGGTCAAAATATCCACGTGCAGACTTTCCAAACAGAGTGTTTCCAAACTGCTGAATGAAAAGAAAAGTTAAACTCTGTGAGTTGAACGCACACATCCCAGAGCAGTTTCTGAGAAAGATTCTGTCGAGGTTTTATAGGAAAATATTTCCTTTTCTGCTTTTGGCCTCAAAGCGCTTGAAATCTCCACTTGCAAATTCCACAAAAAGAGACTTTCAAATCTGCTCTGTCTAAAGGAAGGTTCAACTCTGTCAGTTGAATACACACAACACAAAGAAGTTACTAAGAATTCTTCCCTCTAGCATTATATGAAGAAATCCCGTTTCCAACGAAGGCATCTAAGAGGTCCAAATATCGACTTGCAGACTTTACAAACAGAGGGTTTCCAGAATGCTGTATGAAAAGAAAGGTGAAACTCTGTGAGTTAAACACACACATCACTACGCAGTGTCTGGGAACGAGTTTGTCTTGTTTTTATACGAAGATATTTCCTTTTCTACCATTGGCATCGAAGCGCTTGAAATCTCCACTTGCAAATTCCACAAAAAGAGTGTTTCAAATCTGCTCTGTCTAAAGGAAGGTTGAACTCTGTGAGTTGCATATACACAACACAAAGAAGTTACTGAGAAATCTTCTGTCTAGCATAATATGAAGAAATCCCGTTTCCAACGAAGGCCTCAAAGAGGTCCGAATATCCACTGGCAGGCTTCACAAACAGAGTGTTTCCTAACTGCTCTGTGAAAAGAAAGGTTAAACTCTGTGAGTTGAACGCACACATCACAAAGGAGTTTCTGAGAATCATTCTGTCTAGTTTTTATACGAAGATATTTCCTTTTCTACCATTGACCTCAAAGCGGCTGAAATCTCCACTTGCAAATTCCAGAAAAACAGTGTTTCAAATCTGCTCTGTGTAAAGGATCGTTCAACTCTGTGAGTTGAATACACACAACACAAGGAAGTTACTGAGAATTCATCTGTCTAGCATAATATGAAGAAATCCCGTTTCCAACGAAGGCCTCAAAGAGGTCTGAATATCCACTTGCAGACTTTACAAACAGAGTGTTTCCTAACTGCTCTTTGAAAAGAAAGGTTAAACTCTGTGAGTTGAACGCACACATCACAAAACAGTTTCTGAGAATCATTCTGTCTAGTTTTTATACGAAGATATTTCCTTTTCTACCGTTGACCTCAAAGCGGCTGAATTCTCCACTTACAAATTCCACCAAAAGAGTGTCTCAAATCTGCTCTGTGTAAAGAATCATTCAACTCTGTGAGTTGAATGCACACAACACAAGGAAGTTACTGGGAATTCCTCTGTCTATCCTTACATGAAAAAACCCGCTTCCAACGAAGGCCTCTAAGAGGCCAAGATATCCACTTGCAGACTTTACAAACAGAGTGTTTCCAAACTGCTGAATGAAAAGAAAAGTTAAACTCTGTGAGTTGAACGCACACATCACAGAGCAGTTTCTGAGAATGATTCTGTCGGGTTTTTATACGAAGATATTTCCTTTTCTGCCTTTGGCCTCAAAGCGCTTGAAGTCTCCACTTGCAAATTGCAGAAAAAGAGTGTTTCGAATCTGCTCTGTCTAAAGGAAGGTTCAACTCTGTCAGTTGAATACACACAACACAAGGAAGTTACTGAGATTTCTTCTGTCTAGCCTTACATGAAAAAAACCCGTTTCCAACGAAGGCCTCAAAGAGGTCAAAATATCCACGTGCAGACTTTCCAAACAGAGTGTTTCCAAACTGCTGAATGGAAAGAAAAGTTAAACTCTGTGAGTTGAACGCACACATCCCAGAGCAGTTTCTGAGAAAGATTCTGTCTAGTTTTTATAGGAAAATATTTCCTTTTCTGCTTTTGGCCTCAAAGCGCTTGAAATCTCCACTTGCAAATTCCACAAAAAGAGACTTTCAAATCTGCTCTGTCTAAAGGAAGGTTCAACTCTGTCAGTTGAATACACACAACACAAAGAAGTTACTAAGAATTCTTCCCTCTAGCATTATATGAAGAAATCCCGTTTCCAACGAAGGCATCTAAGAGGTCCAAATATCCACTTGCAGACTTTACAAACAGAGGGTTTCCAGAATGCTGTATGAAAAGAAAGGTGAAACTCTCTGAGTTAAACACACACAACACTACGCAGTGTCTGGGAACGAGTTTGTCTTGTTTTTATACGAAGATATTTCCTTTTCTACCATTGGCATCGAAGCGCTTGAAATCTCCACTTGCAAATTCCACAAAAAGAGTGTTTCAAATCTGCTCTGTCTAAAGGAAGGTTGAACTCTGTGAGTTGCATACACACAACACAAAGAAGTTACTGAGAAATCTTCTGTCTAGCATAATATGAAGAAATCCCGTTTCCAACGAAGGCCTCAAAGAGGTCCGAATATCCACTGGCAGGCTTCACAAACAGAGTGTTTCCTAACTGCTCTGTGAAAAGAAAGGTTAAACTCTGTGAGTTGAACGCACACATCACAAAGGAGTTTCTGAGAATCATTCTGTCTAGTTTTTATACGAAGATATTTCTTTTTCTACCATTGACCTCAAAGCGGCTGAAATCTCCACTTGCAAATTCCAGAAAAACAGTGTTTCAAATCTGCTCTGTGTAAAGGATCGTTCAACTCTGTGAGTTGAATACACACAACACAAGGAAGTTACTGAGAATTCATCTGTCTAGCATAATATGAAGAAATCCCGTTTCCAACGAAGGCCTCAAAGAGGTCTGAATATCCACTTGCAGACTTTACAAACAGAGTGCTTCCTAACTGCTCTTTGAAAAGAAAGGTTAAACTCTGTGAGTTGAACGCACACATCACAAAACAGTTTCTGAGAATCATTCTGTCTAGTTTTTATACGAAGATATTTCCTTTTCTACCGTTGACCTCAAAGCGGCTGAATTCTCCACTTACAAATTCCACCAAAAGAGTGTCTCAAATCTGCTCTGTGTAAAGAATCATTCAACTCTGTGAGTTGAATGCACACAACACAAGGAAGTTACTGGGAATTCCTCTGTCTAACCTTACATGAAAAAACCCGTTTCCAACGAAGGCCTCTAAGAGGCCAAGATATCCACTTGCAGACTTTACAAACAGAGTGTTTCCAAACTGCTGAATGAAAAGAAAAGTTAAACTCTGTGAGTTGAACGCACACATCACAGAGCAGTTTCTGAGAATGATTCTGTCGGGTTTTTATACGAAGATATTTCCTTTTCTGCCTTTGGCCTCAAAGCGCTTGAAGTCTCCACTTGCAAATTGCAGAAAAAGAGTGTTTCGAATCTGCTCTGTCTAAAGGAAGGTTCAACTCTGTCAGTTGAATACACACAACACAAGGAAGTTACTGAGATTTCTTCTGTCTAGCCTTACATGAAAAAAACCCGTTTCCAACGAAGGCCTCAAAGAGGTCAAAATATCCACGTGCAGACTTTCCAAACAGAGTGTTTCCAAACTGCTGAATGAAAAGAAAGTTAAACTCTGTGAGTTGAACACACACATCACAGAGCAGTTTCTGAGAATGATTCTGTCGAGTTTTTATAGGAAAATATTTCCTTTTCTGCTTTTGGCCTCAAAGCGCTTGAAATCTCCACTTGCAAATTCCACAAAAAGAGACTTTCAAATCTGCTCTGTCTAAAGGAAGGTTCAACTCTGTCAGTTGAATACACACAACACAAAGAAGTTACTAAGAATTCTTCCCTCTAGCATTATATGAAGAAATCCCGTTTCCAACGAAGGCATCTAAGAGGTCCAAATATCCACTTGCAGACTTTACAAACACAGGGTTTCCAGAATGCTGTATGAAAAGAAAGGTGAAACTCTGTGAGTTAAACACACACATCACTACGCAGTGTCTGGGAACGAGTTTGTCTTGTTTTTATACGAAGATATTTCCTTTTCTACCATTGGCATCGAAGCGCTTGAAATCTCCACTTGCAAATTCCACAAAAAGAGTGTTTCAAATCTGCTCTGTCTAAAGGAAGGTTGAACTCTGTGAGTTGCATACACACAACACAAAGAAGTTACTGAGAAATCTTCTGTCTAGCATAATATGAAGAAATCCCGTTTCCAACGAAGGCCTCAAAGAGGTCCGAATATCCACTGGCAGGCTTCACAAACAGAGTGTTTCCTAACTGCTCTGTGAAAAGAAAGGTTAAACTCTGTGAGTTGAACGCACACATCACAAAGGAGTTTCTGAGAATCATTCTGTCTAGTTTTTATACGAAGATATTTCCTTTTCTACCATTGACCTCAAAGCGGCTGAAATCTCCACTTGCAAATTCCAGAAAAACAGTGTTTCAAATCTGCTCTGTGTAAAGGATCGTTCAACTCTGTGAGTTGAATACACACAACACAAGGAAGTTACTGAGAATTCATCTGTCTAGCATAATATGAAGAAATCCCGTTTCCAACGAAGGCCTCAAAGAGGTCTGAATATCCACTTGCAGACTTTACAAACAGAGTGTTTCCTAACTGCTCTTTGAAAAGAAAGGTTAAACTCTGTGAGTTGAACGCACACATCACAAAACAGTTTCTGAGAATCATTCTGTCTAGTTTTTATACGAAGATATTTCCTTTTCTACCGTTGACCTCAAAGCGGCTGAATTCTCCACTTACAAATTCCACCAAAAGAGTGTCTCAAATCTGCTCTGTGTAAAGAATCATTCAACTCTGTGAGTTGAATGCACACAACACAAGGAAGTTACTGGGAATTCCTCTGTCTAACCTTACATGAAAAAACCCGTTTCCAACGAAGGCCTCTAAGAGGCCAAGATATCCACTTGCAGACTTTACAAACAGAGTGTTTCCAAACTGCTGAATGAAAAGAAAAGTTAAACTCTGTGAGTTGAACGCACACATCACAGAGCAGTTTCTGAGAATGATTCTGTCGGGTTTTTATACGAAGATATTTCCTTTTCTGCCTTTGGCCTCAAAGCGCTTGAAGTCTCCACTTGCAAATTGCAGAAAAAGAGCGTTTCGAATCTGCTCTGTCTAAAGGAAGGTTCAACTCTGTCAGTTGAATACACACAACACAAGGAAGTTACTGAGATTTCTTCTGTCTAGCCTTACATGA
This sequence comes from Homo sapiens, assembly GCF_000001405.40. Taxonomy (NCBI): domain Eukaryota; kingdom Metazoa; phylum Chordata; class Mammalia; order Primates; family Hominidae; genus Homo; species Homo sapiens. The sequence continues at coordinate 38,239,143 of NC_000016.10, read as the reverse complement.
AAAAAACCCGTTTCCAACGAAGGCCTCAAAGAGGTCAACATATCCACGTGCAGAGTTTCCAAACAGAGTGTTTCCAAACTGCTGAATGAAAAGAAAGTTAAACTCTGTGAGTTGAACACACACATCACAGAGCAGTTTCTGAGAATGATTCTCTCTAGTTTTTATAGGAAAATACTTCCTTTTCTGCTTTTGGCCTCAAAGCGCTTGAAATCTCCACTTGCAAATTCCACAAAAAGAGACTTTCAAATCTGCTCTGTCTAAAGGAAGGTTCAACTCTGTCAGTTGAATACACACAACACAAAGAAGTTACTAAGAATTCTTCCCTCTAGCATTATATGAAGAAATCCCGTTTCCAACGAAGGCATCTAAGAGGTCCAAATATCCACTTGCAGACTTTACAAACAGAGGGTTTCCAGAATGCTGTATGAAAAGAAAGGTTAAACTCTGTGAGTTAAACACACACATCACTACGCAGTGTCTGGGAACGAGTTTGTCTTGTTTTTATACGAAGATATTTCCTTTTCTACCATTGGCATCGAAGCGCTTGAAATCTCCACTTGCAAATTCCACAAAAAGAGTGTTTCAAATCTGCTCTGTCTAAAGGAAGGTTGAACTCTGTGAGTTGCATACACACAACACAAAGAAGTTACTGAGAAATCTTCTGTCTAGCATAATATGAAGAAATCCCGTTTCCAACGAAGGCCTCAAAGAGGTCCGAATATCCACTGGCAGGCTTCACAAACAGAGTGTTTCCTAACTGCTCTGTGAAAAGAAAGGTTAAACTCTGTGAGTTGAACGCACACATCACAAAGGAGTTTTCTGAGAATCATTTCTGTCTAGTTTTTATACGAAGATATTTCCTTTTCTACCATTGACCTCAAAGCGGCTGAAATCTCCACTTGCAAATTCCAGAAAAACAGTGTTTCAAATCTGCTCTGTGTAAAGGATCGTTCAACTCTGTGAGTTGAATACACACAACACAAGGAAGTTACTGAGAATTCATCTGTCTAGCATAATATGAAGAAATCCCGTTTCCAACGAAGGCCTCAAAGAGGTCTGAATATCCACTTGCAGACTTTACAAACAGAGTGTTTCCTAACTGCTCTTTGAAAAGAAAGGTTAAACTCTGTGAGTTGAACGCACACATCACAAAACAGTTTCTGAGAATCATTCTGTCTAGTTTTTATACGAAGATATTTCCTTTTCTACCGTTGACCTCAAAGCGGCTGAATTCTCCACTTACAAATTCCACCAAAAGAGTGTCTCAAATCTGCTCTGTGTAAAGAATCATTCAACTCTGTGAGTTGAATGCACACAACACAAGGAAGTTACTGGGAATTCCTCTGTCTATCCTTACATGAAAAAACCCGTTTCCAACGAAGGCCTCTAAGAGGCCAAGATATCCACTTGCAGACTTTACAAACAGAGTGTTTCCAAACTGCTGAATGAAAAGAAAAGTTAAACTCTGTGAGTTGAACGCACACATCACAGAGCAGTTTCTGGAGAATGATTCTGTCTGGTTTTTATACGAAGATATTTCCTTTTCTGCCTTTGGCCTCAAAGCGCTTGAAGTCTCCACTTGCAAATTGCAGAAAAAGAGCGTTTCGAATCTGCTCTGTCTAAAGGAAGGTTCAACTCTGTCAGTTGAATACACACAACACAAGGAAGTTACTGAGATTTCTTCTGTCTAGCCTTACATGAAAAAAACCCGTTTCCAACGAAGGCCTCAAAGAGGTCAAAATATCCACGTGCAGACTTTCCAAACAGAGTGTTTCCAAACTGCTGAATGAAAAGAAAAGTTAAACTCTGTGAGTTGAACGCACACATCCCAGAGCAGTTTCTGAGAAAGATTCTGTCGAGTTTTTATAGGAAAATATTTCCTTTTCTGCTTTTGGCCTCAAAGCGCTTGAAATCTCCACTTGCAAATTCCACAAAAAGAGACTTTCAAATCTGCTCTGTCTAAAGGAAGGTTCAACTCTGTCAGTTGAATACACACAACACAAAGAAGTTACTAAGAATTCTTCCCTCTAGCATTATATGAAGAAATCCCGTTTGCAACGAAGGCATCTAAGAGGTCCAAATATCCACTTGCAGACTTTACAAACAGAGGGTTTCCAGAATGCTGTATGAAAAGAAAGGTGAAACTCTGTGAGTTAAACACACACATCACTACGCAGTGTCTGGGAACGAGACTGTCTAGTTTTGAAACGAAGTTATTTCCTTTTCTGCCATTGACCTTTAAGCACTTGAAATCTGCACTTGCAAATTGCACAAAAGGAGTGTTTCAAAACTGCTCTGTCTAAAGGAACGTTCAACTCTGTGAGTTGAATGCACACAACACAAAGAAGTTACTGGGAATTCTTCTGTCTAGCATAATATGAAGAAATCCCGTTTCCAACGAAGGCCTCAAAGAGGTCCGAATATCCACTGGCAGGCTTCACAAACAGAGTGTTTCCTAACTGCTCTGTGAAAAGAAAGGTTAAACTCTGTGAGTTGAACGCACACATCACAAAGGAGTTTCTGAGAATCATTCTGTCTAGTTTTTATACGAAGATATTTCCTTTTCTACCATTGACCTCAAAGCGGCTGAAATCTCCACTTGCAAATTCCAGAAAAACAGTGTTTCAAATCTGCTCTGTGTAAAGGATCGTTCAACTCTGTGAGTTGAATACACACAACACAAGGAAGTTACTGAGAATTCATCTGTCTAGCATAATATGAAGAAATCCCGTTTCCAACGAAGGCCTCAAAGAGGTCTGAATATCCACTTGCAGACTTTACAAACAGAGTGTTTCCTAACTGCTCTTTGAAAAGAAAGGTTAAACTCTGTGAGTTGAAAGCACACATCACAAAACAGTTTCTGAGAATCATTCTGTCTAGTTTTTATACGAAGATATTTCCTTTTCTACCGTTGACCTCAAAGCGGCTGAATTCTCCACTTACAAATTCCACCAAAAGAGTGTCTCAAATCTGCTCTGTGTAAAGAATCATTCAACTCTGTGAGTTGAATGCACACAACACAAGGAAGTTACTGGGAATTCCTCTGTCTAACCTTACATGAAAAAACCCGTTTCCAACGAAGGCCTCTAAGAGGCCAAGATATCCACTTGCAGACTTTACAAACAGAGTGTTTCCAAACTGCTGAATGAAAAGAAAAGTTAAACTCTGTGAGTTGAACGCACACATCACAGAGCAGTTTCTGAGAATGATTCTGTCGGGTTTTTATACGAAGATATTTCCTTTTCTGCCTTTGGCCTCAAAGCGCTTGAAGTCTCCACTTGCAAATTGCAGAAAAAGAGTGTTTCGAATCTGCTCTGTCTAAAGGAAGGTTCAACTCTGTCAGTTGAATACACACAACACAAGGAAGTTACTGAGATTTCTTCTGTCTAGCCTTACATGAAAAAAACCCGTTTCCAACGAAGGCCTCAAAGAGGTCAAAATATCCACGTGCAGACTTTCCAAACAGAGTGTTTCCAAACTGCTGAATGAAAAGAAAAGTTAAACTCTGTGAGTTGAACGCACACATCCCAGAGCAGTTTCTGAGAAAGATTCTGTCTAGTTTTTATAGGAAAATATTTCCTTTTCTGCTTTTGGCCTCAAAGCGCTTGAAATCTCCACTTGCAAATTCCACAAAAAGAGACTTTCAAATCTGCTCTGTCTAAAGGAAGGTTCAACTCTGTCAGTTGAATACACACAACACAAAGAAGTTACTAAGAATTCTTCCCTCTAGCATTATATGAAGAAATCCCGTTTCCAACGAAGGCATCTAAGAGGTCCAAATATCCACTTGCAGACTTTACAAACACAGGGTTTCCAGAATGTTGTATGAAAAGAAAGGTTAAACTCTGTGAGTTAAACACACACATCACTACGCAGTGTCTGGGAATGAGTTTGTCTTGTTTTTATACGAAGATATTTCCTTTTCTACCATTGGCATCGAAGCGTTTGAAATCTCCACTTGCAAATTCCACAAAAAGAGTGTTTCAAATCTGCTCTGTCTAAAGGAAGGTTGAACTCTGTGAGTTGCATACACACAACCCAAAGAAGTTACTGAGAAATCTTCTGTCTAGCATAATATGAAGAAATCCCGTTTCCAACGAAGGCCTCAAAGAGGTCCGAATATCCACTGGCAGGCTTCACAAACAGAGTGTTTCCTAACTGCTCTGTGAAAAGAAAGGTTAAACTCTGTGAGTTGAACGCACACATCACAAAGGAGTTTCTGAGAATCATTCTGTCTAGTTTTTATACGAAGATATTTCCTTTTCTACCATTGACCTCAAAGCGGCTGAAATCTCCACTTGCAAATTCCAGAAAAACAGTGTTTCAAATCTGCTCTGTGTAAAGGATCGTTCAACTCTGTGAGTTGAATACACACAACACAAGGAAGTTACTGAGAATTCATCTGTCTAGCATAATATGAAGAAATCCCGTTTCCAACGAAGGCCTCAAAGAGGTCTGAATATCCACTTGCAGACTTTACAAACAGAGTGTTTCCTAACTGCTCTTTGAAAAGAAAGGTTAAACTCTGTGAGTTGAACGCACACATCACAAAACAGTTTCTGAGAATCATTCTGTCTAGTTTTTATACGAAGATATTTCCTTTTCTACCGTTGACCTCAAAGCGGCTGAATTCTCCACTTACAAATTCCACCAAAAGAGTGTCTCAAATCTGCTCTGTGTAAAGAATCATTCAACTCTGTGAGTTGAATGCACACAACACAAGGAAGTTACTGGGAATTCCTCTGTCTAACCTTACATGAAAAAACCCGTTTCCAACGAAGGCCTCTAAGAGGCCAAGATATCCACTTGCAGACTTTACAAACAGAGTGTTTCCAAACTGCTGAATGAAAAGAAAAGTTAAACTCTGTGAGTTGAACGCACACATCACAGAGCAGTTTCTGAGAATGATTCTGTCGGGTTTTTATACGAAGATATTTCCTTTTCTGCCTTTGGCCTCAAAGCGCTTGAAGTCTCCACTTGCAAATTGCAGAAAAAGAGTGTTTCGAATCTGCTCTGTCTAAAGGAAGGTTCAACTCTGTCAGTTGAATACACACAACACAAGGAAGTTACTGAGATTTCTTCTGTCTAGCCTTACATGAAAAAAACCCGTTTCCAACGAAGGCCTCAAAGAGGTCAAAATATCCACGTGCAGACTTTCCAAACAGAGTGTTTCCAAACTGCTGAATGGAAAGAAAAGTTAAACTCTGTGAGTTGAACGCACACATCCCAGAGCAGTTTCTGAGAAAGATTCTCTCTAGTTTTTATAGGAAAATATTTCCTTTTCTGCTTTTGGCCTCAAAGCGCTTGAAATCTCCACTTGCAAATTCCACAAAAAGAGACTTTCAAATCTGCTCTGTCTAAAGGAAGGTTCAACTCTGTCAGTTGAATACACACAACACAAAGAAGTTACTAAGAATTCTTCCCTCTAGCATTATATGAAGAAATCCCGTTTCCAACGAAGGCATCTAAGAGGTCCAAATATCCACTTGCAGACTTTACAAACAGAGGGTTTCCAGAATGCTGTATGAAAAGAAAGGTGAAACTCTGTGAGTTAAACACACACATCACTACGCAGTGTCTGGGAACGAGTTTGTCTTGTTTTTATACGAAGATATTTCCTTTTCTACCATTGGCATCGAAGCGCTTGAAATCTCCACTTGCAAATTCCACAAAAAGAGTGTTTCAAATCTGCTCTGTCTAAAGGAAGGTTGAACTCTGTGAGTTGCATACACACAACCCAAAGAAGTTACTGAGAAATCTTCTGTCTAGCATAATATGAAGAAATCCCGTTTCCAACGAAGGCCTGAAAGAGGTCCGAATATCCACTGGCAGGCTTCACAAACAGAGTGTTTCCTAACTGCTCTGTGAAAAGAAAGGTTAAACTCTGTGAGTTGAACGCACACATCACAAAGGAGTTTCTGAGAATCATTCTGTCTAGTTTTTATACGAAGATATTTCCTTTTCTACCATTGACCTCAAAGCGGCTGAAATCTCCACTTGCAAATTCCAGAAAAACAGTGTTTCAAATCTGCTCTGTGTAAAGGATCGTTCAACTCTGTGAGTTGAATACACACAACACAAGGAAGTTACTGAGAATTCATCTGTCTAGCATAATATGAAGAAATCCCGTTTCCAACGAAGGCCTCAAAGAGGTCTGAATATCCACTTGCAGACTTTACAGAGTGTTTCCTAACTGCTCTCTGAAAAGAAAGGTTAAACTCTGTGAGTTGAACGCACACATCACAAAACAGTTTCTGAGAATCATTCTGTCTAGATTTTATACGAAGATATTTCCTTTTCTACCGTTGACCTCAAAGCGGCTGAATTCTCCACTTACAAATTCCACCCAAAGAGTGTCTCAAATCTGCTCTGTGTAAAGAATCATTCAACTCTGTGAGTTGAATGCACACAACACAAGGAAGTTACTGGGAATTCCTCTGTCTAACCTTACATGAAAAAACCCGTTTCCAACGAAGGCCTCTAAGAGGCCAAGATATCCACTTGCAGACTTTACAAACAGAGTGTTTCCAAACTGCTGAATGAAAAGAAAAGTTAAACTCTGTGAGTTGAACGCACACATCACAGAGCAGTTTCTGAGAATGATTCTGTCGGGTTTTTATACGAAGATATTTCCTTTTCTGCCTTTGGCCTCAAAGCGCTTGAAGTCTCCACTTGCAAATTGCAGAAAAAGAGCGTTTCGAATCTGCTCTGTCTAAAGGAAGGTTCAACTCTGTCAGTTGAATACACACAACACAAGGAAGTTACTGAGATTTCTTCTGTCTAGCCTTACATGAAAAAAACCCGTTTCCAACGAAGGCCTCAAAGAGGTCAAAATATCCACGTGCAGACTTTCCAAACAGAGTGTTTCCAAACTGCTGAATGAAAAGAAAGTTAAACTCTGTGAGTTGAACACACACATCACAGAGCAGTTTTCTGAGAATGATTCTGTCTAGTTTTTATAGGAAAATATTTCCTTTTCTGCTTTTGGCCTCAAAGCGCTTGAAATCTCCACTTGCAAATTCCACAAAAAGAGACTTTCAAATCTGCTCTGTCTAAAGGAAGGTTCAACTCTGTCAGTTGAATACACACAACACAAAGAAGTTACTAAGAATTCTTCCCTCTAGCATTATATGAAGAAATCCCGTTTCCAACGAAGGCATCTAAGAGGTCCAAATATCCACTTGCAGACTTTACAAACAGAGGGTTTCCAGAATGCTGTATGAAAAGAAAGGTTAAACTCTGTGAGTTAAACACACACATCACTACGCAGTGTCTGGGAACGAGTTTGTCTTGTTTTTATACGAAGATATTTCCTTTTCTACCATTGGCATCGAAGCGCTTGAAATCTCCACTTGCAAATTCCACAAAAAGAGTGTTTCAAATCTGCTCTGTCTAAAGGAAGGTTGAACTCTGTGAGTTGCATACACACAACACAAAGAAGTTACTGAGAAATCTTCTGTCTAGCATAATATGAAGAAATCCCGTTTCCAACGAAGGCCTCAAAGAGGTCCGAATATCCACTGGCAGGCTTCACAAACAGAGTGTTTCCTAACTGCTCTGTGAAAAGAAAGGTTAAACTCTGTGAGTTGAACGCACACATCACAAAGGAGTTTCTGAGAATCATTCTGTCTAGTTTTTATACGAAGATATTTCCTTTTCTACCATTGACCTCAAAGCGGCTGAAATCTCCACTTGCAAATTCCAGAAAAACAGTGTTTCAAATCTGCTCTGTGTAAAGGATCGTTCAACTCTGTGAGTTGAATACACACAACACAAGGAAGTTACTGAGAATTCATCTGTCTAGCATAATATGAAGAAATCCCGTTTCCAACGAAGGCCTCAAAGAGGTCTGAATATCCACTTGCAGACTTTACAAACAGAGTGTTTCCTAACTGCTCTTTGAAAAGAAAGGTTAAACTCTGTGAGTTGAACGCACACATCACAAAACAGTTTCTGAGAATCATTCTGTCTAGTTTTTATACGAAGATATTTCCTTTTCTACCGTTGACCTCAAAGCGGCTGAATTCTCCACTTACAAATTCCACCAAAAGAGTGTCTCAAATCTGCTCTGTGTAAAGAATCATTCAACTCTGTGAGTTGAATGCACACAACACAAGGAAGTTACTGGGAATTCCTCTGTCTATCCTTACATGAAAAAACCCGTTTCCAACGAAGGCCTCTAAGAGGCCAAGATATCCACTTGCAGACTTTACAAACAGAGTGTTTCCAAACTGCTGAATGAAAAGAAAAGTTAAACTCTGTGAGTTGAACGCACACATCACAGAGCAGTTTCTGAGAATGATTCTGTCGGGTTTTTATACGAAGATATTTCCTTTTCTGCCTTTGGCCTCAAAGCGCTTGAAGTCTCCACTTGCAAATTGCAGAAAAAGAGTGTTTCGAATCTGCTCTGTCTAAAGGAAGGTTCAACTCTGTCAGTTGAATACACACAACACAAGGAAGTTACTGAGATTTCTTCTGTCTAGCCTTACATGAAAAAAACCCGTTTCCAACGAAGGCCTCAAAGAGGTCAAAATATCCACGTGCAGACTTTCCAAACAGAGTGTTTCCAAACTGCTGAATGAAAAGAAAAGTTAAACTCTGTGAGTTGAACGCACACATCCCAGAGCAGTTTCTGAGAAAGATTCTGTCGAGTTTTTATAGGAAAATATTTCCTTTTCTGCTTTTGGCCTCAAAGCGCTTGAAATCTCCACTTGCAAATTCCACAAAAAGAGACTTTCAAATCTGCTCTGTCTAAAGGAAGGTTCAACTCTGTCAGTTGAATACACACAACACAAAGAAGTTACTAAGAATTCTTCCCTCTAGCATTATATGAAGAAATCCCGTTTCCAACGAAGGCATCTAAGAGGTCCAAATATCCACTTGCAGACTTTACAAACACAGGGTTTCCAGAATGCTGTATGAAAAGAAAGGTTAAACTCTGTGAGTTAAACACACACATCACTACGCAGTGTCTGGGAACGAGTTTGTCTTGTTTTTATACGAAGATATTTCCTTTTCTACCATTGGCATCGAAGCGCTTGAAATCTCCACTTGCAAATTCCACAAAAAGAGTGTTTCAAATCTGCTCTGTCTAAAGGAAGGTTGAACTCTGTGAGTTGCATACACACAACACAAAGAAGTTACTGAGAAATCTTCTGTCTAGCATAATATGAAGAAATCCCGTTTCCAACGAAGGCCTCAAAGAGGTCCGAATATCCACTGGCAGGCTTCACAAACAGAGTGTTTCCTAACTGCTCTGTGAAAAGAAAGGTTAAACTCTGTGAGTTGAACGCACACATCACAAAGGAGTTTCTGAGAATCATTCTGTCTAGTTTTTATACGAAGATATTTCCTTTTCTACCATTGACCTCAAAGCGGCTGAAATCTCCACTTGCAAATTCCAGAAAAACAGTGTTTCAAATCTGCTCTGTGTAAAGGATCGTTTAACTCTGTGAGTTGAATACACACAACACAAGGAAGTTACTGAGAATTCATCTGTCTAGCATAATATGAAGAAATCCCGTTTCCAACGAAGGCCTCAAAGAGGTCTGAATATCCACTTGCAGACTTTACAAACAGAGTGTTTCCTAACTGCTCTTTGAAAAGAAAGGTTAAACTCTGTGAGTTGAACGCACACATCACAAAAAAGTTTCTGAGAATCATTCTGTCTAGTTTTTATACGAAGATATTTCCTTTTCTACCGTTGACCTCAAAGCGGCTGAATTCTCCACTTACAAATTCCACCAAAAGAGTGTCTCAAATCTGCTCTGTGTAAAGAATCATTCAACTCTGTGAGTTGAATGCACACAACACAAGGAAGTTACTGGGAATTCCTCTGTCTAACCTTACATGAAAAAACCCGTTTCCAACGAAGGCCTCTAAGAGGCCAAGATATCCACTTGCAGACTTTACAAACAGAGTGTTTCCAAACTGCTGAATGAAAAGAAAAGTTAAATTTCTGTGAGTTGAACGCACACATCACAGAGCAGTTTCTGAGAATGATTTCTGTCGGGTTTTTATACGAAGATATTTCCTTTTCTGCCTTTGGCCTCAAAGCGCTTGAAGTCTCCACTTGCAAATTGCAGAAAAAGAGTGTTTCGAATCTGCTCTGTCTAAAGGAAGGTTCAACTCTGTCAGTTGAATACACACAACACAAGGAAGTTACTGAGATTTCCTCTGTCTAGCCTTACATGAAAAAAACCCGTTTCCAACGAAGGCCTCAAAGAGGTCAAAATATCCACGTGCAGACTTTCCAAACAGAGTGTTTCCAAACTGCTGAATGAAAAGAAAGTTAAACTCTGTGAGTTGAACACACACATCACAGAGCAGTTTCTGAGAATGATTCTGTCGAGTTTTTATAGGAAAATATTTCCTTTTCTGCTTTTGGCCTCAAAGCGCTTGAAATCTCCACTTGCAAATTCCACAAAAAGAGACTTTCAAATCTGCTCTGTCTAAAGGAAGGTTCAACTCTGTCAGTTGAATACACACAACACAAAGAAGTTACTAAGAATTCTTCCCTCTAGCATTATATGAAGAAATCCCGTTTCCAACGAAGGCATCTAAGAGGTCCAAATATCCACTTGCAGACTTTACAAACACAGGGTTTCCAGAATGCTGTATGAAAAGAAAGGTTAAACTCTGTGAGTTAAACACACACATCACTACGCAGTGTCTGGGAACGAGTTTGTCTTGTTTTTATACGAAGATATTTCCTTTTCTACCATTGGCATCGAAGCGCTTGAAATCTCCACTTGCAAATTCCACAAAAAGAGTGTTTCAAATCTGCTCTGTCTAAAGGAAGGTTGAACTCTGTGAGTTGCATACACACAACCCAAAGAAGTTACTGAGAAATCTTCTGTCCAGCATAATATGAAGAAATCCCGTTTCCAACGAAGGCCTCAAAGAGGTCCGAATATCCACTGGCAGGCTTCACAAACAGAGTGTTTCCTAACTGCTCTGTGAAAAGAAAGGTTAAACTCTGTGAGTTGAACGCACACATCACAAAGGAGTTTCTGAGAATCATTCTGTCTAGTTTTTATACGAAGATATTTCCTTTTCTACCATTGACCTCAAAGCAGCTGAAATCTCCACTTGCAAATTCCAGAAAAACAGTGTTTCAAATCTGCTCTGTGTAAAGGATCGTTCAACTCTGTGAGTTGAATACACACAACACAAGGAAGTTACTGAGAATTCATCTGTCTAGCATAATATGAAGAAATCCCGTTTCCAACGAAGGCCTCAAAGAGGTCTGAATATCCACTTGCAGACTTTACAAACAGAGTGTTTCCTAACTGCTCTTTGAAAAGAAAGGTTAAACTCTGTGAGTTGAACGCACACATCACAAAACAGTTTCTGAGAATCATTCTGTCTAGTTTTTATACGAAGATATTTCCTTTTCTACCGTTGACCTCAAAGCGGCTGAATTCTCCACTTACAAATTCCACCAAAAGAGTGTCTCAAATCTGCTCTGTGTAAAGAATCATTCAACTCTGTGAGTTGAATGCACACAACACAAGGAAGTTACTGGGAATTCCTCTGTCTAACCTTACATGAAAAAACCCGTTTCCAACGAAGGCCTCTAAGAGGCCAAGATATCCACTTGCAGACTTTACAAACAGAGTGTTTCCAAACTGCTGAATGAAAAGAAAAGTTAAACTCTGTGAGTTGAACGCACACATCACAGAGCAGTTTCTGAGAATGATTCTGTCGGGTTTTTATACGAAGATATTTCCTTTTCTGCCTTTGGCCTCAAAGCGCTTGAAGTCTCCACTTGCAAATTGCAGAAAAAGAGTGTTTCGAATCTGCTCTGTCTAAAGGAAGGTTCAACTCTGTCAGTTGAATACACACAACACAAGGAAGTTACTGAGATTTCTTCTGTCTAGCCTTACATGAAAAAAACCCGTTTCCAACGAAGGCCTCAAAGAGGTCAAAATATCCACGTGCAGACTTTCCAAACAGAGTGTTTCCAAACTGCTGAATGAAAAGAAAAGTTAAACTCTGTGAGTTGAACGCACACATCCCAGAGCAGTTTCTGAGAAAGATTCTGTCTAGTTTTTATAGGAAAATATTTCCTTTTCTGCTTTTGGCCTCAAAGCGCTTGAAATCTCCACTTGCAAATTCCACAAAAAGAGACTTTCAAATCTGCTCTGTCTAAAGGAAGGTTCAACTCTGTCAGTTGAATACACACAACACAAAGAAGTTACTAAGAATTCTTCCCTCTAGCATTATATGAAGAAATCCCGTTTCCAACGAAGGCATCTAAGAGGTCCAAATATCCACTTGCAGACTTTACAAACACAGGGTTTCCAGAATGCTGTATGAAAAGAAAGGTTAAACTCTGTGAGTTAAACACACACATCACTACGCAGTGTCTGGGAACGAGTTTGTCTTGTTTTTATACGAAGATATTTCCTTTTCTACCATTGGCATCGAAGCGCTTGAAATCTCCACTTGCAAATTCCACAAAAAGAGTGTTTCAAATCTGCTCTGTCTAAAGGAAGGTTGAACTCTGTGAGTTGCATACACACAACACAAAGAAGTTACTGAGAAATCTTCTGTCTAGCATAATATGAAGAAATCCCGTTTCCAACGAAGGCCTCAAAGAGGTCCGAATATCCACTGGCAGGCTTCACAAACAGAGTGTTTCCTAACTGCTCTGTGAAAAGAAAGGTTAAACTCTGTGAGTTGAACGCACACATCACAAAGGAGTTTCTGAGAATCATTCTGTCTAGTTTTTATACGAAGATATTTCCTTTTCTACCATTGACCTCAAAGCGGCTGAAATCTCCACTTGCAAATTCCAGAAAAACAGTGTTTCAAATCTGCTCTGTGTAAAGGATCGTTCAACTCTGTGAGTTGAATACACACAACACAAGGAAGTTACTGAGAATTCATCTGTCTAGCATAATATGAAGAAATCCCGTTTCCAACGAAGGCCTCAAAGAGGTCTGAATATCCACTTGCAGACTTTACAAACAGAGTGTTTCCTAACTGCTCTTTGAAAAGAAAGGTTAAACTCTGTGAGTTGAACGCACACATCACAAAACAGTTTCTGAGAATCATTCTGTCTAGTTTTTATACGAAGATATTTCCTTTTCTACCGTTGACCTCAAAGCGGCTGAATTCTCCACTTACAAATTCCACCAAAAGAGTGTCTCAAATCTGCTCTGTGTAAAGAATCATTCAACTCTGTGAGTTGAATGCACACAACACAAGGAAGTTACTGGGAATTCCTCTGTCTATCCTTACATGAAAAAACCCGTTTCCAACGAAGGCCTCTAAGAGGCCAAGATATCCACTTGCAGACTTTACAAACAGAGTGTTTCCAAACTGCTGAATGAAAAGAAAAGTTAAACTCTGTGAGTTGAACGCACACATCACAGAGCAGTTTCTGAGAGTGATTCTGTCGGGTTTTTATACGAAGATATTTCCTTTTCTGCCTTTGGCCTCAAAGCACTTGAAGTCTCCACTTGCAAATTGCAGAAAAAGAGTGTTTCGCATCTGCTCTGTCTAAAGGAAGGTTCAACTCTGTCAGTTGAATACACACAACACAAGGAAGTTACTGAGATTTCTTCTGTCTAGCCTTACATGAAAAACACCCGTTTCCAACGAAGGCCTCAAAGAGGTCAAAATATCCACGTGCAGACTTTCCAAACAGAGTGTTTCCAAACTGCTGAATGAAAAGAAAAGTTAAACTCTGTGAGTTGAACGCACACATCCCAGAGCAGTTTCTGAGAAAGATTCTGTCGAGTTTTTATAGGAAAATATTTCCTTTTCTGCTTTTGGCCTCAAAGCGCTTGAAATCTCCACTTGCAAATTCCACAAAAAGAGACTTTCAAATCTGCTCTGTCTAAAGGAAGGTTCAACTCTGTCAGTTGAATACACACAACACAAAGAAGTTACTAAGAATTCTTCCCTCTAGCATTATATGAAGAAATCCCGTTTCCAACGAAGGCATCTAAGAGGTCCAAATATCCACTTGCAGACTTTACAAACACAGGGTTTCCAGAATGCTGTATGAAAAGAAAGGTTAAACTCTGTGAGTTGAACGCACACATCACAAAGGAGTTTCTGAGAATCATTTTGTCTTGTTTTTATACGAAGATATTTCCTTTTCTACCATTGGCATCGAAGCGCTTGAAATCTCCACTTGCAAATTCCACAAAAAGAGTGTTTCAAATCTGCTCTGTCTAAAGGAAGGTTGAACTCTGTGAGTTGCATACACACAACACAAAGAAGTTACTGAGAAATCTTCTGAATAGCATAATATGAAGAAATCCCGTTTCCAACGAAGGCCTCAAAGAGGTCCGAATATCCACTGGCAGGCTTCACAAACAGAGTGTTTCCTAACTGCTCTGTGAAAAGAAAGGTTAAACTCTGTGAGTTGAACGCACACATCACAAAGGAGTTTCTGAGAATCATTCTGTCTAGTTTTTATACGAAGATATTTCCTTTTCTACCATTGACCTCAAAGCGGCTGAAATCTCCACTTGCAAATTCCAGAAAAACAGTGTTTCAAATCTGCTCTGTGTAAAGGATCGTTCAACTCTGTGAGTTGAATACACACAACACAAGGAAGTTACTGAGAATTCATCTGTCTAGCATAATATGATGAAATCCCGTTTCCAACGAAGGCTTCAAAGAGGTCTGAATATCCACTTGCAGACTTTACAAACAGAGTGTTTCCTAACTGCTCTTTGAAAAGAAAGGTTAAACTCTGTGAGTTGAACGCACACATCACAAAACAGTTTCTGAGAATCATTCTGTCTAGTTTTTATACGAAGATATTTCCTTTTCTACCGTTGACCTCAAAGCGGCTGAATTCTCCACTTACAAATTCCACCAAAAGTGTGTCTCAAATCTGCTCTGTGTAAAGAATCATTCAACTCTGTGAGTTGAATGCACACAACACAAGGAAGTTACTGGGAATTCCTCTGTCTAACCTTACATGAAAAAACCCGTTTCCAATGAAGGCCTCTAAGAGGCCAAGATATCCACTTGCAGACTTTACAAACAGAGTGTTTCCAAACTGCTGAATGAAAAGAAAAGTTAAACTCTGTGAGTTGAACGCACACATCACAGAGCAGTTTCTGAGAATGATTCTGTCGGGTTTTTATACGAAGATATTTCCTTTTCTGCCTTTGGCCTCAAAGCGCTTGAAGTCTCCACTTGCAAATTGCAGAAAAAGAGTGTTTCGAATCTGCTCTGTCTAAAGGAAGGTTCAACTCTGTCAGTTGAATACACACAACACAAGGAAGTTACTGAGATTTCTTCTGTCTAGACTTACATGAAAAAAACCCGTTTCCAACGAAGGCCTCAAAGAGGTCAAAGTATCCAAGGCAGACTTTACAAACAGAGTTTTTCCAAACTGCTGAATGAAAAGAAAAGTTAAACTCTGTGAGTTGAACGCACACATCACAGAGCAGTTTCTGAGAATGATTCTGTCTAGTTTTTATAGGAAAATATTTCCTTTTCTGCTTTTGGCCTCAAAGCGCTTGAAATCTCCACTTGCAAATTCCACAAAAAGAGACTTTCAAATCTGGTCTGTCTAAAGGAAGGTTCAACTCTGTCAGTTGAATACACACAACACAAAGAAGTTACTAAGAATTCTTCCCTCTAGCATTATATGAAGAAATCCCGTTTCCAACGAAGGCATCTAAGAGGTCCAAATATCCACTTGCAGACTTTACAAACACAGGGTTTCCAGAATGCTGTATGAAAAGAAAGGTTAAACTCTGTGAGTTAAACACACACATCACTACGCAGTGTCTGGGAACGAGTTTGTCTTGTTTTTATACGAAGATATTTCCTTTTCTACCATTGGCATCGAAGCGCTTGAAATCTCCACTTGCAAATTCCACAAAAAGAGTGTTTCAAATCTGCTCTGTCTAAAGGAAGGTTGAACTCTGTGAGTTGCATACACACAACACAAAGAAGTTACTGAGAAATCTTCTGTCTAGCATAATATGAAGAAATCCCGTTTCCAACGAAGGCCTCAAAGAGGTCCGAATATCCACTGGCAGGCTTCACAAACAGAGTGTTTCCTAACTGCTCTGTGAAAAGAAAGGTTAAACTCTGTGAGTTGAACGCACACATCACAAAGGAGTTTCTGAGAATCATTCTGTCTAGTTTTTATACGAAGATATTTCCTTTTCTACCATTGACCTCAAAGCGGCTGAAATCTCCACTTGCAAATTCCAGAAAAACAGTGTTTCAAATCTGCTCTGTGTAAAGGATCGTTCAACTCTGTGAGTTGAATACACACAACACAAGGAAGTTACTGAGAATTCATCTGTCTAGCATAATATGAAGAAATCCCGTTTCCAACGAAGGCCTCAAAGAGGTCTGAATATCCACTTGCAGACTTTACAAACAGAGTGTTTCCTAACTGCTCTTTGAAAAGAAAGGTTAAACTCTGTGAGTTGAACGCACACATCACAAAACAGTTTCTGAGAATCATTCTGTCTAGTTTTTATACGAAGATATTTCCTTTTCTACCGTTGACCTCAAAGCAGCTGAATTCTCCACTTACAAATTCCACCAAAAGAGTGTCTCAAATCTGCTCTGTGTAAAGAATCATTCAACTCTGTGAGTTGAATGCACACAACACAAGGAAGTTACTGGGAATTCCTCTGTCTAACCTTACATGAAAAAACCCGTTTCCAACGAAGGCCTCTAAGAGGCCAAGATATCCACTTGCAGACTTTACAAACAGAGTGTTTCCAAACTGCTGAATGAAAAGAAAAGTTAAACTCTGTGAGTTGAACGCACACATCACAGAGCAGTTTCTGAGAATGATTCTGTCGGGTTTTTATACGAAGATATTTCCTTTTCTGCCTTTGGCCTCAAAGCGCTTGAAGTTTCCACTTGCAAATTGCAGAAAAAGAGTGTTTCGAATCTGCTCTGTCTAAAGGAAGGTTCAACTCTGTCAGTTGAATACACACAACACAAGGAAGTTACTGAGATTTCTTCTGTCTAGCCTTACATGAAAAAAACCCGTTTCCAACGAAGGCCTCAAAGAGGTCAAAATATCCACGTGCAGACTTTCCAAACAGGGTGTTTCCAAACTGCTGAATGAAAAGAAAAGTTAAACTCTGTGAGTTGAACGCACACATCCCAGAGCAGTTTCTGAGAAAGATTCTGTCTAGTTTTTATAGGAAAATATTTCCTTTTCTGCTTTTGGCCTCAAAGCGCTTGAAATCTCCACTTGCAAATTCCACAAAAAGAGACTTTCAAATCTGCTCTGTCTAAAGGAAGGTTCAACTCTGTCAGTTGAATACACACAACACAAAGAAGTTACTAAGAATTCTTCCCTCTAGCATTATATGAAGAAATCCCGTTTCCAACGAAGGCATCTAAGAGGTCCAAATATCCACTTGCAGACTTTACAAACAGAGGGTTTCCAGAATGCTGTATGAAAAGAAAGGTTAAACTCTGTGAGTTAAACACACACATCACTACGCAGTGTCTGGGAACGAGTTTGTCTTGTTTTTATACGAAGATATTTCCTTTTCTACCATTGGCATCGAAGCGCTTGAAATCTCCACTTGCAAATTCCACAAAAAGAGTGTTTCAAATCTGCTCTGTCTAAAGGAAGGTTGAACTCTGTGAGTTGCATACACACAACACAAAGAAGTTACTGAGAAATCTTCTGTCTAGCATAATATGAAGAAATCCCGTTTCCAACGAAGGCCTCAAAGAGGTCCGAATATCCACTGGCAGGCTTCACAAACAGAGTGTTTCCTAACTGCTCTGTGAAAAGAAAGGTTAAACTCTGTGAGTTGAACGCACACATCACAAAGGAGTTTCTGAGAATCATTCTGTCTAGTTTTTATACGAAGATATTTCCTTTTCTACCATTGACCTCAAAGCGGCTGAAATCTCCACTTGCAAATTCCAGAAAAACAGTGTTTCAAATCTGCTCTGTGTAAAGGATCGTTCAACTCTGTGAGTTGAATACACACAACACAAGGAAGTTACTGAGAATTCATCCCTCTAGCATTATATGAAGAAATCCCGTTTCCAACGAAGGCCTCAAAGAGGTCTGAATATCCACTTGCAGACTTTACAGAGTGTTTCCTAACTGCTCTTTGAAAAGAAAGGTTAAACTCTGTGAGTTGAACGCACACATCACAAAACAGTTTCTGAGAATCATTCTGTCTAGTTTTTATACGAAGATATTTCCTTTTCTACCGTTGACCTCAAAGCGGCTGAATTCTCCACTTACAAATTCCACCAAAAGAGTGTCTCAAATCTGCTCTGTGTAAAGAATCATTCAACTCTGTGAGTTGAATGCACACAACACAAGGAAGTTACTGGGAATTCCTCTGTCTAACCTTACATGAAAAAACCCGTTTCCAACGAAGGCCTCTAAGAGGCCAAGATATCCACTTGCAGACTTTACAAACAGAGTGTTTCCAAACTGCTGAATGAAAAGAAAAGTTAAACTCTGTGAGTTGAACGCACACATCACAGAGCAGTTTCTGAGAATGATTCTGTCGGGTTTTTATACGAAGATATTTCCTTTTCTGCCTTTGGCCTCAAAGCGCTTGAAGTCTCCACTTGCAAATTGCAGAAAAAGAGTGTTTCGAATCTGCTCTGTCTAAAGGAAGGTTCAACTCTGTCAGTTGAATACACACAACACAAGGGAATTTACTGAGATTTCTTCTGTCTAGCCTTACATGAAAAAAACCCGTTTCCAACGAAGGCCTCAAAGAGGTCAAAATATCCACGTGCAGACTTTCCAAACAGAGTGTTTCCAAACTGCTGAATGAAAAGAAAAGTTAAACTCTGTGAGTTGAACGCACACATCCCAGAGCAGTTTCTGAGAAAGATTCTGTCGAGTTTTTATAGGAAAATATTTCCTTTTCTGCTTTTGGCCTCAAAGCGCTTGAAATCTCCACTTGCAAATTCCACAAAAAGAGACTTTCAAATCTGCTCTGTCTAAAGGAAGGTTCAACTCTGTCAGTTGAATACACACAACACAAAGGAAGTTACTAAGAATTCTTCCCTCTAGCATTATATGAAGAAATCCCGTTTCCAACGAAGGCATCTAAGAGGTCCAAATATCCACTTGCAGACTTTACAAACAGAGGGTTTCCAGAATGCTGTATGAAAAGAAAGGTGAAACTCTGTGAGTTAAACACACACATCACTACGCAGTGTCTGGGAACGAGTTTGTCTTGTTTTTATACGAAGATATTTCCTTTTCTACCATTGGCATCGAAGCGCTTGAAATCTCCACTTGCAAATTCCACAAAAAGAGTGTTTCAAATATGCTCTCTCTAAAGGAAGGTTGAACTCTGTGAGTTGCATACACACAACCCAAAGAAGTTACTGAGAAATCTTCTGTCTAGCATAATATGAAGAAATCCCGTTTCCAACGAAGGCCTCAAAGAGGTCCGAATATCCACTGGCAGGCTTCACAAACAGAGTGTTTCCTAACTGCTCTGTGAAAAGAAAGGTTAAACTCTGTGAGTTGAACGCACACATCACAAAGGAGTTTCTGAGAATCATTCTGTCTAGTTTTTATACGAAGATATTTCTTTTTCTACCATTGACCTCAAAGCGGCTGAAATCTCCACTTGCAAATTCCAGAAAAACAGTGTTTCAAATCTGCTCTGTGTAAAGGATCGTTCAACTCTGTGAGTTGAATACACACAACACAAGGAAGTTACTGAGAATTCATCTGTCTAGCATAATATGAAGAAATCCCGTTTCCAACGAAGGCCTCAAAGAGGTCTGAATATCCACTTGCAGACTTTACAAACAGAGTGTTTCCTAACTGCTCTTTGAAAAGAAAGGTTAAACTCTGTGAGTTGAACGCACACATCACAAAACAGTTTCTGAGAATCATTCTGTCTAGTTTTTATACGAAGATATTTCCTTTTCTACCGTTGACCTCAAAGCGGCTGAATTCTCCACTTACAAATTCCACCAAAAGAGTGTCTCAAATCTGCTCTGTGTAAAGAATCATTCAACTCTGTGAGTTGAATGCACACAACACAAGGAAGTTACTGGGAATTCCTCGGTCTAACCTTACATGAAAAAACCCGTTTCCAACGAAGGCCTCTAAGAGGCCAAGATATCCACTTGCAGACTTTACAAACAGAGTGTTTCCAAACTGCTGAATGAAAAGAAAAGTTAAACTCTGTGAGTTGAACGCACACATCACAGAGCAGTTTCTGAGAATGATTCTGTCGGGTTTTTATACGAAGATATTTCCTTTTCTGCCTTTGGCCTCAAAGAGCTTGAAGTCTCCACTTGCAAATTGCAGAAAAAGAGTGTTTCGAATCTGCTCTGTCTAAAGGAAGGTTCAACCCTGTCAGTTGAATACACACAACACAAGGAAGTTACTGAGATTTCCTCTGTCTAGCCTTACATGATAAAACCCGTTTCCAACGAAGGCCTCAAAGAGGTCAAAATATCCACGTGCAGACTTTCCAAACAGAGTGTTTCCAAACTGCTGAATGAAAAGAAAAGTTAAACTGTGTGAGTTGAACGCACACATCACAGAGCAGTTTCTGAGAATGATTCTGTCTAGTTTTTATAGGAAAATATTTCCTTTTCTGCTTTTGGCCTCAAAGCGCTTGAAATCTCCACTTGCAAATTCCACAAAAAGAGACTTTCAAATCTGCTCTGTCTAAAGGAAGGTTCAACTCTGTCAGTTGAATACAGACAACACAAAGAAGTTACTGAGAATTCTTCCCTCTAGCATTATATGAAGAAATCCCGTTTCCAACGAAGGCATCTAAGAGGTCCAAATATCCACTTGCAGACTTTACAAACACAGGGTTTCCAGAATGCTGTATGAAAAGAAAGGTTAAACTCTGTGAGTTAAACACACACATCACTACGCAGTGTCTGGGAACGAGTTTGTCTTGTTTTTATACGAAGATATTTCCTTTTCTACCATTGGCATCGAAGCGCTTGAAATCTCCACTTGCAAATTCCACAAAAAGAGTGTTTCAAATCTGCTCTGTCTAAAGGAAGGTTGAACTCTGTGAGTTGCATACACACAACACAAAGAAGTTACTGAGAAATCTTCTGTCTAGCATAATATGAAGAAATCCCGTTTCCAACGAAGGCCTCAAAGAGGTCCGAATATCCACTGGCAGGCTTCACAAACAGAGTGTTTCCTAACTGCTCTGTGAAAAGAAAGGTTAAACTCTGTGAGTTGAACGCACACATCACAAAGGAGTTTCTGAGAATCATTCTGTCTAGTTTTTATACGAAGATATTTCCTTTTCTACCATTGACCTCAAAGCGGCTGAAATCTCCACTTGCAAATTCCAGAAAAACAGTGTTTCAAATCTGCTCTGTGTAAAGGATCGTTCAACTCTGTGAGTTGAATACACACAACACAAGGAAGTTACTGAGAATTCATCTGTCTAGCATAATATGAAGAAATCCCGTTTCCAACGAAGGCCTCAAAGAGGTCTGAATATCCACTTGCAGACTTTACAGAGTGTTTCCTAACTGCTCTTTGAAAAGAAAGGTTAAACTCTGTGAGTTGAACGCACACATCACAAAACAGTTTCTGAGAATCATTCTGTCTAGTTTTTATACGAAGATATTTCCTTTTCTACCGTTGACCTCAAAGCGGCTGAATTCTCCACTTACAAATTCCACCAAAAGAGTGTCTCAAATCTGCTCTGTGTAAAGAATCATTCAACTCTGTGAGTTGAATGCACACAACACAAGGAAGTTACTGGGAATTCCTCTGTCTAACCTTACATGAAAAAACCCGTTTCCAACGAAGGCCTCTAAGAGGCCAAGATATCCACTTGCAGACTTTACAAACAGAGTGTTTCCAAACTGCTGAATGAAAAGAAAAGTTAAACTCTGTGAGTTGAACGCACACATCACAGAGCAGTTTCTGAGAATGATTCTGTCGGGTTTTTATACGAAGATATTTCCTTTTCTGCCTTTGGCCTCAAAGCGCTTGAAGTCTCCACTTGCAAATTGCAGAAAAAGAGTGTTTCGAATCTGCTCTGTCTAAAGGAAGGTTCAACTCTGTCAGTTGAATACACACAACACAAGGGAATTTACTGAGATTTCTTCTGTCTAGCCTTACATGAAAAAAACCCGTTTCCAACGAAGGCCTCAAAGAGGTCAAAATATCCACGTGCAGACTTTCCAAACAGAGTGTTTCCAAACTGCTGAATGAAAAGAAAAGTTAAACTCTGTGAGTTGAACGCACACATCCCAGAGCAGTTTCTGAGAAAGATTCTGTCGAGTTTTTATAGGAAAATATTTCCTTTTCTGCTTTTGGCCTCAAAGCGCTTGAAATCTCCACTTGCAAATTCCACAAAAAGAGACTTTCAAATCTGCTCTGTCTAAAGGAAGGTTCAACTCTGTCAGTTGAATACACACAACACAAAGAAGTTACTAAGAATTCTTCCCTCTAGCATTATATGAAGAAATCCCGTTTCCAACTAAGGCATCTAAGAGGTCCAAATATCCACTTGCAGACTTTACAAACACAGGGTTTCCAGAATGCTGTATGAAAAGAAAGGTGAAACTCTGTGAGTTAAACACACACATCACTACGCAGTGTCTGGGAATGAGTTTGTCTTGTTTTTATACGAAGATATTTCCTTTTCTACCATTGGCATCGAAGCGCTTGAAATCTCCACTTGCAAATTCCACAAAAAGAGTGTTTCAAATCTGCTCTGTCTAAAGGAAGGTTGAACTCTGTGAGTTGCATACACACAACACAAAGAAGTTACTGAGAAATCTTCTGTCTAGCATAATATGAAGAAATCCCGTTTCCAACGAAGGCCTCAAAGAGGTCCGAATATCCACTGGCAGGCTTCACAAACAGAGTGTTTCCTAACTGCTCTGTGAAAAGAAAGGTTAAACTCTGTGAGTTGAACGCACACATCACAAAGGAGTTTCTGAGAATCATTCTGTCTAGTTTTTATACGAAGATATTTCCTTTTCTACCATTGACCTCAAAGCGGCTGAAATCTCCACTTGCAAATTCCAGAAAAACAGTGTTTCAAATCTGCTCTGTGTAAAGGATCGTTCAACTCTGTGAGTTGAATACACACAACACAAGGAAGTTACTGAGAATTCATCTGTCTAGCATAATATGAAGAAATCCCGTTTCCAACGAAGGCCTCAAAGAGGTCTGAATATCCACTTGCAGACTTTACAAACAGAGTGTTTCCTAACTGCTCTTTGAAAAGAAAGGTTAAACTCTGTGAGTTGAAAGCACACATCACAAAACAGTTTCTGAGAATCATTCTGTCTAGTTTTTATACGAAGATATTTCCTTTTCTACCGTTGACCTCAAAGCGGCTGAATTCTCCACTTACAAATTCCACCAAAAGAGTGTCTCAAATCTGCTCTGTGTAAAGAATCATTCAACTCTGTGAGTTGAATGCACACAACACAAGGAAGTTACTGGGAATTCCTCTGTCTATCCTTACATGAAAAAACCCGCTTCCAACGAAGGCCTCTAAGAGGCCAAGATATCCACTTGCAGACTTTACAAACAGAGTGTTTCCAAACTGCTGAATGAAAAGAAAAGTTAAACTCTGTGAGTTGAACGCACACATCACAGAGCAGTTTCTGAGAATGATTCTGTCGGGTTTTTATACGAAGATATTTCCTTTTCTGCCTTTGGCCTCAAAGCGCTTGAAGTGTCCACTTGCAAATTGCAGAAAAAGAGTGTTTCGAATCTGCTCTGTCTAAAGGAAGGTTCAACTCTGTCAGTTGAATACACACAACACAAGGAAGTTACTGAGATTTCTTCTGTCTAGCCTTACATGAAAAAAACCCGTTTCCAACGAAGGCCTCAAAGAGGTCAAAATATCCACGTGCAGACTTTCCAAACAGAGTGTTTCCAAACTGCTGAATGAAAAGAAAAGTTAAACTCTGTGAGTTGAACGCACACATCCCAGAGCAGTTTCTGAGAAAGATTCTGTCGAGTTTTTATAGGAAAATATTTCCTTTTCTGCTTTTGGCCTCAAAGCGCTTGAAATCTCCACTTGCAAATTCCACAAAAAGAGACTTTCAAATCTGCTCTGTCTAAAGGAAGGTTCAACTCTGTCAGTTGAATACACACAACACAAAGAAGTTACTAAGAATTCTTCCCTCTAGCATTATATGAAGAAATCCCGTTTCCAACGAAGGCATCTAAGAGGTCCAAATATCCACTTGCAGACTTTACAAACACAGGGTTTCCAGAATGCTGTATGAAAAGAAAGGTGAAACTCTGTGAGTTAAACACACACATCACTACGCAGTGTCTGGGAACGAGTTTGTCTTGTTTTTATACGAAGATATTTCCTTTTCTACCATTGGCATCGAAGCGCTTGAAATCTCCACTTGCAAATTCCACAAAAAGAGTGTTTCAAATCTGCTCTGTCTAAAGGAAGGTTGAACTCTGTGAGTTGCATACACACAACACAAAGAAGTTACTGAGAAATCTTCTGTCTAGCATAATATGAAGAAATCCCGTTTCCAACGAAGGCCTCAAAGAGGTCCGAATATCCACTGGCAGGCTTCACAAACAGAGTGTTTCCTAACTGCTCTGTGAAAAGAAAGGTTAAACCCTGTGAGTTGAACGCACACATCACAAAGGAGTTTCTGAGAATCATTCTGTCTAGTTTTTATACGAAGATATTTCCTTTTCTACCATTGACCTCAAAGCGGCTGAAATCTCCACTTGCAAATTCCAGAAAAACAGTGTTTCAAATCTGCTCTGTGTAAAGGATCGTTCAACTCTGTGAGTTGAATACACACAACACAAGGAAGTTACTGAGAATTCATCTGTCTAGCATAATATGAAGAAATCCCGTTTCCAACGAAGGCCTCAAAGAGGTCTGAATATCCACTTGCAGACTTTACAAACAGAGTGTTTCCTAACTGCTCTTTGAAAAGAAAGGTTAAACTCTGTGAGTTGAACGCACACATCACAAAACAGTTTCTGAGAATCATTCTGTCTAGTTTTTATACGAAGATATTTCCTTTTCTACCGTTGACCTCAAAGCGGCTGAATTCTCCACTTACAAATTCCACCAAAAGAGTGTCTCAAATCTGCTCTGTGTAAAGAATCATTCAACTCTGTGAGTTGAATGCACACAACACAAGGAAGTTACTGGGAATTCCTCTGTCTAACCTTACATGAAAAAACCCGTTTCCAACGAAGGCCTCT
Source organism: Homo sapiens (assembly GCF_000001405.40). NCBI lineage: Eukaryota > Metazoa > Chordata > Mammalia > Primates > Hominidae > Homo > Homo sapiens. The sequence continues at coordinate 38,213,978 of NC_000016.10, read as the reverse complement.
AAGAGGCCAAGATATCCACTTGCAGACTTTACAAACAGAGTGTTTCCAAACTGCTGAATGAAAAGAAAAGTTAAACTCTGTGAGTTGAACGCACACATCACAGAGCAGTTTCTGAGAATGATTCTGTCGGGTTTTTATACGAAGATATTTCCTTTTCTGCCTTTGGCCTCAAAGCGCTTGAAGTCTCCACTTGCAAATTGCAGAAAAAGAGTGTTTCGAATCTGCTCTGTCTAAAGGAAGGTTCAACTCTGTCAGTTGAATACACACAACACAAGGAAGTTACTGAGATTTCTTCTGTCTAGCCTTACATGAAAAAAACCCGTTTCCAACGAAGGCCTCAAAGAGGTCAAAATATCCACGTGCAGACTTTCCAAACAGAGTGTTTCCAAACTGCTGAATGAAAAGAAAAGTTAAACTCTGTGAGTTGAACGCACACATCCCAGAGCAGTTTCTGAGAAAGATTCTGTCGAGTTTTTATAGGAAAATATTTCCTTTTCTGCTTTTGGCCTCAAAGCGCTTGAAATCTCCACTTGCAAATTCCACAAAAAGAGACTTTCAAATCTGCTCTGTCTAAAGGAAGGTTCAACTCTGTCAGTTGAATACACACAACACAAAGAAGTTACTAAGAATTCTCCCTCTACCATTATATGACGAAATCCCATTTCCAACGAAGACATCTAAGAGGTCCAAATATACACTTGCAGACTTTACAAACAGAGGGTTTCCAGAGTTCTGTATGAAAAGAAGGGTTAAAGTCTGTGAGTTAAACACACACATCACTACGCAGTTTCTGGGAATGATTTTGTCTTGTTTTTATACGAAGATATTTCCTTTTCTACCATTGGCATCGAAGCGCTTGAAATCTCCACTTGCAAATTCCACAAAAAGAGTGTTTCAAATCTGCTATGACTAAAGGAAGGTTGAACTCTGTGAGTTGCATACACACAACACAAAGAAGTTACTGAGAAATCTTCTGAATAGCATAATATGAAGAAATCCCGTTTCCAACGAAGGCCTCAAAGAGGTCCGAATATCCACTGGCAGGCTTCACAAACAGAGTGTTTCCTAACTGCTCTGTGAAAAGAAAGGTTAAACTCTGTGAGTTGAACGCACACATCATAAAGGAGTTTCTGAGAATCATTCTGTCTAGTTTTTATACGAAGATATTTCCTTTTCTACCATTGACCTCAAAGCGGCTGAAATCTCCACTTGCAAATTCCAGAAAAACAGTGTTTCAAATCTGCTCTGTGTAAAGGATCGTTCAACTCTGTGAGTTGAATACACACAACACAAGGAAGTTACTGAGAATTCATCTGTCTAGCATAATATGAAGAAATCCCGTTTCCAACGAAGGCCTCAAAGAGGTCTGAATATCCACTTGCAGACTTTACAAACAGAGTGTTTCCTAACTGCTCTTTGAAAAGAAAGGTTAAACTCTGTGAGTTGAACGCACACATCACAAAACAGTTTCTGAGAATCATTCTGTCTAGTTTTTATACGAAGATATTTCCTTTTCTACCGTTGACCTCAAAGCGGCTGAATTCTCCACTTACAAATTCCACCAAAAGAGTGTCTCAAATCTGCTCTGTGTAAAGAATCATTCAACTCTGTGAGTTGAATGCACACAACACAAGGAAGTTACTGGGAATTCCTCTGTCTATCCTTACATGAAAAAACCCGTTTCCAACGAAGGCCTCTAAGAGGCCAAGATATCCACTTGCAGACTTTACAAACAGAGTGTTTCCAAACTGCTGAATGAAAAGAAAAGTTAAACTCTGTGAGTTGAACGCACACATCACAGAGCAGTTTCTGAGAATGATTCTGTCGGGTTTTTATACGAAGATATTTCCTTTTCTGCCTTTGGCCTCAAAGCGCTTGAAGTCTCCACTTGCAAATTGCAGAAAAAGAGTGTTTCGAATCTGCTCTGTCTAAAGGAAGGTTCAACTCTGTCAGTTGAATACACACAACACAAGGAAGTTACTGAGATTTCTTCTGTCTAGCCTTACATGAAAAAAACCCGTTTCCAACGAAGGCCTCAAAGAGGTCAAAATATCCACGTGCAGACTTTCCAAACAGAGTGTTTCCAAACTGCTGAATGAAAAGAAAGTTAAACTCTGTGAGTTGAACACACACATCACAGAGCAGTTTCTGAGAATGATTCTGTCGAGGTTTTATAGGAAAATATTTCCTTTTCTGCTTTTGGCCTCAAAGCGCTTGAAATCTCCACTTGCAAATTCCACAAAAAGAGACTTTCAAATCTGCTCTGTCTAAAGGAAGGTTCAACTCTGTCAGTTGAATACACACAACACAAAGAAGTTACTAAGAATTCTTCCCTCTAGCATTATATGAAGAAATCCCGTTTCCAACGAAGGCATCTAAGAGGTCCAAATAACCACTTGCAGACTTTACAAACAGAGGGTTTCCAGAATGCTGTATGAAAAGAAAGGTTAAACTCTGTGAGTTAAACACACACATCACTACGCAGTGTCTGGGAACGAGTTTGTCTTGTTTTTATACGAAGATATTTCCTTTTCTACCATTGGCATCGAAGCGCTTGAAATCTCCACTTGCAAATTCCACAAAAAGAGTGTTTCAAATCTGCTCTGTCTAAAGGAAGGTTGAACTCTGTGAGTTGCATACACACAACACAAAGAAGTTACTGAGAAATCTTCTGTCTAGCATAATATGAAGAAATCCCGTTTCCAACGAAGGCCTCAAAGAGGTCCGAATATCCACTGGCAGGCTTCACAAACAGAGTGTTTCCTAACTGCTCTGTGAAAAGAAAGGTTAAACTCTGTGAGTTGAACGCACACATCACAAAGGAGTTTCTGAGAATCATTCTGTCTAGTTTTTATACGAAGATATTTCCTTTTCTACCATTGACGTCAAAGCGGCTGAAATCTCCACTTGCAAATTCCAGAAAAACAGTGTTTCAAATCTGCTCTGTGTAAAGGATCGTTTAACTCTGTGAGTTGAATACACACAACACAAGGAAGTTACTGAGAATTCATCTGTCTAGCATAATATGAAGAAATCCCGTTTCCAACGAAGGCCTCAAAGAGGTCTGAATATCCACTTGCAGACTTTACAAACAGAGTGTTTCCTAACTGCTCTTTGAAAAGAAAGGTTAAACTCTGTGAGTTGAACGCACACATCACAAAACAGTTTCTGAGAATCATTCTGTCTAGTTTTTATACGAAGATATTTCCTTTTCTACCGTTGACCTCAAAGCGGCTGAATTCTCCACTTACAAATTCCACCAAAAGAGTGTCTCAAATCTGCTCTGTGAAAAGAATCATTCAACTCTGTTTGTTGAATGCACACAACACAAGGAAGTTACTGGGAATTCCTCTGTCTATCCTTACATGAAAAAACCCGTTTCCGACGAAGGCCTCTAAGAGGCCAAGATATCCAATTGCAGACTTTACAAACAGAGTGTTTCCAAACTGCTGAATGAAAAGAAAAGTTAAACTCTGTGAGTTGAACGCACACATCACAGAGCAGTTTCTGAGAAAGATTCTGTCGGGTTTTTATACGAAGATATTTCCTTTTCTGCCTTTGGCCTCAAAGCGCTTGAAGTCTCCACTTGCAAATTGCAGAAAAAGAGTGTTTCCAATCTGCTCTGTCTAAAGGAAGGTTCAACTCTGTCAGTTGAATACACACAACACAAGGAAGTTACTGAGATTTCTTCTGTCTAGCCTTACATGAAAAAAACCCGTTTCCAACGAAGGCCTCAAAGAGGTCAAAATATCCACGTGCAGACTTTCCAAACAGAGTGTTTCCAAACTGCTGAATGAAAAGAAAAGTTAAACTCTGTGAGTTGAACGCACACATCCCAGAGCAGTTTCTGAGAAAGATTCTGTCGAGTTTTTATAGGAAAATATTTCCTTTTCTGCTTTTGGCCTCAAAGCGCTTGAAATCTCCACTTGCAAATTCCACAAAAAGAGACTTTCAAATCTGCTCTGTCTAAAGGAAGGTTCAACTCTGTCAGTTGAATACACACAACACAAAGAAGTTACTAAGAATTCTTCCCTCTAGCATTATATGAAGAAATCCCGTTTCCAACGAAGGCATCTAAGAGGTCCAAATATCCACTTGCAGACTTTACAAACACAGGGTTTCCAGAATGCTGTATGAAAAGAAAGGTGAAACTCTGTGAGTTAAACACACACATCACTACGCAGTGTCTGGGAACGAGTTTGTCTTGTTTTTATACGAAGATATTTCCTTTTCTACCATTGGCATCGAAGCGCTTGAAATCTCCACTTGCAAATTCCACAAAAAGAGTGTTTCAAATCTGCTCTGTCTAAAGGAAGGTTGAACTCTGTGAGTTGCATACACACAACACAAAGAAGTTACTGAGAAATCTTCTGTCTAGCATAATATGAAGAAATCCCGTTTCCAACGAAGGCCTCAAAGAGGTCCGAATATCCACTGGCAGGCTTCACAAACAGAGTGTTTCCTAACTGCTCTGTGAAAAGAAAGGTTAAACTCTGTGAGTTGAACGCACACATCACAAAGGAGTTTCTGAGAATCATTCTGTCTAGTTTTTATACGAAGATATTTCCTTTTCTACCATTGACCTCAAAGCGGCTGAAATCTCCACTTGCAAATTCCAGAAAAACAGTGTTTCAAATCTGCTCTGTGTAAAGGATCGTTTAACTCTGTGAGTTGAATACACACAACACAAGGAAGTTACTGAGAATTCATCTGTCTAGCATAATATGAAGAAATCCCGTTTCCAACGAAGGCCTCAAAGAGGTCTGAATATCCACTTGCAGACTTTACAAACAGAGTGTTTCCTAACTGCTCTTTGAAAAGAAAGGTTAAACTCTGTGAGTTGAAAGCACACATCACAAAACAGTTTCTGAGAATCATTCTTTCTAGTTTTTATACGAAGATATTTCCTTTTCTACCGTTGACCTCAAAGCGGCTGAATTCTCCACTTACAAATTCCACCAAAAGAGTGTCTCAAATCTGCTCTGTGTAAAGAATCATTCAACTCTGTGAGTTGAATGCACACAACACAAGGAAGTTACTGGGAATTCCTCTGTCTAACCTTACATGAAAAAACCCGTTTCCAACGAAGGCCTCTAAGAGGCCAAGATATCCACTTGCAGACTTTACAAACAGAGTGTTTCCAAACTGCTGAATGAAAAGAAAAGTTAAACTCTGTGAGTTGAACGCACACATCACAGAGCAGTTTCTGAGAATGATTCTGTCGGGTTTTTATACGAAGATATTTCCTTTTCTGCCTTTGGCCTCAAAGCGCTTGAAGTCTCCACTTGCAAATTGCAGAAAAAGAGTGTTTCGAATCTGCTCTGTCTAAAGGAAGGTTCAACTCTGTCAGTTGAATACACACAACACAAGGAAGTTACTGAGATTTCTTCTGTCTAGCCTTACATGAAAAAAACCCGTTTCCAACGAAGGCCTCAAAGAGGTCAAAATATCCACGTGCAGACTTTCCAAACAGAGTGTTTCCAAACTGCTGAATGAAAAGAAAAGTTAAACTCTGTGAGTTGAACGCACACATCCCAGAGCAGTTTCTGAGAAAGATTCTGTCTAGTTTTTATAGGAAAATATTTCCTTTTCTGCTTTTGGCCTCAAAGCGCTTGAAATCTCCACTTGCAAATTCCACAAAAAGAGACTTTCAAATCTGCTCTGTCTAAAGGAAGGTTCAACTCTGTCAGTTGAATACACACAACACAAAGAAGTTACTAAGAATTCTTCCCTCTAGCATTATATGAAGAAATCCCGTTTCCAACGAAGGCATCTAAGAGGTCCAAATATCCACTTGCAGACTTTACAAACAGAGGGTTTCCAGAATGCTGTATGAAAAGAAAGGTTAAACTCTGTGAGTTAAACACACACATCACTACGCAGTGTCTGGGAACGAGTTTGTCTTGTTTTTATACGAAGATATTTCCTTTTCTACCATTGGCATCGAAGCGCTTGAAATCTCCACTTGCAAATTCCACAAAAAGAGTGTTTCAAATCTGCTCTGTCTAAAGGAAGGTTGAACTCTGTGAGTTGCATACACACAACACAAAGAAGTTACTGAGAAATCTTCTGTCTAGCATAATATGAAGAAATCCCGTTTCCAACGAAGGCCTCAAAGAGGTCCGAATATCCACTGGCAGGCTTCACAAACAGAGTGTTTCCTAACTGCTCTGTGAAAAGAAAGGTTAAACTCTGTGAGTTGAACGCACACATCACAAAGGAGTTTCTGAGAATCATTCTGTCTAGTTTTTATACGAAGATATTTCCTTTTCTACCATTGACCTCAAAGCGGCTGAAATCTCCACTTGCAAATTCCACCAAAAGAGTGTCTCAAATCTGCTCTGTGTAAAGAATCATTCAACTCTGTGAGTTGAATGCACACAACACAAGGAAGTTACTGGGAATTCCTCTGTCTATCCTTACATGAAAAAACCCTTTTCCAACGAAGGCCTCTAAGAGGCCAAGATATCCACTTGCAGACTTTACAAACAGAGTGTTTCCAAACTGCTGAATGAAAAGAAAAGTTAAACTCTGTGAGTTGAACGCACACATCACAGAGCAGTTTCTGAGAATGATTCTGTCTGGTTTTTATACGAAGATAATAACTTTTCTGCCTTTGGCCTCAAAGCTCTTGAAGTCTCCACTTGCAAATTGCACAAAAAGAGTGTTTCGAATCTGCTCTGTCTAAAGGAAGGTTCAACTCTGTCAGTTGAATACACACAACACAAAGAAGTTACTAAGAATTCATCCCTCTAGCATTATATGAAGAAATCCCGTTTCCAACGAAGGCATCTAAGAGGTCCAAATATCCACTTGCAGACTTTACAAACAGAGTGTTCCCAGAATGCTGCATGAAAAGAAAGGTTAGACTCTGTGAGTTAAACACACACATCACTACGCAGATTCTGGGAATGATTCTGTCTAGTTTTTATAGGAAAATATTTCCTTTTCTGCTTTTGGCCTCAAAGCGCTTGAAATCTCCACTTGCAAATTCCACAAAAAGAGACTTTCAAATCTGCTCTGTCTAAAGGAAGGTTCAACTCTGTCAGTTGAATACACACAACACAAAGAAGTTACTAAGAATTCTTCCCTCTAGCATTATATGAAGAAATCCCGTTTGCAACGAAGGCATCTAAGAGGTCCAAATATCCACTTGCAGACTTTACAAACAGAGGGTTTCCAGAATGCTGTATGAAAAGAAAGGTGAAACTCTGTGAGTTAAACACACACATCACTACGCAGTGTCTGGGAACGAGTTTGTCTTGTTTTTATACGAAGATATTTCCTTTTCTACCATTGGCATCGAAGCGCTTGAAATCTCCACTTGCAAATTCCACAAAAAGAGTGTTTCAAATCTGCTCTGTCTAAAGGAAGGTTGAACTCTGTGAGTTGCATACACACAACACAAAGAAGTTACTGAGAAATCTTCTGTCTAGCATAATATGAAGAAATCCCGTTTCCAACGAAGGCCTCAAAGAGGTCCGAATATCCACTGGCAGGCTTCACAAACAGAGTGTTTCCTAACTGCTCTGTGAAAAGAAAGGTTAAACCCTGTGAGTTGAACGCACACATCACAAAGGAGTTTCTGAGAATCATTCTGTCTAGTTTTTATACGAAGATATTTCCTTTTCTACCATTGACCTCAAAGCGGCTGAAATCTCCACTTGCAAATTCCAGAAAAACAGTGTTTCAAATCTGCTCTGTGTAAAGGATCGTTCAACTCTGTGAGTTGAATACACACAACACAAGGAAGTTACTGAGAATTCATCTGTCTAGCATAATATGAAGAAATCCCGTTTCCAACGAAGGCCTCAAAGAGGTCTGAATATCCGCTTGCAGACTTTACAAACAGAGTGTTTCCTAACTGCTCTTTGAAAAGAAAGGTTAAACTCTGTGAGTTGAACGCACACATCACAAAACAGTTTCTGAGAATCATTCTGTCTAGTTTTTATACGAAGATATTTCCTTTTCTACCGTTGACCTCAAAGCGGCTGAATTCTCCACTTACAAATTCCACCAAAAGAGTGTCTCAAATCTGCTCTGTGTAAAGAATCATTCAACTCTGTGAGTTGAATGCACACAACACAAGGAAGTTACTGGGAATTCCTCTGTCTAGCCTTACATGAAAAAAACCCGTTTCCAACGAAGGCCTCAAGGAGGCCAATATATCCACTTGCAGACTTTACAAACAGAGTGTTTCCAAACTGCTGAATGAAAAGACAAGTTAAACTCTGTGAGTTGAACGCACACATCACAGAGCAGTTTCTCAGAATGATTCTGTCGGGTTTTTATACGAAGATATTTCCTTTTCTGCCTTTGGCCTCAAAGCGCTTGAAGTCTCCACTTGCAAATTGCAGAAAAAGAGTGTTTCGAATCTGCTCTGTCTAAAGGAAGGTTCAACTCTGTCAGTTGAATACACACAACACAAGGAAGTTACTGAGATTTCTTCTGTCTAGCCTTACATGAAAAAAACCCGTTTCCAACGAAGGCCTCAAAGAGGTCAAAATATCCACGTGCAGACTTTCCAAACAGAGTGTTTCCAAACTGCTGAATGAAAAGAAAGTTAAACTCTGTGAGTTGAACACACACATCACAGAGCAGTTTCTGAGAATGATTCTGTCGAGGTTTTATAGGAAAATATTTCCTTTTCTGCTTTTGGCCTCAAAGCGCTTGAAATCTCCACTTGCAAATTCCACAAAAAGAGACTTTCAAATCTGCTCTGTCTAAAGGAAGGTTCAACTCTGTCAGTTGAATACACACAACACAAAGAAGTTACTAAGAATTCTTCCCTCTAGCATTATATGAAGAAATCCCGTTTGCAACGAAGGCATCTAAGAGGTCCAAATATCCACTTGCAGACTTTACAAACAGAGGGTTTCCAGAATGCTGTATGAAAAGAAAGGTGAAACTCTGTGAGTTAAACACACACATCACTACGCAGTGTCTGGGAACGAGTTTGTCTTGTTTTTATACGAAGATATTTCCTTTTCTACCATTGGCATCGAAGCGCTTGAAATCTCCACTTGCAAATTCCACAAAAAGAGTGTTTCAAATCTGCTCTGTCTAAAGGAAGGTTGAACTCTGTGAGTTGCATACACACAACACAAAGAAGTTACTGAGAAATCTTCTGTCTAGCATAATATGAAGAAATCCCGTTTCCAACGAAGGCCTCAAAGAGGTCCGAATATCCACTGGCAGGCTTCACAAACAGAGTGTTTCCTAACTGCTCTGTGAAAAGAAAGGTTAAACTCTGTGAGTTGAACGCACACATCACAAAGGAGTTTCTGAGAATCATTCTGTCTAGTTTTTATACGAAGATATTTCCTTTTCTACCATTGACCTCAAAGCGGCTGAAATCTCCACTTGCAAATTCCAGAAAAACAGTGTTTCAAATCTGCTCTGTGTAAAGGATCGTTCAACTCTGTGAGTTGAATACACACAACACAAGGAAGTTACTGAGAATTCATCTGTCTAGCATAATATGAAGAAATCCCGTTTCCAACGAAGGCCTCAAAGAGGTCTGAATATCCACTTGCAGACTTTACAAACAGAGTGTTTCCTAACTGCTCTTTGAAAAGAAAGGTTAAACTCTGTGAGTTGAACGCACACATCACAAAACAGTTTCTGAGAATCATTCTGTCTAGTTTTTATACGAAGATATTTCCTTTTCTACCGTTGACCTCAAAGCGGCTGAATTCTCCACTAACAAATTCCACCAAAAGAGTGTCTCAAATCTGCTCTGTGTAAAGAATCATTCAACTCTGTGAGTTGAATGCACACAACACAAGGAAGTTACTGGGAATTCCTCTGTCTAACCTTACATGAAAAAACCCGCTTCCAACGAAGGCCTCTAAGAGGCCAAGATATCCACTTGCAGACTTTACAAACAGAGTGTTTCCAAACTGCTGAATGAAAAGAAAAGTTAAACTCTGTGAGTTGAACGCACACATCACAGAGCAGTTTCTGAGAATGATTCTGTCGGGTTTTTATACGAAGAATATTTCCTTTTCTGCCTTTGGCCTCAAAGCGCTTGAAGTCTCCACTTGCAAATTGCAGAAAAAGAGTGTTTCGAATCTGCTCTGTCTAAAAGAAGGTTCAACTCTGTCAGTTGAATACACACAACACAAGGAAGTTACTGAGATTTCTTCTGTCTAGCCTTACATGAAAAAAACCCGTTTCCAACGAAGGCCTCAAAGAGGTCAAAATATCCACGTGCAGACTTTCCAAACAGAGTGTTTCCAAACTGCTGAATGAAAAGAAAAGTTAAACTCTGTGAGTTGAACGCACACATCCCAGAGCAGTTTCTGAGAAAGATTCTGTCTAGTTTTTATAGGAAAATATTTCCTTTTCTGCTTTTGGCCTCAAAGCGCTTGAAATCTCCACTTGCAAATTCCACAAAAAGAGACTTTCAAATCTGCTCTGTCTAAAGGAAGGTTCAACTCTGTCAGTTGAATACACACAACACAAAGAAGTTACTAAGAATTCTTCCCTCTAGCATTATATGAAGAAATCCCGTTTCCAACGAAGGCATCTAAGAGGTCCAAATATCCACTTGCAGACTTTACAAACAGAGGGTTTCCAGAATGCTGTATGAAAAGAAAGGTGAAACTCTGTGAGTTAAACACACACATCACTACGCAGTGTCTGGGAACGAGTTTGTCTTGTTTTTATACGAAGATATTTCCTTTTCTACCATTGGCATCGAAGCGCTTGAAATCTCCACTTGCAAATTCCACAAAAAGAGTGTTTCAAATCTGCTCTGTCTAAAGGAAGGTTGAACTCTGTGAGTTGCATACACACAACACAAAGAAGTTACTGAGAAATCTTCTGTCTAGCATAATATGAAGAAATCCCGTTTCCAACGAAGGCCTCAAAGAGGTCCGAATATCCACTGGCAGGCTTCACAAACAGAGTGTTTCCTAACTGCTCTGTGAAAAGAAAGGTTAAACTCTGTGAGTTGAACGCACACATCACAAAGGAGTTTCTGAGAATCATTCTGTCTAGTTTTTATACGAAGATATTTCTTTTTCTACCATTGACCTCAAAGCGGCTGAAATCTCCACTTGCAAATTCCAGAAAAACAGTGTTTCAAATCTGCTCTGTGTAAAGGATCGTTCAACTCTGTGAGTTGAATACACACAACACAAGGAAGTTACTGAGAATTCATCTGTCTAGCATAATATGAAGAAATCCCGTTTCCAACGAAGGCCTCAAAGAGGTCTGAATATCCACTTGCAGACTTTACAAACAGAGTGTTTCCTAACTGCTCTTTGAAAAGAAAGGTTAAACTCTGTGAGTTGAACGCACACATCACAAAACAGTTTCTGAGAATCATTCTGTCTAGTTTTTATACGAAGATATTTCCTTTTCTACCGTTGACCTCAAAGCGGCTGAATTCTCCACTTACAAATTCCACCAAAAGAGTGTCTCAAATCTGCTCTGTGTAAAGAATCATTCAACTCTGTGAGTTGAATGCACACAACACAAGGAAGTTACTGGGAATTCCTCTGTCTAACCTTACATGAAAAAACCCGTTTCCAACGAAGGCCTCTAAGAGGCCAAGATATCCACTTGCAGACTTTACAAACAGAGTGTTTCCAAACTGCTGAATGAAAAGAAAAGTTAAACTCTGTGAGTTGAACGCACACATCACAGAGCAGTTTCTGAGAATGATTCTGTCGGGTTTTTATACGAAGATATTTCCTTTTCTGCCTTTGGCCTCAAAGCGCTTGAAGTCTCCACTTGCAAATTGCAGAAAAAGAGTGTTTCGAATCTGCTCTGTCTAAAGGAAGGTTCAACTCTGTCAGTTGAATACACACAACACAAGGAAGTTACTTGAGATTTCTTCTGTCTAGCCTTACATGAAAAAAACCCGTTTCCAACGAAGGCCTCAAAGAGGTCAAAATATCCACGTGCAGACTTTCCAAACAGAGTGTTTCCAAACTGCTGAATGAAAAGAAAAGTTAAACTCTGTGAGTTGAACGCACACATCCCAGAGCAGTTTCTGAGAAAGATTCTCTCTAGTTTTTATAGGAAAATATTTCCTTTTCTGCTTTTGGCCTCAAAGCGCTTGAAATCTCCACTTGCAAATTCCACAAAAAGAGACTTTCAAATCTGCTCTGTCTAAAGGAAGGTTCAACTCTGTCAGTTGAATACACACAACACAAAGAAGTTACTAAGAATTCTTCCCTCTAGCATTATATGAAGAAATCCCGTTTCCAACGAAGGCATCTAAGAGGTCCAAATATCCACTTGCAGACTTTACAAACACAGGGTTTCCAGAATGCTGTATGAAAAGAAAGGTTAAACTCTGTGAGTTAAACACACACATCACTACGCAGTGTCTGGGAACGAGTTTGTCTTGTTTTTATACGAAGATATTTCCTTTTCTACCATTGGCATCGAAGCGCTTGAAATCTCCACTTGCAAATTCCACAAAAAGAGTGTTTCAAATCTGCTCTGTCTAAAGGAAGGTTGAACTCTGTGAGTTGCATACACACAACACAAAGAAGTTACTGAGAAATCTTCTGTCTAGCATAATATGAAGAAATCCCGTTTCCAACGAAGGCCTCAAAGAGGTCCGAATATCCACTGGCAGGCTTCACAAACAGAGTGTTTCCTAACTGCTCTGTGAAAAGAAAGGTTAAACTCTGTGAGTTGAACGCACACATCACAAAGGAGTTTCTGAGAATCATTCTGTCTAGTTTTTATACGAAGATATTTCCTTTTCTACCATTGACCTCAAAGCGGCTGAAATCTCCACTTGCAAATTCCAGAAAAACAGTGTTTCAAATCTGCTCTGTGTAAAGGATCGTTCAACTCTGTGAGTTGAATACACACAACACAAGGAAGTTACTGAGAATTCATCTGTCTAGCATAATATGAAGAAATCCCGTTTCCAACGAAGGCCTCAAAGAGGTCTGAATATCCACTTGCAGACTTTACAAACAGAGTGTTTCCTAACTGCTCTTTGAAAAGAAAGGTTAAACTCTGTGAGTTGAACGCACACATCACAAAACAGTTTCTGAGAATCATTCTGTCTAGTTTTTATACGAAGATATTTCCTTTTCTACCGTTGACCTCAAAGCGGCTGAATTCTCCACTTACAAATTCCACCAAAAGAGTGTCTCAAATCTGCTCTGTGTAAAGAATCATTCAACTCTGTGAGTTGAATGCACACAACACAAGGAAGTTACTGGGAATTCCTCTGTCTAACCTTACATGAAAAAACCCGTTTCCAACGAAGGCCTCTAAGAGGCCAAGATATCCACTTGCAGACTTTACAAACAGAGTGTTTCCAAACTGCTGAATGAAAAGAAAAGTTAAACTCTGTGAGTTGAACGCACACATCACAGAGCAGTTTCTGAGAATGATTCTGTCGTGTTTTTATACGAAGATATTTCCTTTTCTGCCTTTGGCCTCAAAGCGCTTGAAGTCTCCACTTGCAAATTGCAGAAAAAGAGTGTTTCGAATCTGCTCTGTCTAAAGGAAGGTTCAACTCTGTCAGTTGAATACACACAACACAAGGAAGTTACTGAGATTTCTTCTGTCTAGCCTTACATGAAAAAAACCCGTTTCCAACGAAGGCCTCAAAGAGGTCAAAATATCCACGTGCAGACTTTCCAAACAGAGTGTTTCCAAACTGCTGAATGAAAAGAAAAGTTAAACTCTGTGAGTTGAACGCACACATCCCAGAGCAGTTTCTGAGAAAGATTCTGTCGAGTTTTTATAGGAAAATATTTCCTTTTCTGCTTTTGGCCTCAAAGCGCTTGAAATCTCCACTTGCAAATTCCACAAAAAGAGACTTTCAAATCTGCTCTGTCTAAAGGAAGGTTCAACTCTGTCAGTTGAATACACACAACACAAAGAAGTTACTAAGAATTCTTCCCTCTAGCATTATATGAAGAAATCCCGTTTCCAACGAAGGCATCTAAGAGGTCCAAATATCCACTTGCAGACTTTACAAACAGAGGGTTTCCAGAATGCTGTATGAAAAGAAAGGTGAAACTCTGTGAGTTAAACACACACATCACTACGCAGTGTCTGGGAACGAGTTTGTCTTGTTTTTATACGAAGATATTTCCTTTTCTACCATTGGCATCGAAGCGCTTGAAATCTCCACTTGCAAATTCCACAAAAAGAGTGTTTCAAATCTGCTCTGTCTAAAGGAAGGTTGAACTCTGTGAGTTGCATACACACAACCCAAAGAAGTTACTGAGAAATCTTCTGTCTAGCATAATATGAAGAAATCCCGTTTCCAACGAAGGCCTCAAAGAGGTCCGAATATCCACTGGCAGGCTTCACAAACAGAGTGTTTCCTAACTGCTCTGTGAAAAGAAAGGTTAAACTCTGTGAGTTGAACGCACACATCACAAAGGAGTTTCTGAGAATCATTCTGTCTAGTTTTTATACGAAGATATTTCCTTTTCTACCATTGACCTCAAAGCGGCTGAAATCTCCACTTGCAAATTCCAGAAAAACAGTGTTTCAAATCTGCTCTGTGTAAAGGATCGTTCAACTCTTGTGAGTTGAATACACACAACACAAGGAAGTTACTGAGAATTCATCTGTCTAGCATAATATGAAGAAATCCCGTTTCCAACGAAGGCCTCAAAGAGGTCTGAATATCCACTTGCAGACTTTACAAACAGAGTGTTTCCTAACTGCTCTTTGAAAAGAAAGGTTAAACTCTGTGAGTTGAACGCACACATCACAAAACAGTTTCTGAGAATCATTCTTTCTAGTTTTTATACGAAGATATTTCCTTTTCTACCGTTGACCTCAAAGCGGCTGAATTCTCCACTTACAAATTCCACCAAAAGAGTGTCTCAAATCTGCTCTGTGTAAAGAATCATTCAACTCTGTGAGTTGAATGCACACAACACAAGGAAGTTACTGGGAATTCCTCTGTCTAACCTTACATGAAAAAACGCGTTTCCAACGAAGGCCTCTAAGAGGCCAAGATATCCACTTGCAGACTTTACAAACAGAGTGTTTCCAAACTGCTGAATGAAAAGAAAAGTTAAACTCTGTGAGTTGAACGCACACATCACAGAGCAGTTTCTGAGAATGATTCTGTCGGGTTTTTATACGAAGATATTTCCTTTTCTGCCTTTGGCCTCAAAGCGCTTGAAGTCTCCACTTGCAAATTGCAGAAAAAGAGCGTTTCGAATCTGCTCTGTCTAAAGGAAGGTTCAACTCTGTCAGTTGAATACACACAACACAAGGAAGTTACTGAGATTTCTTCTGTCTAGCCTTACATGAAAAAAACCCGTTTCCAACGAAGGCCTCAAAGAGGTCAAAATATCCACGTGCAGACTTTCCAAACAGAGTGTTTCCAAACTGCTGAATGAAAAGAAAGTTAAACTCTGTGAGTTGAACACACACATCACAGAGCAGTTTCTGAGAATGATTCTCTCTAGTTTTTATAGGAAAATATTTCCTTTTCTGCTTTTGGCCTCAAAGTGCTTGAAATCTCCACTTGCAAATTCCACAAAAAGAGACTTTCAAATCTGCTCTGTCTAAAGGAAGGTTCAACTCTGTCAGTTCAAAACACACAACACAAAGAAGTTACTAAGAATTCTTCCCTCTAGCATTATATGAAGAAATCCCGTTTCCAACGAAGGCCTCAAAGAGGTCTGAATATCCACTTGCAGACTTTACAGAGTGTTTCCTAACTGCTCTTTGAAAAGAAAGGTTAAACTCTGTGAGTTGAACGCACACATCACAAAACAGTTTCTGAGAATCATTCTCTGTCTAGTTTTTATACGAAGATATTTCCTTTTCTACCATTGACCTCAAAGCGGCTGAATTCTCCACTTACAAATTCCACCAAAAGAGTGTCTCAAATCTGCTCTATGTAAAGAATCATTCAACTCTGTGAGTTGAATGCACACAACACAAGGAAGTTACTGGGAATTCCTCTGTCTAGCATAATATGAAGAAATCCCGTTTCCAACGAAGGCCTCAAAGAGGTCCGAATATCCACTGGCAGGCTTCACAAACAGAGTGTTTCCTAACTGCTCTGTGAAAAGAAAGGTTAAACTCTGTGAGTTGAACGCACACATCACAAAGGAGTTTCTGAGAATCATTCTGTCTAGTTTTTATACGACCATATTTCCTTTTCTACCATTGACCTCAAAGCGGCTGAAATCTCCACCTGCAAATTCCACAAAAAGAGTGTTTCTAATCTGCTCTGTGTAAAGGATCGTTCAACTCTGTGAGTTGAAAGTACACAACACAAGGAAGTTACTGAGAATTCTTCTGTCTAGCATAATATGAAGAAATCCCGTTTCCAACAAAGGCCTCAAAGAGGTCTGAATATCCACTTGCAGACTTTACAAACAGAGTGTTTCCTAACTGCTCTTTGAAAAGAAAGGTTAAACTCTGTGAGTTGAATGCACACATCACAAAACAGTTTCTGAGAATCATTCTGTCTAGTTTTTATACGAAGATATTTCCTTTTCTACCGTTGACCTCAAAGCATCTGAATTCTCCACTTACAAATTCCACCAAAAGAGTGTCTCAAATCTGCTCTGTGTAAAGAATCATTCAACTCTGTGAGTTGAATGCACACAACACAAGGAAGTTACTGGGAATTCCTCTGTCTAACCTTACATGATAAAACCCGTTTCCAACGAAGGCCTCTAAGAGGCCAAGATATCCACTTGCAGACTTTACAAACAGAGTGTTTCCAAACTGCTGAATGAAAAGAAAAGTTAAACTCTGTGAGTTGAACGCACACATCACAGAGTAGTTTCTGAGAATGATTCTGTCGGGTTTTTATACGAAGATATTTCCTTTTCTGCCTTTGGCCTCAAAGCGCTTGAAGTCTCCACTTGCAAATTGCAGAAAAAGAGTGTTTCGAATCTGCTCTGTCTAAAGGAAGGTTCAACTCTGTCAGTTGAATACACACAACTCAAGGAAGTTACTGAGATTTCTTCTGTCTAGCCTTACATGATAAAAACGTGTTTCCAACGAAGGCCTCAAAGAGGTCAAAATATCCACGTGTAGACTTTCCAAACAGAGTGTTTCCAAACTGCTGAATGAAAAGAAAAGTTAAACTCTGTGAGTTGAACGCACACATCACAGAGCAGTTTCTGAGAATGATTCTGTCGAGTTTTTATAGGAAAATACTTCCTTTTCTGCTTTTGGCCTCAAAGCGCTTGAAATCTCCACTTGCAAATTCCACAAAAAGAGACTTTCAAATCTGCTCTGTCTAAAGGAAGGTTCAACTCTGTCAGTTGAATACACACAACACAAAGAAGTTACTAAGAATTCTTCCCTCTAGCATTATATGAAGAAATCCCGTTTCCAACGAAGGCATCTAAGAGGTCCAAATATCCACTTGCAGACTTTACAAACACAGGGTTTCCAGAATGCTGTATGAAAAGAAAGGTGAAACTCTGTGAGTTAAACACACACATCACTACGCAGTGTCTGGGAACGAGTTTGTCTTGTTTTTATACGAAGATATTTCCTTTTCTACCATTGGCATCGAAGCGCTTGAAATCTCCACTTGCAAATTCCACAAAAAGAGTGTTTCAAATCTGCTCTGTCTAAAGGAAGGTTGAACTCTGTGAGTTGCATATACACAACACAAAGAAGTTACTGAGAAATCTTTTGTCTAGCATAATATGAAGAAATCCCGTTTCCAACGAAGGCCTCAAAGAGGTCCGAATATCCACTGGCAGGCTTCACAAACAGAGTGTTTCCTAACTGCTCTGTGAAAAGAAAGGTTAAACTCTGTGAGTTGAACGCACACATCACAAAGGAGTTTCTGAGAATCATTCTGTCTAGTTTTTATACGAAGATATTTCCTTTTCTACCATTGACCTCAAAGCGGCTGAAATCTCCACTTGCAAATTCCAGAAAAACAGTGTTTCAAATCTGCTCTGTGTAAAGGATCGTTCAACTCTGTGAGTTGAATACACACAACACAAGGAAGTTACTGAGAATTCATCTGTCTAGCATAATATGAAGAAACCCCGTTTCCAACGAAGGCCTCAAAGAGGTCTGAATATCCACTTGCAGACTTTACAAACAGAGTGTTTCCTAAATGCTCTTTGAAAAGAAAGGTTAAACTCTGTGAGTTGAACGCACACATCACAAAACAGTTTCTGAGAATCATTCTGTCTAGTTTTTATACGAAGATATTTCCTTTTCTACCGTTGACCTCAAAGCAGCTGAATTCTCCACTTACAAATTCCACCAAAAGAGTGTCTCAAATCTGCTCTGTGTAAAGAATCATTCAACTCTGTGAGTTGAATGCACACAACACAAGGAAGTTACTGGGAATTCCTCTGTCTATCCTTACATGAAAAAACCCGTTTCCAACGAAGGCCTCTAAGAGGCCAAGATATCCACTTGCAGACTTTACAAACAGAGTGTTTCCAAACTGCTGAATGAAAAGAAAAGTTAAACTCTGTGAGTTGAACGCACACATCACAGAGCAGTTTCTGAGAATGATTCTGTCGGGTTTTTATACGAAGATATTTCCTTTTCTGCCTTTGGCCTCAAAGCGCTTGAAGTCTCCACTTGCAAATTGCAGAAAAAGAGTGTTTCGAATCTGCTCTGTCTAAAGGAAGGTTCAACTCTGTCAGTTGAATACACACAACACAAGGAAGTTACTGAGATTTCTTCTGTCTAGCCTTACATGAAAAAAACCCGTTTCCAACGAAGGCCTCAAAGAGGTCAAAATATCCACGTGCAGACTTTCCAAACAGAGTGTTTCCAAACTGCTGAATGAAAAGAAAAGTTAAACTCTGTGAGTTGAACGCACACATCCCAGAGCAGTTTCTGAGAAAGATTCTGTCTAGTTTTTATAGGAAAATATTTCCTTTTCTGCTTTTGGCCTCAAAGCGCTTGAAATCTCCACTTGCAAATTCCACAAAAAGAGACTTTCAAATCTGCTCTGTCTAAAGGAAGGTTCAACTCTGTCAGTTGAATACACACAACACAAAGAAGTTACTAAGAATTCTTCCCTCTAGCATTATATGAAGAAATCCCGTTTCCAACGAAGGCATCTAAGAGGTCCAAATATCCACTTGCAGACTTTACAAACAGAGGGTTTCCAGAATGCTGTATGAAAAGAAAGGTGAAACTCTGTGAGTTAAACACACACATCACTACGCAGTGTCTGGGAACGAGTTTGTCTTGTTTTTATACGAAGATATTTCCTTTTCTACCATTGGCATCGAAGCGCTTGAAATCTCCACTTGCAAATTCCACAAAAAGAGTGTTTCAAATCTGCTCTGTCTAAAGGAAGGTTGAACTCTGTGAGTTGCATACACACAACACAAAGAAGTTACTGAGAAATCTTCTGTCTAGCATAATATGAAGAAATCCCGTTTCCAACGAAGGCCTCAAAGAGGTCCGAATATCCACTGGCAGGCTTCACAAACAGAGTGTTTCCTAACTGCTCTGTGAAAAGAAAGGTTAAACTCTGTGAGTTGAACGCACACATCACAAAGGAGTTTCTGAGAATCATTCTGTCTAGTTTTTATACGAAGATATTTCCTTTTCTACCATTGACCTCAAAGCGGCTGAAATCTCCACTTGCAAATTCCAGAAAAACAGTGTTTCAAATCTGCTCTGTGTAAAGGATCGTTCAACTCTGTGAGTTGAATACACACAACACAAGGAAGTTACTGAGAATTCATCTGTCTAGCATAATATGAAGAAATCCCGTTTCCAACGAAGGCCTCAAAGAGGTCTGAATATCCACTTGCAGACTTTACAAACAGAGTGTTTCCTAACTGCTCTTTGAAAAGAAAGGTTAAACTCTGTGAGTTGAACGCACACATCACAAAACAGTTTCTGAGAATCATTCTGTCTAGTTTTTATACGAAGATATTTCCTTTTCTACCGTTGACCTCAAAGCGGCTGAATTCTCCACTTTCAAATTCCACCAAAAGAGTGTCTCAAATCTGCTCTGTGTAAAGAATCATTCAACTCTGTGAGTTGAATGCACACAACACAAGGAAGTTACTGGGAATTCCTCTGTCTAACCTTACATGAAAAAACCCGTTTCCAACGAAGGCCTCTAAGAGGCCAAGATATCCACTTGCAGACTTTACAAACAGAGTGTTTCCAAACTGCTGAATGAAAAGAAAAGTTAAACTCTGTGAGTTGAACGCACACATCACAGAGCAGTTTCTGAGAATGATTCTGTCGGGTTTTTATACGAAGATATTTTCTTTTCTGCCTTTGACCTCAAAGCGCTTGAAGTCTCCACTTGCAAATTGCAGAAAAAGAGTGTTTCGAATCTGCTCTGTCTAAAGGAAGGTTCAACTCTGTCAGTTGAATACACACAACACAAGGAAGTTACTGAGATTTCTTCTGTCTAGCCTTACATGAAAAAAACCCGTTTCCAACGAAGGCCTCAAAGAGGTCAAAATATCCACGTGCAGACTTTCCAAACAGAGTGTTTCCAAACTGCTGAATGAAAAGAAAAGTTAAACTCTGTGAGTTGAACGCACACATCCCAGAGCAGTTTCTGAGAAAGATTCTGTCGAGTTTTTATAGGAAAATATTTCCTTTTCTGCTTTTGGCCTCAAAGCGCTTGAAATCTCCACTTGCAAATTCCACAAAAAGAGACTTTCAAATCTGCTCTGTCTAAAGGAAGGTTCAACTCTGTCAGTTGAATACACACAACACAAAGAAGTTACTAAGAATTCTTCCCTCTAGCATTATATGAAGAAATCCCGTTCCCAACGAAGGCATCTAAGAGGTCCAAATATCCACTTGCAGACTTTACAAACAGAGGGTTTCCAGAATGCTGTATGAAAAGAAAGGTTAAACTCTGTGAGTTAAACACACACATCACTACGCAGTGTCTGGGAACGAGTTTGTCTTGTTTTTATACGAAGATATTTCCTTTTCTACCATTGGCATCGATGCGCTTGAAATTTCCACTTGCAAATTCCACAAAAAGAGTGTTTCAAATCTGCTCTGTCTAAAGGAAGGTTGAACTCTGTGAGTTGCATACACACAACACAAAGAAGTTACTGAGAAATCTTCTGTCTAGCATAATATGAAGAAATCCCGTTTCCAACGAAGGCCTCAAAGAGGTCCGAATATCCACTGGCAGGCTTCACAAACAGAGTGTTTCCTAACTGCTCTGTGAAAAGAAAGGTTAAACTCTGTGAGTTGAACGCACACATCACAAAGGAGTTTCTGAGAATCATTCTGTCTAGTTTTTATACGAAGATATTTCCTTTTCTACCATTGACCTCAAAGCAGCTGAAATCTCCACTTGCAAATTCCAGAAAAACAGTGTTTCAAATCTGCTCTGTGTAAAGGATCGTTCAACTCTGTGAGTTGAATACACACAACACAAGGAAGTTACTGAGAATTCATCTGTCTAGCATAATATGAAGAAATCCCGTTTCCAACGAAGGCCTCAAAGAGGTCTGAATATCCACTTGCAGACTTTACAAACAGAGTGTTTCCTAACTGCTCTTTGAAAAGAAAGGTTAAACTCTGTGAGTTGAACGCACACATCACAAAACAGTTTCTGAGAATCATTCTGTCTAGTTTTTATACGAAGATATTTCCTTTTCTACCGTTGACCTCAAAGCAGCTGAATTCTCCACTTACAAATTCCACCAAAAGAGTGTCTCAAATCTGTTCTGTGTATAGAATCATTCAACTCTGTGAGTTGAATGCACACAACACAAGGAAGTTACTGGGAATTCCTCTGTCTAACCTTACATGAAAAAACCCGTTTCCAACGAAGGCCTCTAAGAGGCCAAGATATCCACTTGCAGACTTTACAAACAGAGTGTTTCCAAACTGCTGAATGAAAAGAAAAGTTAAATTTCTGTGAGTTGAACGCACACATCACAGAGCAGTTTCTGAGAATGATTTCTGTCGGGTTTTTATACGAAGATATTTCCTTTTCTGCCTTTGGCCTCAAAGCGCTTGAAGTCTCCACTTGCAAATTGCAGAAAAAGAGTGTTTCGAATCTGCTCTGTCTAAAGGAAGGTTCAACTCTGTCAGTTGAATACACACAACACAAGGAAGTTACTGAGATTTCTTCTGTCTAGCGTTACATTAAAAAAACCCGTTTCCAACGAAGGCCTCAAAGAGGTCAAAATATCCACGTGCAGACTTTCCAAACAGAGTGTTTCCAAACTGCTGAATGAAAAGAAAAGTTAAACTCTGTGAGTTGAACGCACACATCCCAGAGCAGTTTCTGAGAAAGATTCTGTCTAGTTTTTATAGGAAAATATTTCCTTTTCTGCTTTTGGCCTCAAAGCGCTTGAAATCTCCACTTGCAAATTCCACAAAAAGAGACTTTCAAATCTGCTCTGTCTAAAGGAAGGTTCAACTCTGTCAGTTGAATACACACAACACAAAGAAGTTACTAAGAATTCTTCCCTCTAGCATTATATGAAGAAATCCCGTTTCCAACCGAAGGCATCTAAGAGGTCCAAATATCCACTTGCAGACTTTACAAACACAGGGTTTCCAGAATGCTGTATGAAAAGAAAGGTTAAACTCTGTGAGTTAAACACACACATCACTACGCAGTGTCTGGGAACGAGTTTGTCTTGTTTTTATACGAAGATATTTCCTTTTCTACCATTGGCATCGAAGCGCTTGAAATCTCCACTTGCAAATTCCACAAAAAGAGTGTTTCAAATCTGCTCTGTCTAAAGGAAGGTTGAACTCTGTGAGTTGCATACACACAACACAAAGAAGTTACTGAGAAATCTTCTGTCTAGCATAATATGAAGAAATCCCGTTTCCAACGAAGGCCTCAAAGAGGTCCGATTATCCACTGGCAGGCTTCACAAACAGAGTGTTTCCTAACTGCTCTGTGAAAAGAAAGGTTAAACTCTGTGAGTTGAACGCACACATCACAAAGGAGTTTCTGAGAATCATTCTGTCTAGTTTTTATACGAAGATATTTCCTTTTCTACCATTGACCTCAAAGCGGCTGAAATCTCCACTTGCAAATTCCAGAAAAACAGTGTTTCAAATCTGCTCTGTGTAAAGGATCGTTCAACTCTGTGAGTTGAATACACACAACACAAGGAAGTTACTGAGAATTCATCTGTCTAGCATAATATGAAGAAATCCCGTTTCCAACGAAGGCCTCAAAGAGGTCTGAATATCCACTTGCAGACTTTACAAACAGAGTGTTTCCTAACTGCTCTTTGAAAAGAAAGGTTAAACTCTGTGAGTTGAACGCACACATCACAAAACAGTTTCTGAGAATCATTCTGTCTAGTTTTTATACGAAGATATTTCCTTTTCTACCGTTGACCTCAAAGCGGCTGAATTCTCCACTTACAAATTCCACCAAAAGAGTGTCTCAAATCTGCTCTGTGTAAAGAATCATTCAACTCTGTGAGTTGAATGCACACAACACAAGGAAGTTACTGGGAATTCCTCTGTCTAACCTTACATGAAAAAACCCGTTTCCAACGAAGGCCTCTAAGAGGCCAAGATATCCACTTGCAGACTTTACAAACAGAGTGTTTCCAAACTGCTGAATGAAAAGAAAAGTTAAACTCTGTGAGTTGAACGCACACATCACAGAGCAGTTTCTGAGAATGATTCTGTCGGGTTTTTATACGAAGATATTTCCTTTTCTGCCTTTGGCCTCAAAGCGCTTGAAGTCTCCACTTGCAAATTGCAGAAAAAGAGTGTTTCGAATCTGCTCTGTCTAAAGGAAGGTTCAACTCTGTCAGTTGAATACACACAACACAAGGAAGTTACTGAGATTTCTTCTGTCTAGCCTTACATGAAAAAAACCCGTTTCTAACGAAGGCCTCAAAGAGGTCAAAATATCCACGTGCAGACTTTCCAAACAGAGTGTTTCCAAACTGCTGAATGGAAAGAAAAGTTAAACTCTGTGAGTTGAACGCACACATCCCAGAGCAGTTTCTGAGAAAGATTCTGTCGAGTTTTTATAGGAAAATATTTCCTTTTCTGCTTTTGGCCTCAAAGCGCTTGAAATCTCCACTTGCAAATTCCACAAAAAGAGACTTTCAAATCTGCTCTGTCTAAAGGAAGGTTCAACTCTGTCAGTTGAATACACACAACACAAAGAAGTTACTAAGAATTCTTCCCTCTAGCATTATATGAAGAAATCCCGTTTCCAACGAAGGCATCTAAGAGGTCCAAATATCCACTTGCAGACTTTACAAACACAGGGTTTCCAGAATGCTGTATGAAAAGAAAGGTGAAACTCTGTGAGTTAAACACACACATCACTACGCAGTTTCTGGGAACGAGTTTGTCTTGTTTTTATACGAAGATATTTCCTTTTCTACCATTGGCATCGAAGCGCTTGAAATCTCCACTTGCAAATTCCACAAAAAGAGTGTTTCAAATATGCTCTCTCTAAAGGAAGGTTGAACTCTGTGAGTTGCATACACACAACACAAAGAAGTTACTGAGAAATCTTCTGTCTAGCATAATATGAAGAAATCCCGTTTCCAACGAAGGCCTCAAAGAGGTCCGAATATCCACTGGCAGGCTTCACAAACAGAGTGTTTCCTAACTGCTCTGTGAAAAGAAAGGTTAAACTCTGTGAGTTGAACGCACACATCACAAAGGAGTTTCTGAGAATCATTCTGTCTAGTTTTTATACGAAGATATTTCCTTTTCTACCATTGACCTCAAAGCGGCTGAAATCTCCACTTGCAAATTCCAGAAAAACAGTGTTTCAAATCTGCTCTGTGTAAAGGATCGTTCAACTCTGTGAGTTGAATACACACAACACAAGGAAGTTACTGAGAATTCATCTGTCTAGCATAATATGATGAAATCCCGTTTCCAACGAAGGCTTCAAAGAGGTCTGAATATCCACTTGCAGACTTTACAAACAGAGTGTTTCCTAACTGCTCTTTGAAAAGAAAGGTTAAACTCTGTGAGTTGAACGCACACATCACAAAACAGTTTCTGAGAATCATTCTGTCTAGTTTTTATACGAAGATATTTCCTTTTCTACCGTTGACCTCAAAGCGGCTGAATTCTCCACTTACAAATTCCACCAAAAGAGTGTCTCAAAACTGCTCTGTGTAAAGAATCATTCAACTCTGTGAGTTGAATGCACACAACACAAGGAAGTTACTGGGAATTCCTCTGTCTAACCTTACATGACAAAACCCGTTTCCAACGAAGGCCTCTAAGAGGCCAAGATATCCACTTGCAGACTTTACAAACAGAGTGTTTCCAAACTGCTGAATGAAAAGAAAAGTTAAACTCTGTGAGTTGAATGCACACATCACAGAGCAGTTTCTGAGAATGATTCTGTCGGGTTTTTATACGAAGATATTTCCTTTTCTGCCTTTGGCCTCAAAGCGCTTGAAGTCTCCACTTGCAAATTGCAGAAAAAGAGTGTTTCGAATCTGCTCTGTCTAAAGGAAGGTTCAACTCTGTCAGTTGAATACACACAACACAAGGGAATTTACTGAGATTTCTTCTGTCTAGCCTTACATGAAAAAAACCCGTTTCCAACGAAGGCCTCAAAGAGGTCAAAATATCCACGTGCAGACTTTCCAAACAGAGTGTTTCCAAACTGCTGAATGAAAAGAAAAGATAAACTCTGTGAGTTGAACGCACACATCCCAGAGCAGTTTCTGAGAAAGATTCTCTCTAGTTTTTATAGGAAAATATTTCCTTTTCTGCTTTTGGCCTCAAAGCGCTTGAAATCTCCACTTGCAAATTCCACAAAAAGAGACTTTCAAATCTGCTCTGTCTAAAGGAAGGTTCAAATCTGTCAGTTGAATACACACAACACAAAGAAGTTACTAAGAATTCTTCCCTCTAGCATTATATGAAGAAATCCCGTTTCCAACGAAGGCATCTAAGAGGTCCAAATATCCACTTGCAGACTTTACAAACACAGGGTTTCCAGAATGCTGTATGAAAAGAAAGGTGAAACTCTGTGAGTTAAACACACACATCACTACGCAGTGTCTGGGAACGAGTTTGTCTTGTTTTTATACGAAGATATTTCCTTTTCTACCATTGGCATCGAAGCGCTTGAAATCTCCACTTGCAAATTCCACAAAAAGAGTGTTTCAAATCTGCTCTGTCTAAAGGAAGGTTGAACTCTGTGAGTTGCATATACACAACACAAAGAAGTTACTGAGAAATCTTTTGTCTAGCATAATATGAAGAAATCCCGTTTCCAACGAAGGCCTCAAAGAGGTCCGAATATCCACTGGCAGGCTTCACAAACAGAGTGTTTCCTAACTGCTCTGTGAAAAGAAAGGTTAAACTCTGTGAGTTGAACGCACACATCACAAAGGAGTTTCTGAGAATCATTCTGTCTAGTTTTTATACGAAGATATTTCCTTTTCTACCATTGACCTCAAAGCGGCTGAAATCTCCACTTGCAAATTCCAGAAAAACAGTGTTTCAAATCTGCTCTGTGTAAAGGATCGTTCAACTCTGTGAGTTGAATACACACAACACAAGGAAGTTACTGAGAATTCATCTGTCTAGCATAATATGAAGAAATCCCGTTTCCAACGAAGGCCTCAAAGAGGTCTGAATATCCACTTGCAGACTTTACAAACAGAGTGTTTCCTAACTGCTCTTTGAAAAGAAAGGTTAAACTCTGTGAGTTGAACGCACACATCACAAAACAGTTTCTGAGAATCATTCTTTCTAGTTTTTATACGAAGATATTTCCTTTTCTACCGTTGACCTCAAAGCGGCTGAATTCTCCACTTACAAATTCCACCAAAAGAGTGTCTCAAATCTGCTCTGTGTAAAGAATCATTCAACTCTGTGAGTTGAATGCATACAACACAAGGAAGTTACTGGGAATTCCTCTGTCTATCCTTACATGAAAAAACCCGTTTCCAACGAAGGCCTCTAAGAGGCCAAGATATCCACTTGCAGACTTTACAAACAGAGTGTTTCCAAACTGCTGAATGAAAAGAAAAGTTAAACTCTGTGAGTTGAACGCACACATCACAGAGCAGTTTCTGAGAGTGATTCTGTCGGGTTTTTATACGAAGATATTTCCTTTTCTGCCTTTGGCCTCAAAGCGCTTGAAGTCTCCACTTGCAAATTGCAGAAAAAGAGTGTTTCGAATCTGCTCTGTCTAAAGGAAGGTTCAACTCTGTCAGTTGAATACACACAACACAAGGAAGTTACTGAGATTTCTTCTGTCTAGCCTTACATGAAAAAAACTCGTTTCCAACGAAGGCCTCAAAGAGGTCAAAATATCCACGTGCAGACTTTCCAAACAGAGTGTTTCCAAACTGCTGAATGAAAAGAAAGTTAAACTCTCTGAGTTGAACACACACATCACAGAGCAGTTTCTGAGAATGATTCTGTCGAGTTTTTATAGGAAAATATTTCCTTTTCTGCTTTTGGCCTCAAAGCGCTTGAAATCTCCACTTGCAAATTCCACAAAAAGAGACTTTCAAATCTGCTCTGTCTAAAGGAAGGTTCAACTCTGTCAGTTGAATACACACAACACAAAGAAGTTACTAAGAATTCTTCCCTCTAGCATTATATGAAGAAATCCCGTTTCCAACGAAGGCATCTAAGAGGTCCAAATATCCACTTGCAGACTTTACAAACACAGGGTTTCCAGAATGCTGTATGAAAAGAAAGGTTAAACTCTGTGAGTTAAACACACACATCACTACGCAGTGTCTGGGAACGAGTTTGTCTTGTTTTTATACGAAGATATTTCCTTTTCTACCATTGGCATCGAAGCGCTTGAAATCTCCACTTGCAAATTCCACAAAAAGAGTGTTTCAAATCTGCTCTTTCTAAAGGAAGGTTGAACTCTGTGAGTTGCATACACACAACACAAAGAAGTTACTGAGAAATCTTCTGTCTAGCATAATATGAAGAAATCCCGTTTCCAACGAAGGCCTCAAAGAGGTCCGAATATCCACTGGCAGGCTTCACAAACAGAGTGTTTCCTAACTGCTCTGTGAAAAGAAAGGTTAAACTCTGTGAGTTGAACGCACACGTCACAAAGGAGTTTCTGAGAATCATTCTGTCTAGTTTTTATACGAAGATATTTCCTTTTCTACCATTGACCTCAAAGCGGCTGAAATCTCCACTTGCAAATTCCAGAAAAACAGTGTTTCAAATCTGCTCTGTGTAAAGGATCGTTCAACTCTGTGAGTTGAATACACACAACACAAGGAAGTTACTGAGAATTCATCTGTCTAGCATAATATGAAGAAATCCCGTTTCCAACGAAGGCCTCAAAGAGGTCTGAATATCCACTTGCAGACTTTACAAACAGAGTGTTTCCTAACTGCTCTTTGAAAAGAAAGGTTAAACTCTGTGAGTTGAACGCACACATCACAAAACAGTTTCTGAGAATCATTCTGTCTAGTTTTTATACGAAGATATTTCCTTTTCTACCGTTGACCTCAAAGCGGCTGAATTCTCCACTTACAAATTCCACCAAAAGAGTGTCTCAAATCTGCTCTGTGTAAAGAATCATTCAACTCTGTGAGTTGAATGCACACAACACAAGGAAGTTACTGGGAATTCCTCTGTCTAACCTTACATGAAAAAACCCGTTTCCAACGAAGGCCTCTAAGAGGCCAAGATATCCACTTGCAGACTTTACAAACAGAGTGTTTCCAAACTGCTGAATGAAAAGAAAAGTTAAACTCTGTGAGTTGAACGCACACATCACAGAGCAGTTTCTGAGAATGATTCTGTCGGGTTTTTATACGAAGATATTTCCTTTTCTGCCTTTGGCCTCAAAGCGCTTGAAGTCTCCACTTGCAAATTGCAGAAAAAGAGTGTTTCGAATCTGCTCTGTCTAAAGGAAGGTTCAACTCTGTCAGTTGAATACACACAACACAAGGGAATTTACTGAGATTTCTTCTGTCTAGCCTTACATGAAAAAAACCCGTTTCCAACGAAGGCCTCAAAGAGGTCAAAATATCCACGTGCAGACTTTCCAAACAGAGTGTTTCCAAACTGCTGAATGAAAAGAAAAGTTAAACTCTGTGAGTTGAACGCACACATCCCAGAGCAGTTTCTGAGAAAGATTCTGTCGAGTTTTTATAGGAAAATATTTCCTTTTCTGCTTTTGGCCTCAAAGCGCTTGAAATCTCCACTTGCAAATTCCACAAAAAGAGACTTTCAAATCTGCTCTGTCTAAAGGAAGGTTCAACTCTGTCAGTTGAATACACACAACACAAAGAAGTTACTAAGAATTCTTCCCTCTAGCATTATATGAAGAAATCCCGTTTCCAACGAAGGCATGCTAAGAGGTCCAAATATCGACTTGCAGACTTTACAAACAGAGGGTTTCCAGAATGCTGTATGAAAAGAAAGGTTAAACTCTGTGAGTTAAACACACACATCACTACGCAGTGTCTGGGAACGAGTTTGTCTTGTTTTTATACGAAGATATTTCCTTTTCTACCATTGGCATCGAAGCGCTTGAAATCTCCACTTGCAAATTCCACAAAAAGAGTGTTTCAAATCTGCTCTGTCTAAAGGAAGGTTGAACTCTGTGAGTTGCATACACACAACACAAAGAAGTTACTGAGAAATCTTCTGTCTAGCATAATATGAAGAAATCCCGTTTCCAACGAAGGCCTCAAAGAGGTCCGAATATCCACTGGCAGGCTTCACAAACAGAGTGTTTCCTAACTGCTCTGTGAAAAGAAAGGTTAAACTCTGTGAGTTGAACGCACACATCACAAAGGAGTTTCTGAGAATCATTCTGTCTAGTTTTTATACGAAGATATTTCCTTTTCTACCATTGACCTCAAAGCGGCTGAAATCTCCACTTGCAAATTCCAGAAAAACAGTGTTTCAAATCTGCTCTGTGTAAAGGATCGTTCAACTCTGTGAGTTGAATACACACAACACAAGGAAGTTACTGAGAATTCATCTGTCTAGCATAATATGAAGAAATCCCGTTTCCAACGAAGGCCTCAAAGAGGTCTGAATATCCACTTGCAGACTTTACAAACAGAGTGTTTCCTAACTGCTCTTTGAAAAGAAAGGTTAAACTCTGTGAGTTGAACGCACACATCACAAAACAGTTTCTGAGAATCATTCTGTCTAGTTTTTATACGAAGATATTTCCTTTTCTACCGTTGACCTCAAAGCGGCTGAATTCTCCACTTACAAATTCCACCAAAAGAGTGTCTCAAATCTGCTCTGTGTAAAGAATCATTCAACTCTGTGAGTTGAATGCACACAACACAAGGAAGTTACTGGGAATTCCTCTGTCTATCCTTACATGAAAAAACCCGCTTCCAACGAAGGCCTCTAAGAGGCCAAGATATCCACTTGCAGACTTTACAAACAGAGTGTTTCCAAACTGCTGAATGAAAAGAAAAGTTAAACTCTGTGAGTTGAACGCACACATCACAGAGCAGTTTCTGAGAATGATTCTGTCGGGTTTTTATACGAAGATATTTCCT
Organism: Homo sapiens; assembly: GCF_000001405.40. Lineage (NCBI taxonomy): Eukaryota > Metazoa > Chordata > Mammalia > Primates > Hominidae > Homo > Homo sapiens. The sequence continues at coordinate 38,183,580 of NC_000016.10, read as the reverse complement.
TTTCTGCCTTTGGCCTCAAAGCACTTGAAGTCTCCACTTGCAAATTGCAGAAAAAGAGTGTTTCGAATCTGCTCTGTCTAAAGGAAGGTTCAACTCTGTCAGTTGAATACACACAACACAAGGAAGTTACTGAGATTTCTTCTGTCTAGCCTTACATGAAAAAAACCCGTTTCCAACGAAGGCCTCAAAGAGGTCAAAATATCCACGTGCAGACTTTCCAAACAGAGTGTTTCCAAACTGCTGAATGAAAAGAAAAGTTAAACTCTGTGAGTTGAACGCACACATCCCAGAGCAGTTTCTGAGAAAGATTCTGTCGAGGTTTTATAGGAAAATATTTCCTTTTCTGCTTTTGGCCTCAAAGCGCTTGAAATCTCCACTTGCAAATTCCACAAAAAGAGACTTTCAAATCTGCTCTGTCTAAAGGAAGGTTCAACTCTGTCAGTTGAATACACACAACACAAAGAAGTTACTAAGAATTCTTCCCTCTAGCATTATATGAAGAAATCCCGTTTCCAACGAAGGCATCTAAGAGGTCCAAATATCCACTTGCAGACTTTACAAACACAGGGTTTCCAGAATGCTGTATGAAAAGAAAGGTTAAACTCTGTGAGTTAAACACACACATCACTACGCAGTGTCTGGGAACGAGTTTGTCTTGTTTTTATACGAAGATATTTCCTTTTCTACCATTGGCATCGAAGCGCTTGAAATCTCCACTTGCAAATTCCACAAAAAGAGTGTTTCAAATCTGCTCTGTCTAAAGGAAGGTTGAACTCTGTGAGTTGCATACACACAACACAAAGAAGTTACTGAGAAATCTTCTGTCTAGCATAATATGAAGAAATCCCGTTTCCAACGAAGGCCTCAAAGAGGTCCGAATATCCACTGGCAGGCTTCACAAACAGAGTGTTTCCTAACTGCTCTGTGAAAAGAAAGGTTAAACTCTGTGAGTTGAACGCACACATCACAAAGGAGTTTCTGAGAATCATTCTGTCTAGTTTTTATACGAAGATATTTCCTTTTCTACCATTGACCTCAAAGCGGCTGAAATCTCCACTTGCAAATTCCAGAAAAACAGTGTTTCAAATCTGCTCTGTGTAAAGGATCGTTCAACTCTGTGAGTTGAATACACACAACACAAGGAAGTTACTGAGAATTCATCTGTCTAGCATAATATGAAGAAATCCCGTTTCCAACGAAGGCCTCAAAGAGGTCTGAATATCCACTTGCAGACTTTACAAACAGAGTGTTTCCTAACTGCTCTCTGAAAAGAAAGGTTAAACTCTGTGAGTTGAACGCACACATCAAAAAACAGTTTCTGAGAATCATTCTGTCTAGTTTTTATACGAAGATATTTCCTTTTCTACCGTTGACCTCAAAGCGGCTGAATTCTCCACTTACAAATTCCACCAAAAGAGTGTCTCAAATCTGCTCTGTGTAAAGAATCATTCAACTCTGTGAGTTGAATGCACACAACACAAGGAAGTTACTGGGAATTCCTCTGTCTAACCTTACATGAAAAAACCCGTTTCCAACGAAGGCCTCTAAGAGGCCAAGATATCCACTTGCAGACTTTACAAACAGAGTGTTTCCAAACTGCTGAATGAAAAGAAAAGTTAAACTCTGTGAGTTGAACGCACACATCACAGAGCAGTTTCTGAGAATGATTCTGTCGGGTTTTTATACGAGATATTTCCTTTTCTGCCTTTGGCCTCAAAGCGCTTGAAGTCTCCACTTGCAAATTGCAGAAAAAGAGTGTTTCGAATCTGCTCTGTCTAAAGGAAGGTTCAACTCTGTCAGTTGAATACACACAACACAAGGAAGTTACTGAGATTTCTTCTGTCTAGCCTTACATGAAAAAAACCCGTTTCCAACGAAGGCCTCAAAGAGGTCAAAATATCCACGTGCAGACTTTCCAAACAGAGTGTTTCCAAACTGCTGAATGAAAAGAAAAGTTAAACTCTGTGAGTTGAACGCACACATCCCAGAGCAGTTTCTGAGAAAGATTCTGTCTAGTTTTTATAGGAAAATATTTCCTTTTCTGCTTTTGGCCTCAAAGCGCTTGAAATCTCCACTTGCAAATTCCACAAAAAGAGACTTTCAAATCTGCTCTGTCTAAAGGAAGGTTCAACTCTGTCAGTTGAATACACACAACACAAAGAAGTTACTAAGAATTCTTCCCTCTAGCATTATATGAAGAAATCCCGTTTCCAACGAAGGCATCTAAGAGGTCCAAATATCCACTTGCAGACTTTACAAACAGAGGGTTTCCAGAATGCTGTATGAAAAGAAAGGTGAAACTCTGTGAGTTAAACACACACATCACTACGCAGTGTCTGGGAACGAGTTTGTCTTGTTTTTATACGAAGATATTTCCTTTTCTACCATTGGCATCGAAGCGCTTGAAATCTCCACTTGCAAATTCCACAAAAAGAGTGTTTCAAATCTGCTCTGTCTAAAGGAAGGTTGAACTCTGTGAGTTGCATACACACAACACAAAGAAGTTACTGAGAAATCTTCTGTCTAGCAAAATATGAAGAAATCCCGTTTCCAACGAAGGCCTCAAAGAGGTCCGAATATCCACTGGCAGGCTTCACAAACAGAGTGTTTCCTAACTGCTCTGTGAAAAGAAAGGTTAAACTCTGTGAGTTGAACGCACACATCACAAAGGAGTTTCTGAGAATCATTCTGTCTAGTTTTTATACGAAGATATTTCCTTTTCTACCGTTGACCTCAAAGCGGCTGAAATCTCCACTTGCAAATTCCAGAAAAACAGTGTTTCAAATCTGCTCTGTGTAAAGGATCGTTCAACTCTGTGAGTTGAATACACACAACACAAGGAAGTTACTGAGAATTCATCTGTCTAGCATAATATGAAGAAATCCCGTTTCCAAGGAAGGCCTCAAAGAGGTCCGAATATCCACTGGCAGACTTCACAAACAGAGTGTTTCCTAACTGCTCTTTGAAAAGAAAGGTTAAACTCTGTGAGTTGAACGCACACATAACAAAACAGTTTCTGAGAATCATTCTTTCTAGTTTTTATACGAAGATATTTCCTTTTCTACCGTTGACCTCAAAGCGGCTGAATTCTCCACTTACAAATTCCACCAAAAGAGTGTCTCAAATCTGCTCTGTGTAAAGAATCATTCAACTCTGTGAGTTGAATGCACACAACACAAGGAAGTTACTGGGAATTCCTCTGTCTATCCTTACATGAAAAAACCCGTTTCCAACGAAGGCCTCTAAGAGGCCAAGATATCCACTTGCAGACTTTACAAACAGAGTGTTTCCAAACTGCTGAATGAAAAGAAAAGTTAAACTCTGTGAGTTGAACGCACACATCACAGAGCAGTTTCTGAGAATGATTCTGTCGGGTTTTTATACGAAGATATTTCCTTTTCTGCCTTTGGCCTCAAAGCGCTTGAAGTCTCCACTTGCAAATTGCAGAAAAAGAGTGTTTCGAATCTGCTCTGTCTAAAGGAAGGTTCAACTCTGTCAGTTGAATACACACAACACAAGGAAGTTACTGAGATTTCTTCTGTCTAGCCTTACATGAAAAAAACCCGTTTCCAACGAAGGCCTCAAAGAGGTCAAAATATCCACGTGCAGACTTTCCAAACAGAGTGTTTCCAAACTGCTGAATGAAAAGAAAAGTTAAACTCTGTGAGTTGAACGCACACATCCCAGAGCAGTTTCTGAGAAAGATTCTGTCTAGTTTTTATAGGAAAATATTTCCTTTTCTGCTTTTGGCCTCAAAGCGCTTGAAATCTCCACTTGCAAATTCCACAAAAAGAGACTTTCAAATCTGCTCTGTCTAAAGGAAGGTTCAACTCTGTCAGTTGAATACACACAACACAAAGAAGTTACTAAGAATTCTTCCCTCTAGCATTATATGAAGAAATCCCGTTTCCAACGAAGGCATCTAAGAGGTCCAAATATCCACTTGCAGACTTTACAAACACAGGGTTTCCAGAATGCTGTATGAAAAGAAAGGTGAAACTCTGTGAGTTAAACACACACATCACTACGCAGTGTCTGGGAACGAGTTTGTCTTGTTTTTATACGAAGATATTTCCTTTTCTACCATTGGCATCGAAGCGCTTGAAATCTCCACTTGCAAATTCCACAAAAAGAGTGTTTCAAATCTGCTCTGTCTAAAGGAAGGTTGAACTCTGTGAGTTGCATACACACAACACAAAGAAGTTACTGAGAAATCTTCTGTCTAGCATAATATGAAGAAATCCCGTTTCCAACGAAGGCCTCAAAGAGGTCCGAATATCCACTGGCAGGCTTCACAAACAGAGTGTTTCCTAACTGCTCTGTGAAAAGAAAGGTTAAACCCTGTGAGTTGAACGCACACATCACAAAGGAGTTTCTGAGAATCATTCTGTCTAGTTTTTATACGAAGATATTTCCTTTTCTACCATTGACCTCAAAGCGGCTGAAATCTCCACTTGCAAATTCCAGAAAAACAGTGTTTCAAATCTGCTCTGTGTAAAGGATCGTTCAACTCTGTGAGTTGAATACACACAACACAAGGAAGTTACTGAGAATTCATCTGTCTAGCATATGATGAAATCCCGTTTCCAACGAAGGCTTCAAAGAGGTCTGAATATCCACTTGCAGACTTTACAAACAGAGTGTTTCCTAACTGCTCTTTGAAAAGAAAGGTTAAACTCTGTGAGTTGAACGCACACATCACAAAACAGTTTCTGAGAATCATTCTGTCTAGTTTTTATACGAAGATATTTCCTTTTCTACCGTTGACCTCAAAGCGGCTGAATTCTCCACTAACAAATTCCACCAAAAGAGTGTCTCAAATCTGCTCTGTGTAAAGAATCATTCAACTCTGTGAGTTGAATGCACACAACACAAGGAAGTTACTGGGAATTCCTCTGTCTATCCTTACATGAAAAAACCCGTTTCCAACGAAGGCCTCTAAGAGGCCAAGATATCCACTTGCAGACTTTACAAACAGAGTGTTTCCAAACTGCTGAATGAAAAGAAAAGTTAAACTCTGTGAGTTGAACGCACACATCACAGAGCAGTTTCTGAGAATGATTCTGTCTGGTTTTTATACGAAGATATTTCCTTTTCTGCCTTTGGCCTCAAAGCGCTTGAAGTCTCCACTTGCAAATTGCAGAAAAAGAGCGTTTCGAATCTGCTCTGTCTAAAGGAAGGTTCAACTCTGTCAGTTGAATACACACAACACAAGGAAGTTACTGAGATTTCTTCTGTCTAGCCTTACATGAAAAAAACCCGTTTCCAACGAAGGCCTCAAAGAGGTCAAAATATCCACGTGCAGACTTTCCAAACAGAGTGTTTCCAAACTGCTGAATGAAAAGAAAAGTTAAACTCTGTGAGTTGAACGCACACATCCCAGAGCAGTTTCTGAGAAAGATTCTGTCGAGTTTTTATAGGAAAATATTTCCTTTTCTGCTTTCGGCCTCAAAGCGCTTGAAATCTCCACTTGCAAATTCCACAAAAAGAGACTTTCAAATCTGCTCTGTCTAAAGGAAGGTTCAACTCTGTCAGTTGAATACACACAACACAAAGAAGTTACTAAGAATTCTTCCCTCTAGCATTATATGAAGAAATCCCGTTTCCAACGAAGGCATCTAAGAGGTCCAAATATCCACTTGCAGACTTTACAAACAGAGGGTTTCCAGAATGCTGTATGAAAAGAAAGGTGAAACTCTGTGAGTTAAACACACACATCACTACGCAGTGTCTGGGAACGAGTTTGTCTTGTTTTTATACGAAGATATTTCCTTTTCTACCATTGGCATCGAAGCGCTTGAAATCTCCACTTGCAAATTCCACAAAAAGAGTGTTTCAAATCTGCTCTGTCTAAAGGAAGGTTGAACTCTGTGAGTTGCATACACACAACACAAAGAAGTTACTGAGAAATCTTCTGTCTAGCATAATATGAAGAAATCCCGTTTCCAACGAAGGCCTCAAAGAGGTCCGAATATCCACTGGCAGGCTTCACAAACAGAGTGTTTCCTAACTGCTCTGTGAAAAGAAAGGTTAAACTCTGTGAGTTGAACGCACACATCACAAAGGAGTTTCTGAGAATCATTCTGTCTAGTTTTTATACGAAGATATTTCCTTTTCTACCATTGACCTCAAAGCGGCTGAAATCTCCACTTGCAAATTCCAGAAAAACAGTGTTTCAAATCTGCTCTGTGTAAAGGATCGTTCAACTCTGTGAGTTGAATACACACAACACAAGGAAGTTACTGAGAATTCATCTGTCTAGCATAATATGAAGAAATCCCGTTTCCAACGAAGGCCTCAAAGAGGTCTGAATATCCACTTGCAGACTTTACAAACAGAGTGTTTCCTAACTGCTCTTTGAAAAGAAAGGTTAAACTCTGTGAGTTGAACGCACACATCACAAAACAGTTTCTGAGAATCATTCTGTCTAGTTTTTATACGAAGATATTTCCTTTTCTACCATTGACCTCAAAGCGGCTGAATTCTCCACTAACAAATTCCACCAAAAGAGTGTCTCAAATCTGCTCTGTGTAAAGAATCATTCAACTACTGTGAGTTGAATGCACACAACACAAGGAAGTTACTGGGAATTCCTCTGTCTATCCTTACATGAAAAAACCCGTTTCCAACGAAGGCCTCTAAGAGGCCAAGATATCCACTTGCAGACTTTACAAACAGAGTGTTTCCAAACTGCTGAATGAAAAGAAAAGTTAAACTCTGTGAGTTGAACGCACACATCACAGAGCAGTTTCTGAGAATGATTCTGTCGGGTTTTTATACGAAGATATTTCCTTTTCTGCCTTTGGCCTCAAAGCGCTTGAAGTCTCCACTTGCAAATTGCAGAAAAAGAGTGTTTCGAATCTGCTCTGTCTAAAGGAAGGTTCAACTCTGTCAGTTGAATACACACAACACAAGGAAGTTACTGAGATTTCTTCTGTCTAGCCTTACATGAAAAAAACCCGTTTCCAACGAAGGCCTCAAAGAGGTCAAAATATCCACGTGCAGACTTTCCAAACAGAGTGTTTCCAAACTGCTGAATGAAAAGAAAAGTTAAACTCTGTGAGTTGAACGCACACATCCCAGAGCAGTTTCTGAGAAAGATTCTGTCGAGTTTTTATAGGAAAATATTTCCTTTTCTGCTTTTGGCCTCAAAGCGCTTGAAATCTCCACTTGCAAATTCCACAAAAAGAGACTTTCAAATCTGCTCTGTCTAAAGGAAGGTTCAACTCTGTCAGTTGAATACACACAACACAAAGAAGTTACTAAGAATTCTTCCCTCTAGCATTATATGAAGAAATCCCGTTTCCAACGAAGGCATCTAAGAGGTCCAAATATCCACTTGCAGACTTTACAAACACAGGGTTTCCAGAATGCTGTATGAAAAGAAAGGTTAAACTCTGTGAGTTAAACACACACATCACTACGCAGTGTCTGGGAACGAGTTTGTCTTGTTTTTATACGAAGATATTTCCTTTTCTACCATTGGCATCGAAGCGCTTGAAATCTCCACTTGCAAATTCCACAAAAAGAGTGTTTCAAATCTGCTCTGTCTAAAGGAAGGTTGAACTCTGTGAGTTGCATACACACAACACAAAGAAGTTACTGAGAAATCTTCTGTCTAGCATAATATGAAGAAATCCCGTTTCCAACGAAGGCCTCAAAGAGGTCCGAATATCCACTGGCAGGCTTCACAAACAGAGTGTTTCCTAACTGCTCTGTGAAAAGAAAGGTTAAACTCTGTGAGTTGAACGCACACATCACAAAGGAGTTTCTGAGAATCATTCTGTCTAGTTTTTATACGAAGATATTTCCTTTTCTACCATTGACCTCAAAGCGGCTGACATCTCCACTTGCAAATTCCAGAAAAACAGTGTTTCAAATCTGCTCTGTGTAAAGGATCGTTCAACTCTGTGAGTTGAATACACACAACACAAGGAAGTTACTGAGAATTCATCTGTCTAGCATAATATGAAGAAATCCCGTTTCCAACGAAGGCCTCAAAGAGGTCTGAATATCCACTTGCAGACTTTACAAACAGAGTGTTTCCTAACTGCTCTTTGAAAAGAAAGGTTAAACTCTGTGAGTTGAACGCACACATCACAACACAGTTTCTGAGAATCATTCTGTCTAGTTTTTATACGAAGATATTTGCTTTTCTATCGTTGACCTCAAAGCGGCTGAATTCTCCACTTACAAATTCCACCAAAAGAGTGTCTCAAATGTGCTCTGTGTAAAGAATCATTCAACTCTGTGAGTTGAATGCACACAACACAAGGAAGTTACTGGGAATTCCTTCTGTCTAACCTTAGATGAAAAAAACCCGTTTCCAACGAAGGCCTCTAAGAGGCCAATATATCCACTTGCAGACTTTACAAACAGAGTGTTTCCAAACTGCTGAATGAAAAGAAAAGTTAAACTCTGTGAGTTGAACGCACACATCACAGAGCAGTTTCTGAGAATGATTCTGTCGGGTTTTTATACGAAGATATTTCCTTTTCTGCCTTTGGCCTCAAAGCGCTTGAAGTCTCCACTTGCAAATTGCAGAAAAAGAGTGTTTCGAATCTGCTCTGTCTAAAAGAAGGTTCAACTCTGTCAGTTGAATACACACAACACAAGGAAGTTACTGAGATTTCTTCTGTCTAGCCTTACATGAAAAAAACCCGTTTCCAACGAAGGCCTCAAAGAGGTCAAAATATCCACGTGCAGACTTTCCAAACAGAGTGTTTCCAAACTGCTGAATGAAAAGAAAAGTTAAACTCTGTGAGTTGAACGCACACATCCCAGAGCAGTTTCTGAGAAAGATTCTGTCTAGTTTTTATAGGAAAATATTTCCTTTTCTGCTTTTGGCCTCAAAGCGCTTGAAATCTCCACTTGCAAATTCCACAAAAAGAGACTTTCAAATCTGCTCTGTCTAAAGGAAGGTTCAACTCTGTCAGTTGAATACACACAACACAAAGAAGTTACTAAGAATTCTTCCCTCTAGCATTATATGAAGAAATCCCGTTTCCAACGAAGGCATCTAAGAGGTCCAAATATCCACTTGCAGACTTTACAAACACAGGGTTTCCAGAATGCTGTATGAAAAGAAAGGTTAAACTCTGTGAGTTAAACACACACATCACTACGCAGTGTCTGGGAACGAGTTTGTCTTGTTTTTATACGAAGATATTTCCTTTTCTACCATTGGCATCGAAGCGCTTGAAATCTCCACTTGCAAATTCCACAAAAAGAGTGTTTCAAATCTGCTCTGTCTAAAGGAAGGTTGAACTCTGTGAGTTGCATACACACAACACAAAGAAGTTACTGAGAAATCTTCTGTCTAGCATAATATGAAGAAATCCCGTTTCCAACGAAGGCCTCAAAGAGGTCCGAATATCCACTGGCAGGCTTCACAAACAGAGTGTTTCCTAACTGCTCTGTGAAAAGAAAGGTTAAACTCTGTGAGTTGAACGCACACATCACAAAGGAGTTTCTGAGAATCATTCTGTCTAGTTTTTATACGAAGCATATTTCCTTTTCTACCATTGACCTCAAAGCGGCTGAAATCTCCACTTGCAAATTCCAGAAAAACAGTGTTTCAAATCTGCTCTGTGTAAAGGATCGTTCAACTCTGTGAGTTGAATACACACAACACAAGGAAAGTTACTGAGAATTCATCTGTCTAGCATAATATGAAGAAATCCCGTTTCCAACGAAGGCTTCAAAGAGGTCTGAATATCCACTTGCAGACTTTACAAACAGAGTGTTTCCTAACTGCTCTTTGAAAAGAAAGGTTAAACTCTGTGAGTTGAACGCACACATCACAAAACAGTTTCTGAGAATCATTCTTTCTAGTTTTTATACGAAGATATTTCCTTTTCTACCGTTGACCTCAAAGCGGCTGAATTCTCCACTTACAAATTCCACCAAAAGTGTGTCTCAAATCTGCTCTGTGTAAAGAATCATTCAACTCTGTGAGTTGAATGCACACAACACAAGGAAGTTACTGGGAATTCCTCTGTCTAACCTTACATGAAAAAACCCGTTTCCAACGAAGGCCTCTAAGAGGCCAAGATATCCACTTGCAGACTTTACAAACAGAGTGTTTCCAAACTGCTGAATGAAAAGAAAAGTTAAACTCTGTGAGTTGAACGCACACATCACAGAGCAGTTTCTGAGAATGATTCTGTCGGGTTTTTATACGAAGATATTTCCTTTTCTGCCTTGGCCTCAAAGCGCTTGAAGTCTCCACTTGCAAATTGCAGAAAAAGAGCGTTTCGAATCTGCTCTGTCTAAAGGAAGGTTCAACTCTGTCAGTTAAATACACACAACACAAGGAAGTTACTGAGATTTCTTCTGTCTAGCCTTACATGAAAAAAACCCGTTTCCAACGAAGGCCTCAAAGAGGTCAAAATATCCACGTGCAGACTTTCCAAACAGAGTGTTTCCAAACTGCTGAATGAAAAGAAAGTTAAACTCTGTGAGTTGAACACACACATCACAGAGCAGTTTCTGAGAATGATTCTCTCTAGTTTTTATAGGAAAATATTTCCTTTTCTGCTTTTGGCCTCAAAGCGCTTGAAATCTCCACTTGCAAATTCCACAAAAAGAGACTTTCAAATCTGCTCTGTCTAAAGGAAGGTTCAACTGCTGTCAGTTGAATACACACAACACAAAGAAGTTACTAAGAATTCTTCCCTCTAGCATTATATGAAGAAATCCCTTTTCCAACGAAGGCATCTAAGCGGTCCAAATATCCACTTGCAGACTTTACAAACAGAGTGTTCCCAGAATGCTGTATGAAAAGAAAGGTTAAACTCTGTGAGTTAAACACACACATCACTACGCAGATTCTGGGAATGATTTTGTCTTGTTTTTATACGAAGATATATCCTTTTCTACCATTGGCATCGAAGGGCCTTAAATCTCCACAAGCAAATTCCACAAAAAGACTGTTTCAAATCTGCTCTGTCTAAAGGAAGGTTGAACTCTGTGAGTTGCATACACACAACAAAAAGTAGTTACTCAGAAATCTTCTGTCTAGCATAATATGAAGAAATCCCTTTTCCAACGAAGGCTTTAAAGAGGTCCGAATATCCACTGGCAGAGTTCCCAAACAGAGTGTTTCCTAACTGCTCTATGAAAAGAAAGGTTAAACTCTGTGAGTTGAACGCACACATCACAAAGGAGTTTCTGAGAATCATTCTGTCTAGTTTTTATACGAAGATATTTCCTTTTCTACCATTGACCTCAAAGCTGCTGATTTCTCCACTTACAAATTCCACCAAAAGAGTGTCTCAAATCTGCTCTATGTAAAGAATCATTCAACTCTGTGAGTTGAATGCACACAACACAAAGAAGTTACTGGGAATTCCTCTGTCTAGCATAATATGAAGAAATCCCGTTTCCAACGAAGGCCTCAAAGAGGTCTGAATATCCACTTGCAGACTTTACAAACAGAGTGTTTCCTAACTGCTCTTTGAAAAGAAAGGTTAAACTCTGTGAGTTGAACGCACACATCACAAAACAGTTTCTGAGAATCATTCTGTCTAGTTTTTATACGAAGATATATCCTTTTCTACCGTTGACCTCAAAGCGGCTGAATTCTCCACTAACAAATTCCACCAAAAGAGTGTCTCAAATCTACTCTGTGTAAAGAATCATTCAACTCTGTGAGTTGAATGCACACAACACAAGGAAGTTACTGGGAATTCCTCTGTCTATCCTTACATGAAAAAACCCGTTTCCAACGAAGGCCTCTAAGAGGCCAAGATATCCACTTGCAGACTTTACAAACAGAGTGTTTCCAAACTGCTGAATGAAAAGAAAAGTTAAACTCTGTGAGTTGAACGCACACATCACAGAGCAGTTTCTGAGAATGATTCTGTCGGGTTTTTATACGAAGATATTTCCTTTTCTGCCTTTGGCCTCAAAGCGCTTGAAGTCTCCACTTGCAAATTGCAGAAAAAGAGTGTTTCAAATCTGCTCTGTCTAAAGGAAGGTTCAACTCTGTCAGTTGAATACACACAACACAAGGAAGTTACTGAGATTTCTTCTGTCTAGCCTTACATGAAAAAAACCCGTTTCCAACGAAGGCCTCAAAGAGGTCAAAATATCCACGTGCAGACTTTCCAAACAGAGTGTTTCCAAACTGCTGAATGAAAAGAAAAGTTAAACTCTGTGAGTTGAACGCACACATCCCAGAGCAGTTTCTGAGAAAGATTCTGTCGAGTTTTTATAGGAAAATATTTCCTTTTCTGCTTTTGGCCTCAAAGCGCTTGAAATCTCCACTTGCAAATTCCACAAAAAGAGACTTTCAAATCTGCTCTGTCTAAAGGAAGGTTCAACTCTGTCAGTTGAATACACACAACACAAAGAAGTTACTAAGAATTCTTCCCTCTAGCATTATATGAAGAAATCCCGTTTCCAACGAAGGCATCTAAGAGGTCCAAATATCCACTTGCAGACTTTACAAACACAGGGTTTCCAGAATGCTGTATGAAAAGAAAGGTGAAACTCTGTGAGTTAAACACACACATCACTACGCAGTGTCTGGGAACGAGTTTGTCTTGTTTTTATACGAAGATATTTCCTTTTCTACCATTGGCATCGAAGCGCTTGAAATCTCCACTTGCAAATTCCACAAAAAGAGTGTTTCAAATCTGCTCTGTCTAAAGGAAGGTTGAACTCTGTGAGTTGCATACACACAACACAAAGAAGTTACTGAGAAATCTTCTGTCTAGCATAATATGAAGAAATCCCGTTTCCAACGAAGGCCTCAAAGAGGTCCGAATATCCACTGGCAGGCTTCACAAACAGAGTGTTTCCTAACTGCTCTGTGAAAAGAAAGGTTAAACTCTGTGAGTTGAACGCACACATCACAAAGGAGTTTCTGAGAATCATTCTGTCTAGTTTTTATACGAAGATATTTCCTTTTCTACCATTGACCTCAAAGCGGCTGAAATCTCCACTTGCAAATTCCAGAAAAACAGTGTTTCAAATCTGCTCTGTGTAAAGGATCGTTCAACTCTCTGAGTTGAATACACACAACACAAGGAAGTTACTGAGAATTCATCTGTCTAGCATAATATGATGAAATCCCGTTTCCAACGAAGGCTTCAAAGAGGTCTGAATATCCACTTGCAGACTTTACAAACAGAGTGTTTCCTAACTGCTCTTTGAAAAGAAAGGTTAAACTCTGTGAGTTGAACGCACACATCACAAAACAGTTTCTGAGAATCATTCTTTCTAGTTTTTATACGAAGATATTTCCTTTTCTACCGTTGACCTCAAAGCGGCTGAATTCTCCACTTACAAATTCCACCAAAAGAGTGTCTCAAATCTGCTCTGTGTAAAGAATCATTCAACTCTGTGAGTTGAATGCACACAACACAAGGAAGTTACTGGGAATTCCTCTGTCTAACCTTACATGAAAAAACCCGTTTCCAACGAAGGCCTCTAAGAGGCCAAGATATCCACTTGCAGACTTTACAAACAGAGTGTTTCCAAACTGCTGAATGAAAAGAAAAGTTAAACTCTGTGAGTTGAACGCACACATCACAGAGCAGTTTCTGAGAATGATTCTGTCGGGTTTTTATACGAAGATATTTCCTTTTCTGCCTTTGGCCTCAAAGCGCTTGAAGTCTCCACTTGCAAATTGCAGAAAAAGAGTGTTTCGAATCTGCTCTGTCTAAAAGAAGGTTCAACTCTGTCAGTTGAATACACACAACACAAGGAAAGTTACTGAGATTTCTTCTGTCTAGCCTTACATGAAAAAAACCCGTTTCCAACGAAGGCCTCAAAGAGGTCAAAATATCCACGTGCAGACTTTCCAAACAGAGTGTTTCCAAACTGCTGAATGAAAAGAAAAGTTAAACTCTGTGAGTTGAATGCACACATCCCAGAGCAGTTTCTGAGAATGATTCTGTCTAGTTTTTATAGGAAAATATTTCCTTTTCTGCTTTTGGCCTCAAAGCGCTTGAAATCTCCACTTGCAAATTCCACAAAAAGAGACTTTCAAATCTGCTCTGTCTAAAGGAAGGTTCAACTCTGTCAGTTGAATACACACAACACAAAGAAGTTACTAAGAATTCTTCCCTCTAGCATTATATGAAGAAATCCCGTTTCCAACGAAGGCATCTAAGAGGTCCAAATATCCACTTCCAGACTTTACAAACAGAGGGTTTCCAGAATGTTGTATGAAAAGAAAGGTTAAACTCTGTGAGTTAAACACACACATCACTACGCAGTGTCTGGGAACGAGTTTGTCTTGTTTTTATACGAAGATGTTTCCTTTTCTACCATTGGCATCGATGCGCTTGAAATTTCCACTTGCAAATTCCACAAAAAGAGTGTTTCAAATCTGCTCTGTCTAAAGGAAGGTTGAACTCTGTGAGTAGCATACACACAACACAAAGAAGTTACTGAGAAATCTTCTGTCTAGCATAATATGAAGAAATCCCGTTTCCAACGAAGGCCTCAAAGAGGTCCGAATATCCACTGGCAGGCTTCACAAACAGAGTGTTTCCTAACTGCTCTGTGAAAAGAAAGGTTAAACTCTGTGAGTTGAACGCACACATCACAAAGGAGTTTCTGAGAATCATTCTGTCTAGTTTTTATACGAAGATATTTCCTTTTCTACCATTGACCTCAAAGCGGCTGAAATCTCCACTTGCAAATTCCAGAAAAACAGTGTTTCAAATCTGCTCTGTGTAAAGGATCGTTTAACTCTGTGAGTTGAATACACACAACACAAGGAAGTTACTGAGAATTCATCTGTCTAGCATAACATGAAGAAATCCCGTTTCCAACGAAGGCCTCAAAGAGGTCTGAATATCCACTTGCAGACTTTACAAACAGAGTGTTTCCTAACTGCTCTGTGAAAAGAAAGGTTAAACTCTGTGAGTTGAACGCACACATCACAAAGGAGTTTCTGAGAATCATTCTGTCTAGTTTTTATATGAAGATATTTCCTTTTCTACCATTGACCACAAAGCGGCTGAAATCTCCACTTGCAAATTCCAGAAAAAGAGTGTTTCAAATCTGCTCTGTGTAAAGGATCGTTCAACTCTGTGAGTTGAATACACACAACACAAGGAAGTTACTGAGAATTCTTCTGTCTAGCATAATATGAAGAAATCCCGTTTCCAACGAAGGCATCTAAGAGGTCCAAATATCCACTTGCAGACTTTACAAACAGAGTGTTTCCTAACTGCTCTTTGAAAAGAAAGGTTAAACTCTGTGAGTTGAACGCACACATCACAAAACAGTTTCTGAGAATCATTCTGTCTAGTTTTTATACGAAGATATTTCCTTTTCTACCATTGACCTCAAAGCGGCTGAATTCTCCACTTACAAATTCCACCAAAAGAGTGTCTCAAATCTGCTCTGTGTAAAGAATCATTCAACACTGTGAGTTGAATGCACACAACACAAGGAAGTTACTGGGAATTCCTCTGTCTAACCTTACATGAAAAAAACCCGTTTCCAACGAAGGCCTCTAAGAGGCCAACATATCCACTTGCAGACTTTAGAAACAGAGTGTTTCCAAACTGCTGAATGAAAAGAAAAGTTAAACTCTGTGAGTTGAACGCACACATCACAGAGCAGTTTCTGAGAATGATTCTGTCGGGTTTTTATACGAAGATATTTCCTTTTCTGCCTTTGGCCTCAAAGCGCTTGAAGTCTCCACTTGCAAATTGCAGAAAAAGAGTGTTTGGAATCTGCTCTGTCTAAAGGAAGGTTCAACCTTGTCAGTTGAATACACACAACACAAGGAAGTTACTGAGATTTCCTCTGTCTAGCCTTACATGAAAAAAACCCGTTTCCAACGAAGGCCTCAAAGAGGTCAAAATATCCACGTGCAGACTTTCCAAACAGAGTGTTTCCAAACTGCTGAATGAAAAGAAAGTTAAACTCTGTGAGTTGAACACACACATCACAGAGCAGTTTCTGAGAATGATTCTGTCGAGTTTTTATAGGAAAATATTTCCTTTTCTGCTTTTGGCCTCAAAGCGCTTGAAATCTCCACTTGCAAATTCCACAAAAAGAGACTTTCAAATCTGCTCTGTCTAAAGGAAGGTTCAACTCTGTCAGTTGAATACACACAACACAAAGAAGTTACTAAGAATTCTTCCCTCTAGCATTATATGAAGAAATCCCGTTTCCAACGAAGGCATCTAAGAGGTCCAAATATCCACTTGCAGACTTTACAAACAGAGGGTTTCCAGAATGCTGTATGAAAAGAAAGGTTAAACTCTGTGAGTTAAACACACACATCACTACGCAGTGTTCTGGGAACGAGTTTGTCTTGTTTTTATACGAAGATATTTCCTTTTCTACCATTGGCATCGAAGCGCTTGAAATCTCCACTTGCAAATTCCACAAAAAGAGTGTTTCAAATCTGCTCTGTCTAAAGGAAGGTTGAACTCTGTGAGTTGCATACACACAACACAAAGAAGTTACTGAGAAATCTTCTGTCTAGCATAATATGAAGAAATCCCGTTTCCAACGAAGGCCTCAAAGAGGTCCGAATATCCACTGGCAGGCTTCACAAACAGAGTGTTTCCTAACTGCTCTGTGAAAAGAAAGGTTAAACTCTGTGAGTTGAACGCACACATCACAAAGGAGTTTCTGAGAATCATTCTGTCTAGTTTTTATACGAAGATATTTCCTTTTCTACCATTGACCTCAAAGCGGCTGAAATCTCCACTTGCAAATTCCAGAAAAACAGTGTTTCAAATCTGCTCTGTGTAAAGGATCGTTCAACTCTGTGAGTTGAATACACACAACACAAGGAAGTTACTGAGAATTCATCCCTCTAGCATTATATGAAGAAATCCCGTTTCCAACGAAGGCCTCAAAGGGGTCTGAATATCCACTTGCAGACTTTACAGAGTGTTTCCTAACTGCTCTTTGAAAAGAAAGGTTAAACTCTGTGAGTTGAACGCACATATCACAAAACAGTTTCTGAGAATCATTCTGTCTAGTTTTTATACGAAGATATTTCCTTTTCTACCATTGACCTCAAAGCTGCTGATTTCTCCAATTACAAATTCCACCAAAAGAGTGTCTCAAATCTCCTCTGTGTGAAGAATCATTCAACTCTGTGAGTTGAATGCACACAACACAAGGAAGTTACTGGGAATTCCTCTGTCTAGCCTTACATGAAAAAAACCCGTTTCCAACGAAGGCCTCAAAGAGGCCAATATATCCACTTGCAGACTTTACAAACAGACTGTTTCCAAACTGCTGAATGAAAAGAAAAGTTAAACTCTGTGAGTTGAACGCACACATCACAGAGCAGTTTCTGAGAATGATTCTGTCGGGTTTTTATACGAAGATATTTCCTTTTCTGCCTTTGGCCTCAAAGCGCTTGAAGTCTCCACTTGCAAATTGCAGAAAAAGAGTGTTTCGAATCTGCTCTGTCTAAAGGAAGGTTCAACTCTGTCAGTTGAATACACACAACACAAGGAAGTTACTGAGATTTCTTCTGTCTAGCCTTACATGAAAAAAACCCGTTTCCAACGAAGGCCTCAAAGAGGTCAAAATATCCACGTGCAGACTTTCCAAACAGAGTGTTTCCAAACTGCTGAATGAAAAGAAAAGTTAAACTCTGTGAGTTGAACGCACACATCCCAGAGAAGTTTCTGAGAATGATTCTGTCTAGTTTTTATAGGAAAATATTTCCTTTTCTGCTTTTGGCCTCAAAGCGCTTGAAATCTCCACTTGCAAATTCCACAAAAAGAGACTTTCAAATCTGCTCTGTCTAAAGGAAGGTTCAACTCTGTCAGTTGAATACACACAACACAAAGAAGTTACTAAGAATTCTTCCCTCTAGCATTATATGAAGAAATCCCGTTTCCAACGAAGGCATCTAAGAGGTCCAAATATCCACTTGCAGACTTTACAAACACAGGGTTTCCAGAATGCTGTATGAAAAGAAAGGTTAAACTCTGTGAGTTAAACACACACATCACTACGCAGTGTCTGGGAACGAGTTTGTCTTGTTTTTATACGAAGATATTTCCTTTTCTACCATTGGCATCGAAGCGCTTGAAATCTCCACTTGCAAATTCCACAAAAAGAGTGTTTCAAATCTGCTCTGTCTAAAGGAAGGTTGAACTCTGTGAGTTGCATACACACAACACAAAGAAGTTACTGAGAAATCTTCTGTCTAGCATAATATGAAGAAATCCCGTTTCCAACGAAGGCCTCAAAGAGGTCCGATTATCCACTGGCAGGCTTCACAAACAGAGTGTTTCCTAACTGCTCTGTGAAAAGAAAGGTTAAACTCTGTGAGTTGAACGCACACATCACAAAGGAGTTTCTGAGAATCATTCTGTCTAGTTTTTATACGAAGATATTTCCTTTTCTACCATTGACCTCAAAGCGGCTGACATCTCCACTTGCAAATTCCAGAAAAACAGTGTTTCAAATCTGCTCTGTGTAAAGGATCGTTCAACTCTGTGAGTTGAATACACACAACACAAGGAAGTTACTGAGAATTCATCTGTCTAGCATAATATGAAGAAATCCCGTTTCCAACGAAGGCCTCAAAGTAGGTCTGAATATCCACTTGCAGACTTTACAAACAGAGTGTTTCCTAACTGCTCTTTGAAAAGAAAGGTTAAACTCTGTGAGTTGAACGCACACATCACAAAACAGTTTCTGAGAATCATTCTGTCTAGTTTTTATACGAAGATATTTCCTTTTCTACCGTTGACCTCAAAGCGGCTGAATTCTCCACTTACAAATTCCACCAAAAGAGTGTCTCAAATCTGCTCTGTGTAAAGAATCGTTCAACTCTGTGAGTTGAATGCACACAACACAAGGAAGTTACTGGGAATTCCTCTGTCTATCCTTACATGAAAAAACCCGTTTCCAACGAAGGCCTCTAAGAGGCCAAGATATCCACTTGCAGACTTTACAAACAGAGTGTTTCCAAACTGCTGAATGAGAAGAAAAGTTAAACTCTGTGAGTTGAACGCACACATCACAGAGCAGTTTCTGAGAATGATTCTGTCGGGTTTTTATACGAAGATATTTCCTTTTCTGCCTTTGGCCTCAAAGCGCTTGAAGTCTCCACTTGCAAATTGCAGAAAAAGAGTGTTTCGAATCTGCTCTGTCTAAAGGAAGGTTCAACTCTGTCAGTTGAATACACACAACACAAGGAAGTTACTGAGATTTCTTCTGTCTAGCCTTACATGAAAAAAACCCGTTTCCAACGAAGGCCTCTAAGAGGTCAAAATATCCACGTGCAGACTTTCCAAACAGTGTTTCCAAACTGCTGATTGAAAAGAAAAGTTAAACTCTGTGAGTTGAACGCACACATCACAGAGCAGTTTCTGAGAATGATTCTGTCTAGTTTTTATAGGAAAATATTTCCTTTTCTGCTTTTGGCCTCAAAGCGCTTGAAATCTCCACTTGCAAATTCCACAAAAAGAGACTTTCAAATCTGCTCTGTCTAAAGGAAGGTTCAACTCTGTCAGTTGAATACACACAACACAAAGAAGTTACTAAGAATTCTTCCCTCTAGCATTATATGAAGAAATCCCGTTTCCAACGAAGGCATCTAAGAGGTCCAAATATCGACTTGCAGACTTTACAAACAGAGGGTTTCCAGAATGCTGTATGAAAAGAAAGGTGAAACTCTGTGAGTTAAACACACACATCACTACGCAGTGTCTGGGAACGAGTTTGTCTTGTTTTTATACGAAGATATTTCCTTTTCTACCATTGGCATCGAAGCGCTTGAAATCTCCACTTGCAAATTCCACAAAAAGAGTGTTTCAAATCTGCTCTGTCTAAAGGAAGGTTGAACTCTGTGAGTTGCATACACACAACACAAAGAAGTTACTGAGAAATCTTCTGTCTAGCATAATATGAAGAAATCCCGTTTCCAACGAAGGCCTCAAAGAGGTCCGAATATCCACTGGCAGGCTTCACAAACAGAGTGTTTCCTAACTGCTCTGTGAAAAGAAAGGTTAAACTCTGTGAGTTGAACGCACACATCACAAAGGAGTTTCTGAGAATCATTCTGTCTAGTTTTTATACGAAGATATTTCCTTTTCTACCATTGACCTCAAAGCGGCTGAAATCTCCACTTGCAAATTCCAGAAAAACAGTGTTTCAAATCTGCTCTGTGTAAAGGATCGTTCAACTCTGTGAGTTGAATACACACAACACAAGGAAGTTACTGAGAATTCATCTGTCTAGCATAATATGAAGAAATCCCGTTTCCAACGAAGGCCTCAAAGAGGTCTGAATATCCACTTGCAGACTTTACAAACAGAGTGTTTCCTAACTGCTCTTTGAAAAGAAAGGTTAAACTCTGTGAGTTGAACGCACACATCACAAAACAGTTTCTGAGAATCATTCTGTCTAGTTTTTATACGAAGATATTTCCTTTTCTACCGTTGACCTCAAAGCGGCTGAATTCTCCACTTACAAATTCCACCAAAAGAGTGTCTCAAATCTGCTCTGTGTAAAGAATCATTCAACTCTGTGAGTTGAATGCACACAACACAAGGAAGTTACTGGGAATTCCTCTGTCTAACCTTACATGAAAAAACCCGTTTCCAACGAAGGCCTCTAAGAGGCCAAGATATCCACTTGCAGACTTTACAAACAGAGTGTTTCCAAACTGCTGAATGAAAAGAAAAGTTAAACTCTGTGAGTTGAACGCACACATCACAGAGCAGTTTCTGAGAATGATTCTGTCGGGTTTTTATACGAAGATATTTCCTTTTCTGCCTTTGGCCTCAAAGCGCTTGAAGTCTCCACTTGCAAATTGCAGAAAAAGAGTGTTTCGAATCTGCTCTGTCTAAAGGAAGGTTCAACTCTGTCAGTTGAATACACACAACACAAGGAAGTTACTGAGATTTCTTCTGTCTAGCCTTACATGATAAAAACCCGTTTCCAACGAAGGCCTCAAAGAGGTCAAAATATCCACGTGCAGACTTTCCAAACAGAGTGTTTCCAAACTGCTGAATGAAAAGAAAAGTTAAACTCTGTGAGTTGAACGCACACATCACAGAGCAGTTTCTGAGAATGATTCTGTCTAGTTTTTATAGGAAAATATTTCCTTTTCTGCTTTTGGCCTCAAAGCGCTTGAAATCTCCACTTGCAAATTCCACAAAAAGAGACTTTCAAATCTGCTCTGTCTAAAGGAAGGTTCAACTCTGTCAGTTGAATACACACAACACAAAGAAGTTACTAAGAATTCTTCCCTCTAGCATTATATGAAGAAATCCCGTTTCCAACGAAGGCATCTAAGAGGTCCAAATATCCACTTGCAGACTTTACAAACACAGGGTTTCCAGAATGCTGTATGAAAAGAAAGGTTAAACTCTGTGAGTTAAACACACACATCACTACGCAGTGTCTGGGAACGAGTTTGTCTTGTTTTTATACGAAGATATTTCCTTTTCTACCATTGGCATCGAAGCGCTTGAAATCTCCACTTGCAAATTCCACAAAAAGAGTGTTTCAAATCTGCTCTGTCTAAAGGAAGGTTGAACTCTGTGAGTTGCATACACACAACACAAAGAAGTTACTGAGAAATCTTCTGTCTAGCATAATATGAAGAAATCCCGTTTCCAACGAAGGCCTCAAAGAGGTCCGAATATCCACTGGCAGGCTTCACAAACAGAGTGTTTCCTAACTGCTCTGTGAAAAGAAAGGTTAAACTCTGTGAGTTGAACGCACACATCACAAAGGAGTTTCTGAGAATCATTCTGTCTAGTTTTTATACGAAGATATTTCCTTTTCTACCATTGACCTCAAAGCGGCTGAAATCTCCACTTGCAAATTCCAGAAAAACAGTGTTTCAAATCTGCTCTGTGTAAAGGATCGTTCAACTCTGTGAGTTGAATACACACAACACAAGGAAGTTACTGAGAATTCATCTGTCTAGCATAATATGAAGAAATCCCGTTTCCAACGAAGGCCTCAAAGAGGTCTGAATATCCACTTGCAGACTTTACAAACAGAGTGTTTCCTAACTGCTCTTTGAAAAGAAAGGTTAAACTCTGTGAGTTGAACGCACACATCACAAAACAGTTTCTGAGAATCATTCTGTCTAGTTTTTATACGAAGATATTTCCTTTTCTACCGTTGACCTCAAAGCGGCTGAATTCTCCACTTACAAATTCCACCAAAAGAGTGTCTCAAATCTGCTCTGTGTAAAGAATCATTCAACTCTGTGAGTTGAATGCACACAACACAAGGAAGTTAGTGGGAATTCCTCTGTCTAACCTTACATGAAAAAACCCGTTTCCAACGAAGGCCTCTAAGAGGCCAAGATATCCACTTGCAGACTTTACAAACAGAGTGTTTCCAAACTGCTGAATGAAAAGAAAAGTTAAACTCTGTGAGTTGAACGCACACATCACAGAGCAGTTTCTGAGAATGATTCTGTCGGGTTTTTATACGAAGATATTTCCTTTTCTGCCTTTGGCCTCAAAGCGCTTGAAGTCTCCACTTGCAAATTGCAGAAAAAGAGCGTTTCGAATCTGCTCTGTCTAAAGGAAGGTTCAACTCTGTCAGTTGAATACACACAACACAAGGAAGTTACTGAGATTTCTTCTGTCTAGCCTTACATGAAAAAAACCCGTTTCCAACGAAGGCCTCAAAGAGGTCAAAATATCCACGTGCAGACTTTCCAAACAGAGTGTTTCCAAACTGCTGAATGAAAAGAAAAGTTAAACTCTGTGAGTTGAACGCACACATCCCAGAGCAGTTTCTGAGAAAGATTCTGTCGAGTTTTTATAGGAAAATATTTCCTTTTCTGCTTTTGGCCTCAAAGCGCTTGAAATCTCCACTTGCAAATTCCACAAAAAGAGACTTTCAAATCTGCTCTGTCTAAAGGAAGGTTCAACTCTGTCAGTTGAATACACACAACACAAAGAAGTTACTAAGAATTCTTCCCTCTAGCATTATATGAAGAAATCCCGTTTCCAACGAAGGCATCTAAGAGGTCCAAATATCCACTTGCAGACTTTACAAACAGAGGGTTTCCAGAATGCTGTATGAAAAGAAAGGTGAAACTCTGTGAGTTAAACACACACATCACTACGCAGTGTCTGGGAACGAGTTTGTCTTGTTTTTATACGAAGATATTTCCTTTTCTACCATTGGCATCGAAGCGCTTGAAATCTCCACTTGCAAATTCCACAAAAAGAGTGTTTCAAATCTGCTCTGTCTAAAGGAAGGTTGAACTCTGTGAGTTGCATACACACAACACAAAGAAGTTACTGAGAAATCTTCTGTCTAGCATAATATGAAGAAATCCCGTTTCCAACGAAGGCCTCAAAGAGGTCCGAATATCCACTGGCAGGCTTCACAAACAGAGTGTTTCCTAACTGCTCTGTGAAAAGAAAGGTTAAACTCTGTGAGTTGAACGCACACATCACAAAGGAGTTTCTGAGAATCATTCTGTCTAGTTTTTATACGAAGATATTTCCTTTTCTACCATTGACCTCAAAGCGGCTGAAATCTCCACTTGCAAATTCCAGAAAAACAGTGTTTCAAATCTGCTCTGTGTAAAGGATCGTTCAACTCTGTGAGTTGAATACACACAACACAAGGAAGTTACTGAGAATTCATCTGTCTAGCATAATATGAAGAAATCCCGTTTCCAACGAAGGCCTCAAAGAGGTCTGAATATCCACTTGCAGACTTTACAAACAGAGTGTTTCCTAACTGCTCTTTGAAAAGAAAGGTTAAACTCTGTGAGTTGAACGCACACATCACAAAACAGTTTCTGAGAATCATTCTGTCTAGTTTTTATACGAAGATATTTCCTTTTCTACCGTTGACCTCAAAGCGGCTGAATTCTCCACTTACAAATTCCACCAAAAGAGTGTCTCAAATCTGCTCTGTGTAAAGAATCATTCAACTCTGTGAGTTGAATGCACACAACACAAGGAAGTTACTGGGAATTCCTCTGTCTAACCTTACATGAAAAAACCCGTTTCCAACGAAGGCCTCTAAGAGGCCAAGATATCCACTTGCAGACTTTACAAACAGAGTGTTTCCAAACTGCTGAATGAAAAGAAAAGTTAAACTCTGTGAGTTGAACGCACACATCACAGAGCAGTTTCTGAGAATGATTCTGTCGGGTTTTTATACGAAGATATTTCCTTTTCTGCCTTTGGCCTCAAAGCGCTTGAAGTCTCCACTTGCAAATTGCAGAAAAAGAGTGTTTCGAATCTGCTCTGTCTAAAGGAAGGTTCAACTCTGTCAGTTGAATACACACAACACAAGGAAGTTACTGAGATTTCTTCTGTCTAGCCTTACATGAAAAAAACCCGTTTCCAACAAAGGCCTCAAAGCAGGTCAAAATATCCACGTGCAGACTTTCCAAACAGAGTGTTTCCAAACTGCTGAATGAAAAGAAAAGTTAAACTCTGTGAGTTGAACGCACACGTCCCAGAGCAGTTTCTGAGAAAGATTCTGTCGAGTTTTTATAGGAAAATATTTCCTTTTCTGCTTTCGGCCTCAAAGCGCTTGAAATCTCCACTTGCAGATTCCACAAAAAGAGACTTTCAAATCTGCTCTGTCTAAAGGAAGGTTCAACTCTGTCAGTTGAATACACACAACACAAAGAAGTTACTAAGAATTCTTCCCTCTAGCATTATATGAAGAAATCCCGTTTCCAACGAAGGCATCTAAGAGGTCCAAATATCCACTTGCAGACTTTACAAACACAAGGTTTCCAGAATGCTGTATGAAAAGAAAGGTTAAACTCTGTGAGTTAAACACACACATCACTACGCAGTGTCTGGGAACGAGTTTGTCTTGTTTTTATACGAAGATATTTCCTTTTCTACCATTGGCATCGAAGCGCTTGAAATCTCCACTTGCAAATTCCACAAAAAGAGTGTTTCAAATATGCTCTCTCTAAAGGAAGGTTGAACTCTGTGAGTTGCATACACACAACCCAAAGAAGTTACTGAGAAATCTTCTGTCTAGCATAATATGAAGAAATCCCGTTTCCAACGAAGGCCTCAAAGAGGTCCGAATATCCACTGGCAGGCTTCACAAACAGAGTGTTTCCTAACTGCTCTGTGAAAAGAAAGGTTAAACTCTGTGAGTTGAACGCACACATCACAAAGGAGTTTCTGAGAATCATTCTGTCTAGTTTTTATACGAAGATATTTCCTTTTCTACCATTGACCTCAAAGCGGCTGAAATCTCCACTTGCAAATTCCAGAAAAACAGTGTTTCAAATCTGCTCTGTGTAAAGGATCGTTCAACTCTGTGAGTTGAATACACACAACACAAGGAAGTTACTGAGAATTCATCTGTCTAGCATAATATGATGAAATCCCGTTTCCAACGAAGGCTTTAAAGTAGGTCTGAATATCCACTTGCAGACTTTACAAACAGAGTGTTTCCTAACTGCTCTTTGAAAAGAAAGGTTAAACTCTGTGAGTTGAACGCACACATCACAAAACAGTTTCTGAGAATCATTCTTTCTAGTTTTTATACGAAGATATTTCCTTTTCTACCGTTGACCTCAAAGCGGCTGAATTCTCCACTTACAAATTCCACCAAAAGTGTGTCTCAAATCAGCTCTGTGTAAAGAATCATTCAACTCTGTGAGTTGAATGCACACAACACAAGGAAGTTACTGGGAATTCCTCTGTCTAACCTTACATGAAAAAACGCGTTTCCAACGAAGGCCTCTAAGAGGCCAAGATATCCACTTGCAGACTTTACAAACAGAGTGTTTCCAAACTGCTGAATGAAAAGAAAAGTTAAACTCTGTGAGTTGAACGCACACATCACAGAGCAGTTTCTGAGAATGATTCTGTCGGGTTTTTATACGAAGATATTTCCTTTTCTGCCTTTGGCCTCAAAGCGCTTGAAGTCTCCACTTGCAAATTGCAGAAAAAGAGTGTTTCGAATCTGCTCTGTCTAAAGGAAGGTTCAACTCTGTCAGTTGAATACACACAACACAAGGAAGTTACTGAGATTTCTTCTGTCTAGCCTTACATGAAAAAAACCCGTTTCCAACGAAGGCCTCAAAGAGGTCAAAATATCCACGTGCAGACTTTCCAAACAGAATGTTTCCAAACTGCTGAATGAAAAGAAAGTTAAACTCTGTGAGTTGAACACACACATCACAGAGCAGTTTCTGAGAATGATTCTGTCTAGTTTTTATAGGAAAATATTTCCTTTTCTGCTTTTGGCCTCAAAGCGCTTGAAATCTCCACTTGCAAATTCCACAAAAAGAGACTTTCAAATCTGCTCTGTCTAAAGGAAGGTTCAACTCTGTCAGTTGAATACACACAACACAAAGAAGTTACTAAGAATTCTTCCCTCTAGCATTATATGAAGAAATCCCGTTTCCAACGAAGGCATCTAAGAGGTCCAAATATCCACTTGCAGACTTTACAAACACAGGGTTTCCAGAATGCTGTATGAAAAGAAAGGTGAAACTCTGTGAGTTAAACACACACATCACTACGCAGTGTCTGGGAACGAGTTTGTCTTGTTTTTATACGAAGATATTTCCTTTTCTACCATTGGCATCGAAGCGCTTGAAATCTCCACTTGCAAATTCCACAAAAAGAGTGTTTCAAATATGCTCTCTCTAAAGGAAGGTTGAACTCTGTGAGTTGCATACACACAACCCAAAGAAGTTACTGAGAAATCTTCTGTCTAGCATAATATGAAGAAATCCCGTTTCCAACGAAGGCCTGAAAGAGGTCCGAATATCCACTGGCAGGCTTCACAAACAGAGTGTTTCCTAACTGCTCTGTGAAAAGAAAGGTTAAACTCTGTGAGTTGAACGCACACATCACAAAGGAGTTTCTGAGAATCATTCTGTCTAGTTTTTATACGAAGATATTTCCTTTTCTACCATTGACCTCAAAGCGGCTGAAATCTCCACTTGCAAATTCCAGAAAAACAGTGTTTCAAATCTGCTCTGTGTAAAGGATCGTTCAACTCTGTGAGTTGAATACACACAACACAAGGAAGTTACTGAGAATTCATCTGTCTAGCATAATATGAAGAAATCCCGTTTCCAACGAAGGCCTCAAAGAGGTCTGAATATCCACTTGCAGACTTTACAAACAGAGTGTTTCCTAACTGCTCTTTGAAAAGAAAGGTTAAACTCTGTGAGTTGAACGCACACATCACAAAACAGTTTCTGAGAATCATTCTGTCTAGTTTTTATACGAAGATATTTCCTTTTCTACCGTTGACCTCAAAGCGGCTGAATTCTCCACTTACAAATTCCACCAAAAGAGTGTCTCAAATCTGCTCTGTGTAAAGAATCATTCAACTCTGTGAGTTGAATGCACACAACACAAGGAAGTTACTGGGAATTCCTCTGTCTATCCTTACATGAAAAAACCCGTTTCCAACGAAGGCCTCTAAGAGGCCAAGATATCCACTTGCAGACTTTACAAACAGAGTGTTTCCAAACTGCTGAATGAAAAGAAAAGTTAAACTCTGTGAGTTGAACGCACACATCACAGAGCAGTTTCTGAGAATGATTCTGTCGGGTTTTTATACGAAGATATTTCCTTTTCTGCCTTTGGCCTCAAAGCGCTTGAAGTCTCCACTTGCAAATTGCAGAAAAAGAGTGTTTCGAATCTGCTCTGTCTAAAGGAAGGTTCAACTCTGTCAGTTGAATACACACAACACAAGGGAATTTACTGAGATTTCTTCTGTCTAGCCTTACATGAAAAAAACCCGTTTCCAACGAAGGCCTCAAAGAGGTCAAAATATCCACGTGCAGACTTTCCAAACAGAGTGTTTCCAAACTGCTGAATGAAAAGAAAAGTTAAACTCTGTGAGTTGAACGCACACATCCCAGAGCAGTTTCTGAGAAAGATTCTGTCGAGTTTTTATAGGAAAATATTTCCTTTTCTGCTTTTGGCCTCAAAGCGCTTGAAATCTCCACTTGCAAATTCCACAAAAAGAGACTTTCAAATCTGCTCTGTCTAAAGGAAGGTTCAACTCTGTCAGTTGAATACACACAACACAAAGAAGTTACTAAGAATTCTTCCCTCTAGCATTATATGAAGAAATCCCGTTTCCAACGAAGGCATCTAAGAGGTCCAAATATCCACTTGCAGACTTTACAAACAGAGGGTTTCCAGAATGCTGTATGAAAAGAAAGGTTAAACTCTGTGAGTTAAACACACACATCACTACGCAGTGTCTGGGAACGAGTTTGTCTTGTTTTTATACGAAGATATTTCCTTTTCTACCATTGGCATCGAAGCGCTTGAAATCTCCACTTGCAAATTCCACAAAAAGAGTGTTTCAAATCTGCTCTGTCTAAAGGAAGGTTGAACTCTGTGAGTTGCATACACACAACACAAAGAAGTTACTGAGAAATCTTCTGTCTAGCATAATATGAAGAAATCCCGTTTCCAACGAAGGCCTCAAAGAGGTCCGAATATCCACTGGCAGGCTTCACAAACAGAGTGTTTCCTAACTGCTCTGTGAAAAGAAAGGTTAAACTCTGTGAGTTGAACGCACACATCACAAAGGAGTTTCTGAGAATCATTCTGTCTAGTTTTTATACGAAGATATTTCTTTTTCTACCATTGACCTCAAAGCGGCTGAAATCTCCACTTGCAAATTCCAGAAAAACAGTGTTTCAAATCTGCTCTGTGTAAAGGATCGTTCAACTCTGTGAGTTGAATACACACAACACAAGGAAGTTACTGAGAATTCATCTGTCTAGCATAATATGAAGAAATCCCGTTTCCAACGAAGGCCTCAAAGAGGTCTGAATATCCACTTGCAGACTTTACAAACAGAGTGTTTCCTAACTGCTCTTTGAAAAGAAAGGTTAAACTCTGTGAGTTGAACGCACACATCACAAAACAGTTTCTGAGAATCATTCTGTCTAGATTTTATACGAAGATATTTCCTTTTCTACCGTTGACCTCAAAGCGGCTGAATTCTCCACTTACAAATTCCACCCAAAGAGTGTCTCAAATCTGCTCTGTGTAAAGAATCATTCAACTCTGTGAGTTGAATGCACACAACACAAGGAAGTTACTGGGAATTCCTCTGTCTATCCTTACATGAAAAAACCCGTTTCCAACGAAGGCCTCTAAGAGGCCAAGATATCCACTTGCAGACTTTACAAACAGAGTGTTTCCAAACTGCTGAATGAAAAGAAAAGTTAAACTCTGTGAGTTGAACGCACACATCACAGAGCAGTTTCTGAGAATGATTCTGTCGGGTTTTTATACGAAGATATTTCCTTTTCTGCCTTTGGCCTCAAAGCGCTTGAAGTCTCCACTTGGAAATTGCAGAAAAAGAGTGTTTCGAATCTGCTCTGTCTAAAGGAAGGTTCAACTCTGTCAGTTGAATACACACAACACAAGGAAGTTACTGAGATTTCTTCTGTCTAGCCTTACATGAAAAAACCCGTTTCCAACGAAGGCCTCAAAGAGGTCAAAATATCCACGTGCAGACTTTCCAAACAGAGTGTTTCCAAACTGCTGAATGAAAAGAAAGTTAAACTCTGTGAGTTGAACACACACATCACAGAGCAGTTTCTGAGAATGATTCTGTCTAGTTTTTATAGGAAAATATTTCCTTTTCTGCTTTTGGCCTCAAAGCGCTTGAAATCTCCACTTGCAAATTCCACAAAAAGAGACTTTCAAATCTGCTCTGTCTAAAGGAAGGTTCAACTCTGTCAGTTGAATACACACAACACAAAGAAGTTACTAAGAATTCTTCCCTCTAGCATTATATGAAGAAATCCCGTTTCCAACGAAGGCATCTAAGAGGTCCAAATATCCACTTGCAGACTTTACAAACAGAGGGTTTCCAGAATGCTGTATGAAAAGAAAGGTTAAACTCTGTGAGTTAAACACACACATCACTACGCAGTGTCTGGGAACGAGTTTGTCTTGTTTTTATACGAAGATATTTCCTTTTCTACCATTGGCATCGAAGCGCTTGAAATCTCCACTTGCAAATTCCACAAAAAGAGTGTTTCAAATCTGCTCTGTCTAAAGGAAGGTTGAACTCTGTGAGTTGCATACACACAACACAAAGAAGTTACTGAGAAATCTTCTGTCTAGCATAATATGAAGAAATCCCGTTTCCAACGAAGGCCTCAAAGAGGTCCGAATATCCACTGGCAGGCTTCACAAACAGAGTGTTTCCTAACTGCTCTGTGAAAAGAAAGGTTAAACTCTGTGAGTTGAACGCACACATCACAAAGGAGTTTCTGAGAATCATTCTGTCTAGTTTTTATACGAAGATATTTCCTTTTCTACCATTGACCTCAAAGCGGCTGAAATCTCCACTTGCAAATTCCAGAAAAACAGTGTTTCAAATCTGCTCTGTGTAAAGGATCGTTCAACTCTGTGAGTTGAATACACACAACACAAGGAAGTTACTGAGAATTCATCTGTCTAGCATAATATGAAGAAATCCCGTTTCCAACGAAGGCCTCAAAGAGGTCTGAATATCCACTTGCAGACTTTACAAACAGAGTGTTTCCTAACTGCTCTTTGAAAAGAAAGGTTAAACTCTGTGAGTTGAACGCACACATCACAAAACAGTTTCTGAGAATCATTCTGTCTAGTTTTTATACGAAGATATTTCCTTTTCTACCGTTGACCTCAAAGCGGCTGAATTCTCCACTTTCAAATTCCACCAAAAGAGTGTCTCAAATCTGCTCTGTGTAAAGAATCATTCAACTCTGTGAGTTGAATGCACACAACACAAGGAAGTTACTGGGAATTCCTCTGTCTATCCTTACATGAAAAAACCCGTTTCCAACGAAGGCCTCTAAGAGGCCAAGATATCCACTTGCAGACTTTACAAACAGAGTGTTTCCAAACTGCTGAATGAAAAGAAAAGTTAAACTCTGTGAGTTGAACGCACACATCACAGAGCAGTTTCTGAGAATGATTCTGTCGGGTTTTTATACGAAGATATTTCCTTTTCTGCCTTTGGCCTCAAAGCGCTTGAAGTTTCCACTTGCAAATTGCAGAAAAAGAGTGTTTCGAATCTGCTCTGTCTAAAGGAAGGTTCAACTCTGTCAGTTGAATACACACAACACAAGGAAGTTACTGAGATTTCTTCTGTCTAGCCTTACATGAAAAAAACCCGTTTCCAACGAAGGCCTCAAAGAGGTCAAAATATCCACGTGCAGACTTTCCAAACAGAGTGTTTCCAAACTGCTGAATGAAAAGAAAAGTTAAACTCTGTGAGTTGAACGCACACATCCCAGAGCAGTTTCTGAGAAAGATTCTGTCTAGTTTTTATAGGAAAATATTTCCTTTTCTGCTTTTGGCCTCAAAGCGCTTGAAATCTCCACTTGCAAATTCCACAAAAAGAGACTTTCAAATCTGCTCTGTCTAAAGGAAAGGTTCAACTCTGTCAGTTGAATACACACAACACAAAGAAGTTACTAAGAATTCTTCCCTCTAGCATTATATGAAGAAATCCCGTTTCCAACGAAGGCATCTAAGAGGTCCAAATATCCACTTGCAGACTTTACAAACACAGGGTTTCCAGAATGCTGTATGAAAAGAAAGGTTAAACTCTGTGAGTTAAACACACACATCACTACGCAGTGTCTGGGAACGAGTTTGTCTTGTTTTTATACGAAGATATTTCCTTTTCTACCATTGGCATCGAAGCGCTTGAAATCTCCACTTGCAAATTCCACAAAAAGAGTGTTTCAAATCTGCTCTGTCTAAAGGAAGGTTGAACTCTGTGAGTTGCATACACACAACACAAAGAAGTTACTGAGAAATCTTCTGTCTAGCATAATATGAAGAAATCCCGTTTCCAACGAAGGCCTCAAAGAGGTCCGAATATCCACTGGCAGGCTTCACAAACAGAGTGTTTCCTAACTGCTCTGTGAAAAGAAAGGTTAAACTCTGTGAGTTGAACGCACACATCACAAAGGAGTTTCTGAGAATCATTCTGTCTAGTTTTTATACGAAGATATTTCCTTTTCTACCATTGACCTCAAAGCGGCTGAAATCTCCACTTGCAAATTCCAGAAAAACAGTGTTTCAAATCTGCTCTGTGTAAAGGATCGTTCAACTCTGTGAGTTGAATACACACAACACAAGGAAGTTACTGAGAATTCATCTGTCTAGCATAATATGAAGAAATCCCGTTTCCAACGAAGGCCTCAAAGAGGTCTGAATATCCACTTGCAGACTTTACAAACAGAGTGTTTCCTAACTGCTCTTTGAAAAGAAAGGTTAAACTCTGTGAGTTGAACGCACACATCACAAAACAGTTTCTGAGAATCATTCTGTCTAGTTTTTATACGAAGATATTTCCTTTTCTACCGTTGACCTCAAAGCGGCTGAATTCTCCACTTACAAATTCCACCAAAAGAGTGTCTCAAATCTGCTCTGTGTAAAGAATCATTCAACTCTGTGAGTTGAATGCACACAACACAAGGAAGTTACTGGGAATTCCTCTGTCTAACCTTACATGAAAAAACCCGTTTCCAACGAAGGCCTCTAAGAGGCCAAGATATCCACTTGCAGACTTTACAAACAGAGTGTTTCCAAACTGCTGAATGAAAAGAAAAGTTAAACTCTGTGAGTTGAACGCACACATCACAGAGCAGTTTCTGAGAATGATTCTGTCGGGTTTTTATACGAAGATATTTCCTTTTCTGCCTTTGGCCTCAAAGCGCTTGAAGTCTCCACTTGCAAATTGCAGAAAAAGAGTGTTTCGAATCTGCTCTGTCTAAAAGAAGGTTCAACTCTGTCAGTTGAATACACACAACACAAGGAAGTTACTGAGATTTCTTCTGTCTAGCCTTACATGAAAAAAACCCGTTTCCAACGAAGGCCTCAAAGAGGTCAAAATATCCACGTGCAGACTTTCCAAACAGAGTGTTTCCAAACTGCTGAATGAAAAGAAAAGTTAAACTCTGTGAGTTGAACGCACACATCCCAGAGCAGTTTCTGAGAAAGATTCTGTCGAGTTTTTATAGGAAAATATTTCCTTTTCTGCTTTTGGCCTCAAAGCGCTTGAAATCTCCACTTGCAAATTCCACAAAAAGAGACTTTCAAATCTGCTCTGTCTAAAGGAAGGTTCAACTCTGTCAGTTGAATACACACAACACAAAGAAGTTACTAAGAATTCTTCCCTCTAGCATTATATGAAGAAATCCCGTTTCCAACGAAGGCATCTAAGAGGTCCAAATATCCACTTGCAGACTTTACAAACAGAGGGTTTCCAGAATGCTGTATGAAAAGAAAGGTTAAACTCTGTGAGTTAAACACACACATCACTACGCAGTGTCTGGGAACGAGTTTGTCTTGTTTTTATACGAAGATATTTCCTTTTCTACCATTGGCATCGAAGCGCTTGAAATCTCCACTTGCAAATTCCACAAAAAGAGTGTTTCAAATCTGCTCTGTCTAAAGGAAGGTTGAACTCTGTGAGTTGCATACACACAACACAAAGAAGTTACTGAGAAATCTTCTGTCTAGCAAAATATGAAGAAATCCCGTTTCCAACGAAGGCCTCAAAGAGGTCCGAATATCCACTGGCAGGCTTCACAAACAGAGTGTTTCCTAACTGCTCTGTGAAAAGAAAGGTTAAACTCTGTGAGTTGAACGCACACATCACAAAGGAGTTTCTGAGAATCATTCTGTCTAGTTTTTATACGAAGATATTTCTTTTTCTACCATTGACCTCAAAGCGGCTGAAATCTCCACTTGCAAATTCCAGAAAAACAGTGTTTCAAATCTGCTCTGTGTAAAGGATCGTTCAACTCTGTGAGTTGAATACACACAACACAAGGAAGTTACTGAGAATTCATCTGTCTAGCATAATATGAAGAAATCCCGTTTCCAACGAAGGCCTCAAAGAGGTCTGAATATCCACTTGCAGACTTTACAAACAGAGTGTTTCCTAACTGCTCTTTGAAAAGAAAGGTTAAACTCTGTGAGTTGAACGCACACATCACAAAACAGTTTCTGAGAATCATTCTGTCTAGTTTTTATACGAAGATATTTCCTTTTCTACCGTTGACCTCAAAGCGGCTGAATTCTCCACTTACAAATTCCACCAAAAGAGTGTCTCAAATCTGCTCTGTGTAAAGAATCATTCAACTCTGTGAGTTGAATGCACACAACACAAGGAAGTTACTGGGAATTCCTCTGTCTAACCTTACATGAAAAAACCCGTTTCCAACGAAGGCCTCTAAGAGGCCAAGATATCCACTTGCAGACTTTACAAACAGAGTGTTTCCAAACTGCTGAATGAAAAGAAAAGTTAAACTCTGTGAGTTGAACGCACACATCACAGAGCAGTTTCTGAGAATGATTCTGTCGGGTTTTTATACGAAGATATTTCCTTTTCTGCCTTTGGCCTCAAAGCGCTTGAAGTCTCCACTTGCAAATTGCAGAAAAAGAGTGTTTCGAATCTGCTCTGTCTAAAGGAAGGTTCAACTCTGTCAGTTGAATACACACAACACAAGGAAGTTACTGAGATTTCTTCTGTCTAGCCTTACAAGAAAAAAACCCGTTTCCAACGAAGGCCTCAAAGAGGTCAAAATATCCACGTGCAGACTTTCCAAACAGAGTGTTTCCAAACTGCTGAATGGAAAGAAAAGTTAAACTCTGTGAGTTGAACGCACACATCCCAGAGCAGTTTCTGAGAAAGATTCTGTCTAGTTTTTATAGGAAAATATTTCCTTTTCTGCTTTTGGCCTCAAAGCGCTTGAAATCTCCACTTGCAAATTCCACAAAAAGAGTGTTTCAAATCTGCTCTGTCTAAAGGAAGGTTGAACTCTGTGAGTTGCATACACACAACACAAAGAAGTTACTGAGAAATCTTCCCTCTAGCATTATATGAAGAAATCCCGTTTCCAACGAAGGCATCTAAGAGGTCCAAATATTCACTTGCAGACTTTACAAACAGAGGGTTTCCAGAATGCTGTATGAAAAGAAAGGTGAAACTCTGTGAGTTAAACACACACATCACTACGCAGTGTCTGGGAACGAGTTTGTCTTGTTTTTATACGAAGATATTTCCTTTTCTACCATTGGCATCGAAGCGCTTGAAATCTCCACTTGCAAATTCCACAAAAAGAGTGTTTCAAATCTGCTCTGTCTAAAGGAAGGTTGAACTCTGTGAGTTGCATACACACAACACAAAGAAGTTACTGAGAAATCTTCTGTCTAGCATAATATGAAGAAATCCCGTTTCCAAGGAAGGCCTCAAAGAGGTCTGAATATCCACTGGCAGACTTCACAAACAGAGTGTTTCCTAACTACTCTATGAAAAGAAAGGATAAACTCTGTGAGTTGAAAGCACACATCACAAAGGAGTTTCTGAGAATCATTCTGTCTAGTTTTTATACGAAGATATTTCCTTTTCTACCATTGACCTCAAAGCGGCTGAAATCTCCACTTGCAAATTCCAGAAAAACAGTGTTTCAAATCTGCTCTGTGTAAAGGATCGTTCAACTCTGTGAGTTGAATACACACAACACAAGGAAGTTACTGAGAATTCATCCCTCTAGCATTATATGAAGAAATCCCGTTTCCAACGAAGGCCTCAAAGAGGTCTGAATATCCACTTGCAGACTTTACAGAGTGTTTCCTAACTGCTCTTTGAAAAGAAAGGTTAAACTCTGTGAGTTGAACGCACACATCACAAAACAGTTTCTGAGAATCATTCTGTCTAGTTTTTATACGAAGATATTTCCTTTTCTACCGTTGACCTCAAAGCGGCTGAATTCTCCACTTACAAATTCCACCCAAAGAGTGTCTCAAATCTGCTCTGTGTAAAGAATCATTCAACTCTGTGAGTTGAATGCACACAACACAAGGAAGTTACTGGGAATTCCTCTGTCTAACCTTACATGAAAAAACCCGTTTCCAACGAAGGCCTCTAAGAGGCCAAGATATCCACTTGCAGACTTTACAAACAGAGTGTTTCCAAACTGCTGAATGAAAAGAAAAGTTAAACTCTGTGAGTTGAACGCACACATCACAGAGCAGTTTCTGAGAATGATTCTGTCGGGTTTTTATACGAAGATATTTCCTTTTCTGCCTTTGGCCTCAAAGCGCTTGAAGTCTCCACTTGCAAATTGCAGAAAAAGAGTGTTTCGAATCTGCTCTGTCTAAAGGAAGGTTCAACTCTGTCAGTTGAATACACACAACACAAGGAAGTTACTGAGATTTCTTCTGTCTAGCGTTACATGAAAAAAACCCGTTTCCAACGAAGGCCTCAAAGAGGTCAAAATATCCACGTGCAGACTTTCCAAACAGAGTGTTTCCAAACTGCTGAATGAAAAGAAAAGTTAAACTACTGTGAGTTGAACGCACACATCCCAGAGCAGTTTCTGAGAAAGATTCTGTCTAGTTTTTATAGGAAAATATTTCCTTTTCTGCTTTTGGCCTCAAAGCGCTTGAAATCTCCACTTGCAAATTCCACAAAAAGAGACTTTCAAATCTGCTCTGTCTAAAGGAAGGTTCAACTCTGTCAGTTGAATACACACAACACAAAGAAGTTACTAAGAATTCTTCCCTCTAGCATTATATGAAGAAATCCCGTTTCCAACGAAGGCATCTAAGAGGTCCAAATATCCACTTGCAGACTTTACAAACACAGGGTTTCCAGAATGCTGTATGAAAAGAAAGGTGAAACTCTGTGAGTTAAACACACACATCACTACGCAGTGTCTGGGAACGAGTTTGTCTTGTTTTTATACGAAGATATTTCCTTTTCTACCATTGGCATCGAAGCGCTTGAAATCTCCACTTGCAAATTCCACAAAAAGAGTGTTTCAAATCTGCTCTGTCTAAAGGAAGGTTGAACTCTGTGAGTTGCATACACACAACACAAAGAAGTTACTGAGAAATCTTCTGTCTAGCATAATATGAAGAAATCCCGTTTCCAACGAAGGCCTCAAAGAGGTCCGAATATCCACTGGCAGGCTTCACAAACAGAGTGTTTCCTAACTGCTCTGTGAAAAGAAAGGTTAAACTCTGTGAGTTGAACGCACACATCACAAAGGAGTTTCTGAGAATCATTCTGTCTAGTTTTTATACGAAGATATTTCCTTTTCTACCATTGACCTCAAAGCGGCTGAAATCTCCACTTGCAAATTCCAGAAAAACAGTGTTTCAAATCTGCTCTGTGTAAAGGATCGTTCAACTCTGTGAGTTGAATACACACAACACAAGGAAGTTACTGAGAATTCATCTGTCTAGCATAATATGAAGAAATCCCGTTTCCAACGAAGGCCTCAAAGTAGGTCTGAATATCCACTTGCAGACTTTACAAACAGAGTGTTTCCTAACTGCTCTTTGAAAAGAAAGGTTAAACTCTGTGAGTTGAACGCACACATCACAAAACAGTTTCTGAGAATCATTCTGTCTAGTTTTTATGCGAAGATATTTGCTTTTCTACCGTTGACCTCAAAGCGGCTGAATTCTCCACTTACAAATTCCACCAAAAGAGTGTCTCAAATCTGCTCTGTGTAAAGAATCATTCAACTCTGTGAGTTGAATGCACACAACACAAGGAAGTTACTGGGAATTCCTCTGTCTAACCTTACATGAAAAAACCCGTTTCCAACGAAGGCCTCTAAGAGGCCAAGATATCCACTTGCAGACTTTACAAACAGAGTGTTTCCAAACTGCTGAATGAAAAGAAAAGTTAAACTCTGTGAGTTGAACGCACACATCACAGAGCAGTTTCTGAGAATGATTCTGTCGGGTTTTTATACGAAGATATTTCCTTTTCTGCCTTTGGCCTCAAAGCGCTTGAAGTCTCCACTTGCAAATTGCAGAAAAAGAGTGTTTCAAATCTGCTCTGTCTAAAGGAAGGTTCAACTCTGTCAGTTGAATACACACAACACAAGGAAGTTACTGAGATTTCTTCTGTCTAGCCTTACATGAAAAAAACCCGTTTCCAACGAAGGCCTCAAAGAGGTCAAAATATCCACGTGCAGACTTTCCAAACAGAGTGTTTCCAAACTGCTGAATGAAAAGAAAAGTTAAACTCTGTGAGTTGAACGCACACATCCCAGAGCAGTTTCTGAGAAAGATTCTGTCGAGTTTTTATAGGAAAATATTTCCTTTTCTGCTTTTGGCCTCAAAGCGCTTGAAATCTCCACTTGCAAATTCCACAAAAAGAGACTTTCAAATCTGCTCTGTCTAAAGGAAGGTTCAACTCTGTCAGTTGAATACACACAACACAAAGAAGTTACTAAGAATTCTTCCCTCTAGCATTATATGAAGAAATCCCGTTTCCAACGAAGGCATCTAAGAGGTCCAAATATCCACTTGCAGACTTTACAAACAGAGGGTTTCCAGAATGCTGTATGAAAAGAAAGGTGAAACTCTGTGAGTTAAACACACACATCACTACGCAGTGTCTGGGAACGAGTTTGTCTTGTTTTTATACGAAGATATTTCCTTTTCTACCATTGGCATCGAAGCGCTTGAAATCTCCACTTGCAAATTCCACAAAAAGAGTGTTTCAAATCTGCTCTGTCTAAAGGAAGGTTGAACTCTGTGAGTTGCATACACACAACACAAAGAAGTTACTGAGAAATCTTCTGTCTAGCATAATATGAAGAAATCCCGTTTCCAACGAAGGCCTCAAAGAGGTCCGAATATCCACTGGCAGGCTTCACAAACAGAGTGTTTCCTAACTGCTCTGTGAAAAGAAAGGTTAAACTCTGTGAGTTGAACGCACACATCACAAAGGAGTTTCTGAGAATCATTCTGTCTAGTTTTTATACGAAGATATTTCCTTTTCTACCATTGACCTCAAAGCGGCTGAAATCTCCACTTGCAAATTCCAGAAAAACAGTGTTTCAAATCTGCTCTGTGTAAAGGATCGTTTAACTCTGTGAGTTGAATACACACAACACAAGGAAGTTACTGAGAATTCATCTGTCTAGCATAATATGAAGAAATCCCGTTTCCAACGAAGGCCTCAAAGAGGTCTGAATATCCACTTGCAGACTTTACAAACAGAGTGTTTCCTAACTGCTCTTTGAAAAGAAAGGTTAAACTCTGTGAGTTGAAAGCACACATCACAAAACAGTTTCTGAGAATCATTCTTTCTAGTTTTTATACGAAGATATTTCCTTTTCTACCGTTGACCTCAAAGCGGCTGAATTCTCCACTTACAAATTCCACCAAAAGAGTGTCTCAAATCTGCTCTGTGTAAAGAATCATTCAACTCTGTGAGTTGAATGCATACAACACAAGGAAGTTACTGGGAATTCCTCTGTCTAACCTTACATGAAAAAACCCGTTTCCAACGAAGGCCTCTAAGAGGCCAAGATATCCACTTGCAGACTTTACAAACAGAGTGTTTCCAAACTGCTGAATGAAAAGAAAAGTTAAACTCTGTGAGTTGAACGCACACATCCCAGAGCAGTTTCTGAGAATGATTCTGTCGGGTTTTTATACGAAGATATTTCCTTTTCTGCCTTTGGCCTCAAAGCGCTTGAAGTCTCCACTTGCAAATTGCAGAAAAAGAGTGTTTCGAATCTGCTCTGTCTAAAGGAAGGTTCAACTCTGTCAGTTGAATACACACAACACAAGGAAGTTACTGAGATTTCTTCTGTCTAGCCTTACAAGAAAAAAACCCGTTTCCAACGAAGGCCTCAAAGAGGTCAAAATATCCACGTGCAGACTTTCCAAACAGAGTGTTTCCAAACTGCTGAATGGAAAGAAAAGTTAAACTCTGTGAGTTGAACGCACACATCCCAGAGCAGTTTCTGAGAAAGATTCTGTCGAGTTTTTATAGGAAAATATTTCCTTTTCTGCTTTTGGCCTCAAAGCGCTTGAAATCTCCACTTGCAAATTCCACAAAAAGAGACTTTCAAATCTGCTCTGTCTAAAGGAAGGTTCAACTCTGTCAGCTGAATACACACAACACAAAGAAGTTACTAAGAATTCTTCCCTCTAGCATTATATGAAGAAATCCCGTTTCCAACGAAGGCATCTAAGAGGTCCAAATATCCACTTGCAGACTTTACAAACACAGGGTTTCCAGAATGCTGTATGAAAAGAAAGGTGAAACTCTGTGAGTTAAACACACACATCACTACGCAGTGTCTGGGAACGAGTTTGTCTTGTTTTTATATGAAGATATTTCCTTTTCTACCATTGGCATCGAAGCGCTTGAAATCTCCACTTGCAAATTCCACAAAAAGAGTGTTTCAAATATGCTCTGTCTAAAGGAAGGTTGAACTCTGTGAGTTGCATACACACAACACAAAGAAGTTACTGAGAAATCTTCTGAATAGCATAATATGAAGAAATCCCGTTTCCAACGAAGGCCTCAAAGAGGTCCGATTATCCACTGGCAGGATTCACAAACAGAGTGTTTCCTAACTGCTCTGTGAAAAGAAAGGTTAAACTCTGTGAGTTGAACGCACACATCACAAAGGAGTTTCTGAGAATCATTCTGTCCAGTTTTTATACGAAGATATTTCCTTTTCTACCATTGACCTCAAAGCGGCTGAAATCTCCACTTGCAAATTCCAGAAAAACAGTGTTTCAAATCTGCTCTGTGTAAAGGATCGTTCAACTCTGTGAGTTGAATACACACAACACAAGGAAGTTACTGAGAATTCATCTGTCTAGCATAATATGAAGAAATCCCGTTTCCAACGAAGGCCTCAAAGAGGTCTGAATATCCACTTGCAGACTTTACAAACAGAGTGTTTCCTAACTGCTCTTTGAAAAGAAAGGTTAAACTCTGTGAGTTGAACGCACACATCACAAAACAGTTTCTGAGAATCATTCTGTCTAGTTTTTATACGAAGATATTTCCTTTTCTACCGTTGACCTCAAAGCGGCTGAATTCTCCACTTACAAATTCCACCAAAAGAGTGTCTCAAATCTGCTCTGTGTAAAGAATCATTCAACTCTGTGAGTTGAATGCACACAACACAAGGAAGTTACTGGGAATTCCTGTGTCTATCCTTACATGAAAAAACCCGTTTCCAACGAAGGCCTCTAAGAGGCCAAGATATCCACTTGCAGACTTTACAAACAGAGTGTTTCCAAACTGCTGAATGAAAAGAAAAGTTAAACTCTGTGAGTTGAACGCACACATCACAGAGCAGTTTCTGAGAATGATTCTGTCGGGTTTTTATACGAAGATATTTCCTTTTCTGCCTTTGGCCTCAAAGCGCTTGAAGTTTCCACTTGCAAATTGCAGAAAAAGAGTGTTTCGAATCTGCTCTGTCTAAAGGAAGGTTCAACTCTGTCAGTTGAATACACACAACACAAGGAAGTTACTGAGATTTCTTCTGTCTAGCCTTACATGAAAAAAACCCGTTTCCAACGAAGGCCTCAAAGAGGTCAAAATATCTACGTGCAGACTTTCCAAACAGAGTGTTTCCAAACTGCTGAATGAAAAGAAAAGTTAAACTCTGTGAGTTGAACGCACACATCCCAGAGCAGTTTCTGAGAAAGATTCTGTCGAGTTTTTATAGGAAAATATTTCCTTTTCTGCTTTTGGCCTCAAAGCGCTTGAAATCTCCACTTGCAAATTCCATAGAAAGAGGCTTTCAAATCTGCTCTGTCTAAAGGAAGGTTCAACTCTGTCAGTTGAATACACACAACACAAAGAAGTTACTAAGAATTCTTCCCTCTAGCATTATATGAAGAAATCCCGTTTCCAACGAAGGCATCTAAGAGGTCCAAATATCCACTTGCAGACTTTACAAACAGAGGGTTTCCAGAATGCTGTATGAAAAGAAAGGTGAAACTCTGTGAGTTAAACACACACATCACTACGCAGTGTCTGGGAACGAGTTTGTCTTGTTTTTATACGAAGATATTTCCTTTTCTACCATTGGCATCGAAGCGCTTGAAATCTCCACTTGCAAATTCCACAAAAAGAGTGTTTCAAATCTGCTCTGTCTAAAGGAAGGTTGAACTCTGTGAGTTGCATACACACAACACAAAGAAGTTACTGAGAAATCTTCTGTCTAGCATAATATGAAGAAATCCCGTTTCCAACGAAGGCCTCAAAGAGGTCCGAATATCCACTGGCAGGCTTCACAAACAGAGTGTTTCCTAACTGCTCTGTGAAAAGAAAGGTTAAACTCTGTGAGTTGAACGCACACATCACAAAGGAGTTTCTGAGAATCATTCTGTCTAGTTTTTATACGAAGATATTTCCTTTTCTACCATTGACCTCAAAGCGGCTGAAATCTCCACTTGCAAATTCCAGAAAAACAGTGTTTCAAATCTGCTCTGTGTAAAGGATCGTTCAACTCTGTGAGTTGAATACACACAACACAAGGAAGTTACTGAGAATTCATCTGTCTAGCATAATATGAAGAAATCCCGTTTCCAACGAAGGCCTCAAAGAGGTCTGAATATCCACTTGCAGACTTTACAAACAGAGTGTTTCCTAACTGCTCTTTGAAAAGAAAGGTTAAACTCTGTGAGTTGAACGCACACATCACAAAACAGTTTCTGAGAATCATTCTGTCTAGTTTTTATACGAAGATATTTCCTTTTCTACCGTTGACCTCAAAGCGGCTGAATTCTCCACTTACAAATTCCACCAAAAGAGTGTCTCAAATCTCCTCTGTGTAAAGAATCAT
The DNA here is from genome assembly GCF_000001405.40 of Homo sapiens. Lineage (NCBI taxonomy): Eukaryota > Metazoa > Chordata > Mammalia > Primates > Hominidae > Homo > Homo sapiens. The sequence continues at coordinate 38,141,018 of NC_000016.10, read as the reverse complement.
TCAACTCTGTGAGTTGAATGCACACAACACAAGGAAGTTACTGGGAATTCCTCTGTCTAACCTTACATGAAAAAACCCGTTTCCAACGAAGGCCTCTAAGAGGCCAAGATATCCACTTGCAGACTTTACAAACAGAGTGTTTCCAAACTGCTGAATGAAAAGAAAAGTTAAACTCTGTGAGTTGAACGCACACATCACAGAGCAGTTTCTGAGAATGATTCTGTCGGGTTTTTATACGAAGATATTTCCTTTTCTGCCTTTGGCCTCAAAGCGCTTGAAGTCTCCACTTGCAAATTGCAGAAAAAGAGTGTTTCGAATCTGCTCTGTCTAAAGGAAGGTTCAACTCTGTCAGTTGAATACACACAACACAAGGAAGTTACTGAGATTTCTTCTGTCTAGCCTTACATGAAAAAAACCCGTTTCCAACGAAGGCCTCAAAGAGGTCAAAATATCCACGTGCAGACTTTCCAAACAGAGTGTTTCCAAACTGCTGAATGGAAAGAAAAGTTAAACTCTGTGAGTTGAACGCACACATCCCAGAGCAGTTTCTGAGAAAGATTCTGTCGAGTTTTTAATAGGAAAATATTTCCTTTTCTGCTTTTGGCCTCAAAGCGCTTGAAATCTCCACTTGCAAATTCCACAAAAAGAGACTTTCAAATCTGCTCTGTCTAAAGGAAGGTTCAACTCTGTCAGTTGAATACACACAACACAAAGAAGTTACTAAGAATTCTTCCCTCTAGCATTATATGAAGAAATCCCGTTTCCAACGAAGGCATCTAAGAGGTCCAAATATCCACTTGCAGACTTTACAAACACAGGGTTTCCAGAATGCTGTATGAAAAGAAAGGTGAAACTCTGTGAGTTAAACACACACATCACTACGCAGTGTCTGGGAACGAGTTTGTCTTGTTTTTATACGAAGATATTTCCTTTTCTACCATTGGCATCGAAGCGCTTGAAATCTCCACTTGCAAATTCCACAAAAAGAGTGTTTCAAATCTGCTCTGTCTAAAGGAAGGTTGAACTCTGTGAGTTGCATACACACAACACAAAGAAGTTACTGAGAAATCTTCTGTCTAGCATAATATGAAGAAATCCCGTTTCCAACGAAGGCCTCAAAGAGGTCCGAATATCCACTGGCAGGCTTCACAAACAGAGTGTTTCCTAACTGCTCTGTGAAAAGAAAGGTTAAACTCTGTGAGTTGAACGCACACATCACAAAGGAGTTTCTGAGAATCATTCTGTCTAGTTTTTATACGAAGATATTTCCTTTTCTACCATTGACCTCAAAGCGGCTGAAATCTCCACTTGCAAATTCCAGAAAAACAGTGTTTCAAATCTGCTCTGTGTAAAGGATCGGTTCAACTCTGTGAGTTGAATACACACAACACAAGGAAGTTACTGAGAATTCATCTGTCTAGCATAATATGAAGAAATCCCGTTTCCAACGAAGGCCTCAAAGAGGTCTGAATATCCACTTGCAGACTTTACAAACAGAGTGTTTCCTAACTGCTCTTTGAAAAGAAAGGTTAAACTCTGTGAGTTGAACGCACACATCACAAAACAGTTTCTGAGAATCATTCTGTCTAGTTTTTATACGAAGATATTTCCTTTTCTACCGTTGACCTCAAAGCGGCTGAATTCTCCACTTACAAATTCCACCAAAAGAGTGTCTCAAATCTGCTCTGTGTAAAGAATCATTCAACTCTGTGAGTTGAATGCACACAACACAAGGAAGTTACTGGGAATTCCTCTGTCTAACCTTACATGATAAAACCCGTTTCCAACGAAGGCCTCTAAGAGGCCAAGATATCCACTTGCAGACTTTACAAACAGAGTGTTTCCAAACTGCTGAATGAAAAGAAAAGTTAAACTCTGTGAGTTGAACGCACACATCACAGAGCAGTTTCTGAGAATGATTCTGTCGGGTTTTTATACGAAGATATTTCCTTTTCTGCCTTTGGCCTCAAAGCGCTTGAAGTTTCCACTTGCAAATTGCAGAAAAAGAGTGTTTCGAATCTGCTCTGTCTAAAGGAAGGTTCAACTCTGTCAGTTGAATACACACAACACAAGGGAAGTTACTGAGATTTCTTCTGTCTAGCCTTACATGAAAAAAACCCGTTTCCAACGAAGGCCTCAAAGAGGTCAAAATATCCACGTGCAGACTTTCCAAACAGAGTGTTTCCAAACTGCTGAATGAAAAGAAAAGTTAAACTCTGTGAGTTGAACGCACACATCCCAGAGCAGTTTCTGAGAAAGATTCTGTCTAGTTTTTATAGGAAAACATTTCCTTTTCTGCTTTTGGCCTCAAAGCGCTTGAAATCTCCACTTGCAAATTCCACAAAAAGAGACTTTCAAATCTGCTCTGTCTAAAGGAAGGTTCAACTCTGTCAGTTGAATACACACAACACAAAGAAGTTACTAAGAATTCTTCCCTCTAGCATTATATGAAGAAATCCCGTTTCCAACGAAGGCATCTAAGAGGTCCAAATATCCACTTGCAGACTTTACAAACACAGGGTTTCCAGAATGCTGTATGAAAAGAAAGGTGAAACTCTGTGAGTTAAACACACACATCACTACGCAGTGTCTGGGAACGAGTTTGTCTTGTTTTTATACGAAGATATTTCCTTTTCTACCATTGGCATCGAAGCGCTTGAAATCTCCACTTGCAAATTCCACAAAAAGAGTGTTTCAAATCTGCTCTGCCTAAAGGAAGGTTGAACTCTGTGAGTTGCATACACACAACACAAAGAAGTTACTGAGAAATCTTCTGTCTAGCATAATATGAAGAAATCCCGTTTCCAACGAAGGCCTCAAAGAGGTCCGAATATCCACTGGCAGGCTTCACAAACAGAGTGTTTCCTAACTGCTCTGTGAAAAGAAAGGTTAAACTCTGTGAGTTGAACGCACACATCACAAAGGAGTTTCTGAGAATCATTCTGTCTAGTTTTTATACGAAGATATTTCCTTTTCTACCATTGACCTCAAAGCGGCTGAAATCTCCACTTGCAAATTCCAGAAAAACAGTGTTTCAAATCTGCTCTGTGTAAAGGATCGTTCAACTCTGTGAGTTGAATACACACAACACAAGGAAGTTACTGAGAATTCATCTGTCTAGCATAATATGAAGAAATCCCGTTTCCAACGAAGGCCTCAAAGAGGTCTGAATATCCACTTGCAGACTTTACAAACAGAGTGTTTCCTAACTGCTCTTTGAAAAGAAAGGTTAAACTCTGTGAGTTGAACGCACACATCACAAAACAGTTTCTGAGAATCATTCTGTCTAGTTTTTATACGAAGATATATCCTTTTCTACCGTTGACCTCAAAGCGGCTGAATTCTCCACTAACAAATTCCACCAAAAGAGTGTCTCAAATCTACTCTGTGTAAAGAATCATTCAACTCTGTGAGTTGAATGCACACAACACAAGGAAGTTACTGGGAATTCCTCTGTCTAACCTTACATGAAAAAACCCGTTTCCAACGAAGGCCTCTAAGAGGCCAAGATATCCACTTGCAGACTTTACAAACAGAGTGTTTCCAAACTGCTGAATGAAAAGAAAAGTTAAACTCTGTGAGTTGAACGCACACATCACAGAGCAGTTTCTGAGAATGATTCTGTCGGGTTTTTATACGAAGATATTTCCTTTTCTGCCTTTGGCCTCAAAGCGCTTGAAGTCTCCACTTGCAAATTGCAGAAAAAGAGTGTTTCGAATCTGCTCTGTCTAAAGGAAGGTTCAACTCTGTCAGTTGAATACACACAACACAAGGAAGTTACTGAGATTTCTTCTGTCTAGCCTTACATGAAAAAAACCCGTTTCCAACGAAGGCCTCAAAGAGGTCAAAATATCCACGTGCAGACTTTCCAAACAGAGTGTTTCCAAACTGCTGAATGAAAAGAAAGTTAAACTCTGTGAGTTGAACACACACATCACAGAGCAGTTTCTGAGAATGATTCTGTCTAGTTTTTATAGGAAAATATTTCCTTTTCTGCTTTTGGCCTCAAAGCGCTTGAAATCTCCACTTGCAAATTCCACAAAAAGAGACTTTCAAATCTGCTCTGTCTAAAGGAAGGTTCAACTCTGTCAGTTGAATACACACAACACAAAGAAGTTACTAAGAATTCTTCCCTCTAGCATTATATGAAGAAATCCCGTTTCCAACGAGGGCATCTAAGAGGTCCAAATATCCACTTGCAGACTTTACAAACAGAGGGTTTCCAGAATGCTGTATGAAAAGAAAGGTGAAACTCTGTGAGTTAAACACACACATCACTACGCAGTGTCTGGGAACGAGTTTGTCTTGTTTTTATACGAAGATATTTCCTTTTCTACCATTGGCATCGAAGCGCTTGAAATCTCCACTTGCAAATTCCACAAAAAGAGTGTTTCAAATCTGCTCTGTCTAAAGGAAGGTTGAACTCTGTGAGTTGCATACACACAACACAAAGAAGTTACTGAGAAATCTTCTGTCTAGCATAATATGAAGAAATCCCGTTTCCAACGAAGGCCTCAAAGAGGTCCGAATATCCACTGGCAGGCTTCACAAACAGAGTGTTTCCTAACTGCTCTGTGAAAAGAAAGGTTAAACTCTGTGAGTTGAACGCACACATCACAAAGGAGTTTCTGAGAATCATTCTGTCTAGTTTTTATACGAAGATATTTCCTTTTCTACCATTGACCTCAAAGCGGCTGAAATCTCCACTTGCAAATTCCAGAAAAACAGTGTTTCAAATCTGCTCTGTGTAAAGGATCGTTCAACTCTGTGAGTTGAATACACACAACACAAGGAAGTTACTGAGAATTCATCTGTCTAGCATAATATGAAGAAATCCCGTTTCCAACGAAGGCCTCAAAGAGGTCTGAATATCCACTTGCAGACTTTACAAACAGAGTGTTTCCTAACTGCTCTTTGAAAAGAAAGGTTAAACTCTGTGAGTTGAACGCACACATCACAAAACAGTTTCTGAGAATCATTCTGTCTAGTTTTTATACGAAGATATTTCCTTTTCTACCGTTGACCTCAAAGCGGCTGAATTCTCCACTTACAAATTCCACCAAAAGAGTGTCTCAAATCTGCTCTGTGTAAAGAATCGTTCAACTCTGTGAGTTGAATGCACACAACACAAGGAAGTTACTGGGAATTCCTCTGTCTATCCTTACATGAAAAAACCCGTTTCCAACGAAGGCCTCTAAGAGGCCAAGATATCCACTTGCAGACTTTACAAACAGAGTGTTTCCAAACTGCTGAATGAAAAGAAAAGTTAAACTCTGTGAGTTGAACGCACACATCACAGAGCAGTTTCTGAGAGTGATTCTGTCGGGTTTTTATACGAAGATATTTCCGTTTCTGCCTTTGGCCTCAAAGCGCTTGAAGTCTCCACTTGCAAATTGCAGAAAAAGAGTGTTTCGAATCTGCTCTGTCTAAAAGAAGGTTCAACTCTGTCAGTTGAATACACACAACACAAGGAAGTTACTGAGATTTCTTCTGTCTAGCCTTACATGAAAAAAACCCGTTTCCAACGAAGGCCTCAAAGAGGTCAAAATATCCACGTGCAGACTTTCCAAACAGAGTGTTTCCAAACTGCTGAATGAAAAGAAAAGTTAAACTCTGTGAGTTGAATGCACACATCCCAGAGCAGTTTCTGAGAAAGATTCTGTCTAGTTTTTATAGGAAAACATTTCCTTTTCTGCTTTTGGCCTCAAAGCGCTTGAAATCTCCACTTGCAAATTCCACAAAAAGAGACTTTCAAATCTGTTCTGTCTAAAGGAAGGTTCAACTCTGTCAGTTGAATACACACAACACAAAGAAGTTACTAAGAATTCTTCCCTCTAGCATTATATGAAGAAATCCCGTTTCCAACGAAGGCATCTAAGAGGTCCAAATATCCACTTGCAGACTTTACAAACAGAGGGTTTCCAGAATGCTGTATGAAAAGAAAGGTGAAACTCTGTGAGTTAAACACACACATCACTACGCAGTGTCTGGGAACGAGTTTGTCTTGTTTTTATACGAAGATATTTCCTTTTCTACCATTGGCATCGAAGCGCTTGAAATCTCCACTTGCAAATTCCACAAAAAGAGTGTTTCAAATCTGCTCTGTCTAAAGGAAGGTTGAACTCTGTGAGTTGCATACACACAACACAAAGAAGTTACTGAGAAATCTTCTGTCTAGCATAATATGAACAAATCCCGTTTCCAACGAAGGCCTCAAAGAGGTCCGAATATCCACTGGCAGGCTTCACAAACAGAGTGTTTCCTAACTGCTCTGTGAAAAGAAAGGTTAAACTCTGTGAGTTGAACGCACACATCACAAAGGAGTTTCTGAGAATCATTCTGTCTAGTTTTTATACAAAGATATTTCCTTTTCTACCGTTGACCTCAAAGCGGCTGAATTCTCCACTTACAAATTCCACCAAAAGAGTGTCTCAAATCTGCTCTGTGTAAAGAATCATTCAACTCTGTGAGTTGAATGCACACAACACAAGGAAGTTACTGGGAATTCCTCTGTCTAACCTTACATGAAAAAACCCGTTTCCAACGAAGGCCTCTAAGAGGCCAAGATATCCACTTGCAGACTTTACAAACAGAGTGTTTCCAAACTGCTGAATGAAAAGAAAAGTTAAACTCTGTGAGTTGAACGCACACATCACAGAGCAGTTTCTGAGAATGATTCTGTCGGGTTTTTATACGAAGATATTTCCTTTTCTGCCTTTGGCCTCAAAGCGCTTGAAGTCTCCACTTGCAAATTGCAGAAAAAGAGTGTTTCGAATCTGCTCTGTCTAAAGGAAGGTTCAACTCTGTCAGTTGAATACACACAACACAAGGAAGTTACTGAGATTTCTTCTGTCTAGCCTTACATGAAAAAAACCCGTTTCCAACGAAGGCCTCAAAGAGGTCAAAATATCCACGTGCAGACTTTCCAAACAGAGTGTTTCCAAACTGCTGAATGAAAAGAAAGTTAAACTCTGTGAGTTGAACACACACATCACAGAGCAGTTTCTGAGAATGATTCTGTCGAGTTTTTATAGGAAAATATTTCCTTTTCTGCTTTTGGCCTCAAAGCGCTTGAAATCTCCACTTGCAAATTCCACAAAAAGAGACTTTCAAATCTGCTCTGTCTAAAGGAAGGTTCAACTCTGTCAGTTGAATACACACAACACAAAGAAGTTACTAAGAATTCTTCCCTCTAGCATTATATGAAGAAATCCCGTTTCCAACGAAGGCATCTAAGAGGTCCAAATATCCACTTGCAGACTTTACAAACAGAGGGTTTCCAGAATGCTGTATGAAAAGAAAGGTTAAACTCTGTGAGTTAAACACACACATCACTACGCAGTGTCTGGGAACGAGTTTGTCTTGTTTTTATACGAAGATATTTCCTTTTCTACCATTGGCATCGAAGCGCTTGAAATCTCCACTTGCAAATTCCACAAAAAGAGTGTTTCAAATCTGCTCTGTCTAAAGGAAGGTTGAACTCTGTGAGTTGCATACACACAACACAAAGAAGTTACTGAGAAATCTTCTGTCTAGCATAATATGAAGAAATCCCGTTTCCAACGAAGGCCTCAAAGTAGGTCTGAATATCCACTTGCAGACTTTACAAACAGAGTGTTTCCTAACTGCTCTTTGAAAAGAAAGGTTAAACTCTGTGAGTTGAACGCACACATCACAAAACAGTTTCTGAGAATCATTCTGTCTAGTTTTTATACGAAGATATTTGCTTTTCTACCGTTGACCTCAAAGCGGCTGAATTCTCCACTTACAAATTCCACCAAAAGAGTGTCTCAAATCTGCTCTGTGTAAAGAATCATTCAACTCTGTGAGTTGAATGCACACAACACAAGGAAGTTACTGGGAATTCCTCTGTCTAACCTTACATGAAAAAACCCGTTTCCAACGAAGGCCTCTAAGAGGCCAAGATATCCACTTGCAGACTTTACAAACAGAGTGTTTCCAAACTGCTGAATGAAAAGAAAAGTTAAACTCTGTGAGTTGAACGCACACATCACAGAGCAGTTTCTGAGAATGATTCTGTAGGGTTTTTATACGAAGATATTTCCTTTTCTGCCTTTGGCCTCAAAGCGCTTGAAGTCTCCACTTGCAAATTGCAGAAAAAGAGTGTTTCGAATCTGCTCTGTCTAAAGGAAGGTTCAACTCTGTCAGTTGAATACACACAACACAAGGAAGTTACTGAGATTTCTTCTGTCTAGCCTTACATGAAAAAAACCCGTTTCCAACGAAGGCCTCAAAGAGGTCAAAATATCCACGTGCAGACTTTCCAAACAGAGTGTTTCCAAACTGCTGAATGAAAAGAAAAGTTAAACTCTGTGAGTTGAACGCACACATCCCAGAGCAGTTTCTGAGAAAGATTCTGTCGAGTTTTTATAGGAAAATATTTCCTTTTCTGCTTTTGGCCTCAAAGCGCTTGAAATCTCCACTTGCAAATTCCACAAAAAGAGACTTTCAAATCTGCTCTGTCTAAAGGAAGGTTCAACTCTGTCAGTTGAATACACACAACACAAAGAAGTTACTAAGAATTCTTCCCTCTAGCATTATATGAAGAAATCCCGTTTCCAACGAAGGCATCTAAGAGGTCCAAATATCCACTTGCAGACTTTACAAACAGAGGGTTTCCACAATGCTGTATGAAAAGAAAGGTTAAACTCTGTGAGTTAAACACACACATCACTACGCAGTGTCTGGGAACGAGTTTGTCTTGTTTTTATACGAAGATATTTCCTTTTCTACCATTGGCATCGAAGCGCTTGAAATCTCCACTTGCAAATTCCACAAAAAGAGTGTTTCAAATCTGCTCTGTCTAAAGGAAGGTTGAACTCTGTGAGTTGCATACACACAACACAAAGAAGTTACTGAGAAATCTTCTGTCTAGCATAATATGAAGAAATCCCGTTTCCAACGAAGGCCTCAAAGAGGTCCGAATATCCACTGGCAGGCTTCACAAACAGAGTGTTTCCTAACTGCTCTGTGAAAAGAAAGGTTAAACTCTGTGAGTTGAACGCACACATCACAAAGGAGTTTCTGAGAATCATTCTGTCTAGTTTTTATACGAAGATATTTCCTTTTCTACCATTGACCTCAAAGCGGCTGAAATCTCCACTTGCAAATTCCAGAAAAACAGTGTTTCAAATCTGCTCTGTGTAAAGGATCGTTTAACTCTGTGAGTTGAATACACACAACACAAGGAAGTTACTGAGAATTCATCTGTCTAGCATAATATGAAGAAATCCCGTTTCCAACGAAGGCCTCAAAGAGGTCTGAATATCCACTTGCAGACTTTACAAACAGAGTGTTTCCTAACTGCTCTTTGAAAAGAAAGGTTAAACTCTGTGAGTTGAACGCACACATCACAAAACAGTTTCTGAGAATCATTCTTTCTAGTTTTTATACGAAGATATTTCCTTTTCTACCGTTGACCTCAAAGCGGCTGAATTCTCCACTTACAAATTCCACCAAAAGAGTGTCTCAAATCTGCTCTGTGTAAAGAATCATTCAACTCTGTGAGTTGAATGCATACAACACAAGGAAGTTACTGGGAATTCCTCTGTCTATCCTTACATGAAAAAACCCGCTTCCAACGAAGGCCTCTAAGAGGCCAAGATATCCACTTGCAGACTTTACAAACAGAGTGTTTCCAAACTGCTGAATGAAAAGAAAAGTTAAACTCTGTGAGTTGAACGCACACATCACAGAGCAGTTTCTGAGAATGATTCTGTCGGGTTTTTATACGAAGATATTTCCTTTTCTGCCTTTGGCCTCAAAGCGCTTGAAGTCTCCACTTGCAAATTGCAGAAAAAGAGTGTTTCGAATCTGCTCTGTCTAAAGGAAGGTTCAACTCTGTCAGTTGAATACACACAACACAAGGAAGTTACTGAGATTTCTTCTGTCTAGCCTTACATGAAAAAAACCCGTTTCCAACGAAGGCCTCAAAGAGGTCAAAATATCCACGTGCAGACTTTCCAAACAGTGTTTCCAAACTGCTGAATGAAAAGAAAAGTTAAACTCTGTGAGTTGAACGCACACATCACAGAGCAGTTTCTGAGAATGATTCTGTCGAGTTTTTATAGGAAAATATTTCCTTTTCTGCTTTTGGCCTCAAAGCGCTTGAAATCTCCACTTGCAAATTCCACAAAAAGAGACTTTCAAATCTGCTCTGTCTAAAGGAAGGTTCAACTCTGTCAGTTGAATACACACAACACAAAGAAGTTACTAAGAATTCTTCCCTCTAGCATTATATGAAGAAATCCCGTTTCCAACGAAGGCATCTAAGAGGTCCAAATATCCACTTGCAGACTTTACAAACACAGGGTTTCCAGAATGCTGTATGAAAAGAAAGGTTAAACTCTGTGAGTTAAACACACACATCACTACGCAGTGTCTGGGAACGAGTTTGTCTTGTTTTTATACGAAGATATTTCCTTTTCTACCATTGGCATCGAAGCGCTTGAAATCTCCACTTGCAAATTCCACAAAAAGAGTGTTTCAAATCTGCTCTGTCTAAAGGAAGGTTGAACTCTGTGAGTTGCATACACACAACCCAAAGAAGTTACTGAGAAATCTTCTGTCTAGCATAATATGAAGAAATCCCGTTTCCAACGAAGGCCTCAAAGAGGTCCGAATATCCACTGGCAGGCTTCACAAACAGAGTGTTTCCTAACTGCTCTGTGAAAAGAAAGGTTAAACCCTGTGAGTTGAACGCACACATCACAAAGGAGTTTCTGAGAATCATTCTGTCTAGTTTTTATACGAAGATATTTCCTTTTCTACCATTGACCTCAAAGCGGCTGAAATCTCCACTTGCAAATTCCAGAAAAACAGTGTTTCAAATCTGCTCTGTGTAAAGGATCGTTCAACTCTGTGAGTTGAATACACACAACACAAGGAAGTTACTGAGAATTCATCTGTCTAGCATAATATGAAGAAATCCCGTTTCCAACGAAGGCCTCAAAGAGGTCTGAATATCCACTTGCAGACTTTACAAACAGAGTGTTTCCTAACTGCTCTTTGAAAAGAAAGGTTAAACTCTGTGAGTTGAACGCACACATCACAAAACAGTTTCTGAGAATCATTCTGTCTAGTTTTTATACGAAGATATTTCCTTTTGTACCATTGACCTCAAAGCGGCTGAATTCTCCACTTACAAATTCCACCAAAAGAGTGTCTCAAATCTGCTCTGTGTAAAGAATCATTCAACTCTGTGAGTTGAATGCGCACAACACAAGGAAGTTACTGGGAATTCCTCTGTCTAACCTTACATGAAAAAAACCCGTTTCCAACGAAGGCCTCTAAGAGGCCAATATATCCACTTGCAGACTTTACAAACAGAGTGTTTCCAAACTGCTGAATGAAAAGAAAAGTTAAACTCTGTGTGTTGAACGCACACATCACAGAGCAGTTTCTGAGAATGATTCTGTCGGGTTTTTATACGAAGATATTTCCTTTTCTGTCTTTGGCCTCAAAGCGCTTGAAGTCTCCACTTGCAAATTGCAGAAAAAGAGTGTTTCGAATCTGCTCTGTCTAAAGGAAGGTTCAACCCTGTCAGTTGAATACACACAACACAAGGAAGTTACTGAGATTTCCTCTGTCTAGCCTTACATGATAAAAACCCGTTTCCAACGAAGGCCTCAAAGAGGTCAAAATATCCACGTGCAGACTTTCCAAACAGAGTGTTTCCAAACTGCTGAATGAAAAGAAAAGTTAAACTGTGTGAGTTGAACGCACACATCACAGAGCAGTTTCTGAGAATGATTCTGTCTAGTTTTTATAGGAAAATATTTCCTTTTCTGCTTTTGGCCTCAAAGCGCTTGAAATCTCCACTTGCAAATTCCACAAAAAGAGACTTTCAAATCTGCTCTGTCTAAAGGAAGGTTCAACTCTGTCAGTTGAATACACACAAGACAAAGAAGTTACTGAGAATTCTTCCCTCTACCATTATATGACGATATCCCATTTCCAACGAAGGCATCTAAGAGGTCCAAATATCCACTTGCAGACTTTACAAACAGAGGGTTTCCAGAATTCTGTATGAAAAGAAAGGTTTAACTCTGTGAGTTAAACACACACATCACTACGCAGTTTCTGGGAATGATTTTGTCTTGTTTTTATACGAAGATATTTCCTTTTCTACCATTGGCATCGAAGCGCTTGAAATCTCCACTTGCAAATTCCACAAAAAGAGTGTTTCAAATCTGCTCTGTCTAAAGGAAGGTTGAACTCTGTGAGTTGCATACACACAACACAAAGAAGTTACTGAGAAATCTTCTGTCTAGCATAATATGAAGAAATCCCGTTTCCAACGAAGGCCTCAAAGAGGTCCGAATATCCACTGGCAGGCTTCACAAACAGAGTGTTTCCTAACTGCTCTGTGAAAAGAAAGGTTAAACTCTGTGAGTTGAACGCACACATCACAAAGGAGTTTCTGAGAATCATTCTGTCTAGTTTTTATACGAAGATATTTCCTTTTCTACCATTGACCTCAAAGCGGCTGAAATCTCCACTTGCAAATTCCAGAAAAACAGTGTTTCAAATCTGCTCTGTGTAAAGGATCGTTTAACTCTGTGAGTTGAATACACACAACACAAGGAAGTTACTGAGAATTCATCTGTCTAGCATAATATGAAGAAATCCCGTTTCCAACGAAGGCCTCAAAGAGGTCTGAATATCCACTTGCAGACTTTACAAACAGTGTGTTTCCTAACTGCTCTTTGAAAAGAAAGGTTAAACTCTGTGAGTTGAACGCACACATCACAAAACAGTTTCTGAGAATCATTCTGTCTAGTTTTTATACGAAGATATTTCCTTTTCTACCGTTGACCTCAAAGCGGCTGAATTCTCCACTTACAAATTCCACCAAAAGAGTGTCTCAAATCTGCTCTGTGTAAAGAATCATTCAACTCTGTGAGTTGAATGCACACAACACAAGGAAGTTACTGGGAATTCCTCTGTCTAACCTTACATGAAAAAACCCGCTTCCAACGAAGGCCTCTAAGAGGCCAAGATATCCACTTGCAGACTTTACAGAGTGTTTCCAAACTGCTGAATGAAAAGAAAAGTTAAACTCTGTGAGTTGAACGCACACATCACAGTAGCAGTTTCTGAGAATGATTCTGTCGGGTTTTTATACGAAGATATTTCCTTTTCTGCCTTTGGCCTCAAAGCGCTTGAAGTCTCCACTTGCAAATTGCAGAAAAAGAGTGTTTCGAATCTGCTCTGTCTAAAGGAAGGTTCAACTCTGTCAGTTGAATACACACAACACAAGGGAATTTACTGAGATTTCTTCTGTCTAGCCTTACATGAAAAAAACCCGTTTCCAACGAAGGCCTCAAAGAGGTCAAAATATCCACGTGCAGACTTTCCAAACAGAGTGTTTCCAAACTGCTGAATGAAAAGAAAAGTTAAACTCTGTGAGTTGAACGCACACATCCCAGAGCAGTTTCTGAGAAAGATTCTGTCTAATTTTTATAGGAAAATATTTCCTTTTCTGCTTTTGGCCTCAAAGCGCTTGAAATCTCCACTTGCAAATTCCACAAAAAGAGACTTTCAAATCTGCTCTGTCTAAAGGAAGGTTCAACTCTGTCAGTTGAATACACACAACAAAAAGAAGTTACTAAGAATTCTTCCCTCTAGCATTATATGAAGAAATCCCGTTTCCAACGAAGGCATCTAAGAGGTCCAAATATCCACTTGCAGACTTTACAAACACAGGGTTTCCAGAATGCTGTATGAAAAGAAAGGTTAAACTCTGTGAGTTAAACACACACATCACTACGCAGTGTCTGGGAACGAGTTTGTCTTGTTTTTATACGAAGATATTTCCTTTTCTACCATTGGCATCGAAGCGCTTGAAATCTCCACTTGCAAATTCCACAAAAAGAGTGTTTCAAATCTGCTCTGTCTAAAGGAAGGTTGAACTCTGTGAGTTGCATACACACAACACAAAGAAGTTACTGAGAAATCTTCTGTCTAGCATAATATGAAGAAATCCCGTTTCCAACGAAGGCCTCAAAGAGGTCCGAATATCCACTGGCAGGCTTCACAAACAGAGTGTTTCCTAACTGCTCTGTGAAAAGAAAGGTTAAACTCTGTGAGTTGAACGCACACATCACAAAGGAGTTTTCTGAGAATCATTTCTGTCTAGTTTTTATACGAAGATATTTCCTTTTCTACCATTGACCTCAAAGCGGCTGACATCTCCACTTGCAAATTCCAGAAAAACAGTGTTTCAAATCTGCTCTGTGTAAAGGATCGTTCAACTCTGTGAGTTGAATACACACAACACAAGGAAGTTACTGAGAATTCATCTGTCTAGCATAATATGAAGAAATCCCGTTTCCAACGAAGGCCTCAAAGAGGTCTGAATATCCACTTGCAGACTTTACAAACAGAGTGTTTCCTAACTGCTCTTTGAAAAGAAAGGTTAAACTCTGTGAGTTGAACGCACACATCAAAAAACAGTTTCTGAGAATCATTCTGTCTAGTTTTTATACGAAGATATTTCCTTTTCTACCGTTGACCTCAAAGCGGCTGAATTCTCCACTTACAAATTCCACCAAAAGAGTGTCTCAAATCTGCTCTGTGTAAAGAATCATTCAACTCTGTGAGTTGAATGCACACAACACAAGGAAGTTACTGGGAATTCCTCTGTCTATCCTTACATGAAAAAACCCGTTTCCAACGAAGGCCTCTAAGAGGCCAAGATATCCACTTGCAGACTTTACAAACAGAGTGTTTCCAAACTGCTGAATGAAAAGAAAAGTTAAACTCTGTGAGTTGAACGCACACATCACAGAGCAGTTTCTGAGAATGATTCTGTCGGGTTTTTATACGAAGATATTTCCTTTTCTGCCTTTGGCCTCAAAGCGCTTGAAGTCTCCACTTGCAAATTGCAGAAAAAGAGTGTTTCGAATCTGCTCTGTCTAAAGGAAGGTTCAACTCTGTCAGTTGAATACACACAACACAAGGAAGTTACTGAGATTTCTTCTGTCTAGCCTTACATGAAAAAAACCGTTTCCAACGAAGGCCACAAAGAGGTCAAAATATCCACGTGCAGACTTTCCAAACAGAGTGTTTCCAAACTGCTGAATGAAAAGAAAGTTAAACTCTGTGAGTTGAACACACACATCACAGAGCAGTTTCTGAGAATGATTCTGTCTAGTTTTTATAGGAAAATATTTCCTTTTCTGCTTTTGGCCTCAAAGCGCTTGAAATCTCCACTTGCAAATTCCACAAAAAGAGACTTTCAAATCTGCTCTGTCTAAAGGAAGGTTCAACTCTGTCAGTTGAATACACACAACACAAAGAAGTTACTAAGAATTCTTCCCTCTAGCATTATATGAAGAAATCCCGTTTCCAACGAAGGCATCTAAGAGGTCCAAATATCCACTTGCAGACTTTACAAACACAGGGTTTCCAGAATGCTGTATGAAAAGAAAGGTTAAACTCTGTGAGTTAAACACACACATCACTACGCAGTGTCTGGGAACGAGTTTGTCTTGTTTTTATACGAAGATATTTCCTTTTCTACCATTGGCATCGAAGCGCTTGAAATCTCCACTTGCAAATTCCACAAAAAGAGTGTTTCAAATCTGCTCTGTCTAAAGGAAGGTTGAACTCTGTGAGTTGCATACACACAACACAAAGAAGTTACTGAGAAATCTTCTGTCTAGCATAATATGAAGAAATCCCGTTTCCAACGAAGGCCTCAAAGAGGTCCGAATATCCACTGGCAGGCTTCACAAACAGAGTGTTTCCTAACTGCTCTGTGAAAAGAAAGGTTAAACTCTGTGAGTTGAACGCACACATCACAAAGGAGTTTCTGAGAATCATTCTGTCTAGTTTTTATACGAAGATATTTCCTTTTCTACCATTGACCTCAAAGCGGCTGAAATCTCCACTTGCAAATTCCACAAAAAGAGTGTTTCTAATCTGCTGTGTGTAAAGGATCATTCAACTCTGTGAGTTGAATGCACACAACACAAGGGAAGTTATTGAGAATTCTTCTGTCTAGCATAATATGAAGAAACCCCATTTCCAACGAAGGCCTCAAAGAGGTCTGAATATCCACTGGCAGACTTCACAAACAGAGTGTTTCCTAACTACTCTATGAAAAGAAAGGTTAAACTCTGTGAGTTGAACGCACACATCACAAAGGAGTTTCTGAGAATCATTCTGTCTAGTTTTTATACGAAGATATTTCCTTTTCTACCATTGACCTCAAAGCGGCTGAAATCTCCACTTGCAAATTCCAGAAAAACAGTGTTTCAAATCTGCTCTGTGTAAAGGATCGTTCAACTCTGTGAGTTGAATACACACAACACAAGGAAGTTACTGAGAATTCATCTGTCTAGCATAATATGAAGAAATCCCGTTTCCAACGAAGGCCTCAAAGAGGTCTGAATATCCACTTGCAGACTTTACAAACAGAGTGTTTCCTAACTGCTCTTTGAAAAGAAAGGTTAAACTCTGTGAGTTGAACGCACACATCACAAAACAGTTTCTGAGAATCATTCTGTCTAGTTTTTATACGAAGATATTTCCTTTTCTACCGTTGACCTCAAAGCGGCTGAATTCTCCACTTACAAATTCCACCAAAAGAGTGTCTCAAATCTGCTCTGTGTAAAGAATCATTCAACTCTGTGAGTTGAATGCACACAACACAAGGAAGTTACTGGGAATTCCTCTGTCTAACCTTACATGAAAAAACCCGTTTCCAACGAAGGCCTCTAAGAGGCCAAGATATCCACTTGCAGACTTTACAAACAGAGTGTTTCCAAACTGCTGAATGAAAAGAAAAGTTAAACTCTGTGAGTTGAACGCACACATCACAGAGCAGTTTCTGAGAATGATTCTGTCGGGTTTTTATACGAAAATATTTCCTTTTCTGCCTTTGGCCTCAAAGCGCTTGAAGTCTCCACATGCAAATTGCAGAAAAAGAGTGTTTCGAATCTGCTCTGTCTAAAGGAAGGTTCAACTCTGTCAGTTGAATACACACAACACAAGGAAGTTACTGAGATTTCTTCTGTCTAGCCTTACATGAAAAAAACCCGTTTCCAACGAAGGCCTCAAAGAGGTCAAAATATCCACGTGCAGACTTTCCAAACAGAGTGTTTCCAAACTGCTGAATGAAAAGAAAAGTTAAACTCTGTGAGTTGAACGCACACATCCCAGAGCAGTTTCTGAGAAAGATTCTCTCTAGTTTTTATAGGAAAATATTTCCTTTTCTGCTTTTGGCCTCAAAGCGCTTGAAATCTCCACTTGCAAATTCCACAAAAAGAGACTTTCAAATCTGCTCTGTCTAAAGGAAGGTTCAACTCTGTCAGTTGAATACACACAACACAAAGAAGTTACTAAGAATTCTTCCCTCTAGCATTATATGAAGAAATCCCGTTTCCAACGAAGGTATCTAAGAGGTCCAAATATCCACTTGCAGACTTTACAAACACAGGGTTTCCAGAATGCTGTATGAAAAGAAAGGTTAAACTCTGTGAGTTAAACACACACATCACTACGCAGTGTCTGGGAACGAGTTTGTCTTGTTTTTATACGAAGATATTTCCTTTTCTACCATTGGCATCGAAGCGCTTGAAATCTCCACTTGCAAATTCCACAAAAAGAGTGTTTCAAATCTGCTCTGTCTAAAGGAAGGTTGAACTCTGTGAGTTGCATACACACAACACAAAGAAGTTACTGAGAAATCTTCTGTCTAGCATAATATGAAGAAATCCCGTCTCCAACGAAGGCCTCAAAGAGGTCCGAATATCCACTGGCAGGCTTCACAAACAGAGTGTTTCCTAACTGCTCTGTGAAAAGAAAGGTTAAACTCTGTGAGTTGAACGCACACATCACAAAGGAGTTTCTGAGAATCATTCTGTCTAGTTTTTATACGAAGATATTTCCTTTTCTACCATTGACCTCAAAGCGGCTGAAATCTCCACTTGCAAATTCCAGAAAAACAGTGTTTCAAATCTGCTCTGTGTAAAGGATCGTTCAACTCTGTGAGTTGAATACACACAACACAAGGAAGTTACTGAGAATTCATCTGTCTAGCATAATATGAAGAAATCCCGTTTCCAACGAAGGCCTCAAAGAGGTCTGAATATCCACTTGCAGACTTTACAAACAGAGTGTTTCCTAACTGCTCTTTGAAAAGAAAGGTTAAACTCTGTGAGTTGAAAGCACACATCACAAAACAGTTTCTGAGAATCATTCTGTCTAGTTTTTATACGAAGATATTTCCTTTTCTACCGTTGACCTCAAAGCAGCTGAATTCTCCACTTACAAATTCCACCCAAAGAGTGTCTCAAATCTGCTCTGTGTAAAGAATCATTCAACTCTGTGAGTTGAATGCACACAACACAAGGAAGTTACTGGGAATTCCTCTGTCTAACCTTACATGAAAAAACCCGTTTCCAACGAAGGCCTCTAAGAGGCCAAGATATCCACTTGCAGACTTTACAAACAGAGTGTTTCCAAACTGCTGAATGAAAAGAAAAGTTAAACTCTGTGAGTTGAACGCACACATCACAGAGCAGTTTCTGAGAATGATTCTGTCGGGTTTTTATACGAAGATATTTCCTTTTCTGCCTTTGGCCTCAAAGCGCTTGAAGTCTCCACTTGCAAATTGCAGAAAAAGAGTGTTTCGAATCTGCTCTGTCTAAAGGAAGGTTCAACTCTGTCAGTTGAATACACACAACACAAGGAAGTTACTGAGATTTCTTCTGTCTAGCCTTACATGAAAAAAACCCGTTTCCAACGAAGGCCTCAAAGAGGTCAAAATATCCACGTGCAGACTTTCCAAACAGAGTGTTTCCAAACTGCTGAATGAAAAGAAAAGTTAAACTCTGTGAGTTGAACGCACACATCCCAGAGCAGTTTCTGAGAAAGATTCTGTCGAGTTTTTATAGGAAAATATTTCCTTTTCTGCTTTTGGCCTCAAAGCGCTTGAAATCTCCACTTGCAAATTCCACAAAAAGAGACTTTCAAATCTGCTCTGTCTAAAGGAAGGTTCAACTCTGTCAGTTGAATACACACAACACAAAGAAGTTACTAAGAATTCTTCCCTCTAGCATTATATGAAGAAATCCCGTTTCCAACGAAGGCATCTAAGAGGTCCAAATATCCACTTGCAGACTTTACAAACACAGGGTTTCCAGAATGCTGTATGAAAAGAAAGGTTAAACTCTGTGAGTTAAACACACACATCACTACGCAGTGTCTGGGAACGAGTTTGTCTTGTTTTTATACGAAGATATTTCCTTTTCTACCATTGGCATCGAAGCGCTTGAAATCTCCACTTGCAAATTCCACAAAAAGAGTGTTTCAAATCTGCTCTGTCTAAAGGAAGGTTGAACTCTGTGAGTTGCATACACACAACACAAAGAAGTTACTGAGAAATCTTCTGTCTAGCATAATATGAAGAAATCCCGTTTCCAACGAAGGCCTCAAAGAGGTCCGAATATCCACTGGCAGGCTTCACAAACAGAGTGTTTCCTAACTGCTCTGTGAAAAGAAAGGTTAAACTCTGTGAGTTGAACGCACACATCACAAAGGAGTTTCTGAGAATCATTCTGTCTAGTTTTTATACGAAGATATTTCCTTTTCTACCATTGACCTCAAAGCGGCTGAAATCTCCACTTGCAAATTCCAGAAAAACAGTGTTTCAAATCTGCTCTGTGTAAAGGATCGTTCAACTCTGTGAGTTGAATACACACAACACAAGGAAGTTACTGAGAATTCATCTGTCGTAGCATGAATAATGAAGAAATCCCGTTTCCAACGAAGGCCTCAAAAAGGTCTGAATATCCACTTGCAGACTTTACAAACAGAGTGTTTCCTAACTGCTCTTTGAAAAGAAAGGTTAAACTCTGTGAGTTGAACGCACACATCACAAAACAGTTTCTGAGAATCATTCTGTCTAGTTTTTATACGAAGATATTTCCTTTTCTACCATTGACCTCAAAGCGGCTGAATTCTCCACTTACAAATTCCACCAAAAGAGTGTCTCAAATCTGCTCTGTGTAAAGAATCATTCAACTCTGTGAGTTGAATGCACACAACACAAGGAAGTTACTGGGAATTCCTCTGTCTAACCTTACATGAAAAAAACCCGTTTCCAACGAAGTCCTCTAAGAGGACAATATATCCACTTGCAGACTATACAAACAGGGTGTTTCCAAACTGCTGAATGAAAAGAAAAGTTAAACTCTGTGAGTTGAACGCACACATCCAGAGCAGTTTCTGAGAATGATTCTGTCTGGTTTTTATACGAAGATATTTCCTTTTCTGCCTTTGACCTCAAGGCGCTTGATGTCTCCACTTGCAAATTGCACAAAAAGAGTGTTTCGAATCTGCTCTGTCTAAAGGAAGGTTCAACTCTGTCAGTTGAATACCCACAACACAAGGAAGTTACTGAGATTTCTTCTGTCTAGCCTTACATGAAAAATCCCGTTTCCAACGATGGCCTCAAAGAGGTCAAAATATCCACTTGCAGACTTTACAAACAGAGTGTTTCCAAACTGCTGAATGAAAAGTTAAACTCTGTGAGTTGAACGCACACATCACAGAGCAGTTTTGAGAATGATTCTGTCGGGTTTTTATACGAAGATATTTCCTTTTCTGCCTTTCGCCTCAAAGCGCTTGAAGTCTCCACTTGCAAATTGCAGAAAAAGAGTGTTTGGAATCTGCTCTGTCTAAAGGAAGGTTCAACCCTGTCAGTTGAATACACACAACACAAGGAAGTTACTGAGATTTCCTCTGTCTAGCCTTACATGAAAAAAACCCGTTTCCAACGAAGGCCTCAAAGAGGTCAAAATATCCACGTGCAGACTTTCCAAACAGAGTGTTTCCAAACTGCTGAATGAAAAGAAAAGTTAAACTCTGTGAGTTGAACGCACACATCCCAGAGCAGTTTCTGAGAAAGATTCTGTCGAGTTTTTATAGGAAAATATTTCCTTTTCTGCTTTTGGCCTCAAAGCGCTTGAAATCTCCACTTGCAAATTCCACAAAAAGAGACTTTCAAATCTGCTCTGTCTAAAGGAAGGTTCAACTCTGTCAGTTGAATACACACAACACAAAGAAGTTACTAAGAATTCTTCCCTCTAGCATTATATGAAGAAATCCCGTTTCCAACGAAGGCATCTAAAAGGTCCAAATATCCACTTGCAGACTTTACAAACACAGGGTTTCCAGAATGCTGTATGAAAAGAAAGGTTAAACTCTGTGAGTTAAACACACACATCACTACGCAGTGTCTGGGAACGAGTTTTGTCTTGTTTTTATACGAAGATATTTCCTTTTCTACCATTGGCATCGAAGCGCTTGAAATCTCCACTTGCAAATTCCACAAAAAGAGTGTTTCAAATCTGCTCTGTCTAAAGGAAGGTTGAACTCTGTGAGTTGCATACACACAACACAAAGAAGTTACTGAGAAATCTTCTGTCTAGCATAATATGAAGAAATCCCGTTTCCAACGAAGGCCTCAAAGAGGTCCGAATATCCACTGGCAGGCTTCACAAACAGAGTGTTTCCTAACTGCTCTGTGAAAAGAAAGGTTAAACTCTGTGAGTTGAACGCACACATCACAAAGGAGTTTCTGAGAATCATTCTGTCTAGTTTTTATACGAAGATATTTCCTTTTCTACCATTGACCTCAAAGCGGCTGAAATCTCCACTTGCAAATTCCAGAAAAACAGTGTTTCAAATCTGCTCTGTGTAAAGGATCGTTCAACTCTGTGAGTTGAATACACACAACACAAGGAAGTTACTGAGAATTCATCTGTCTAGCATAATATGAAGAAATCCCGTTTCCAACGAAGGCCTCAAAGAGGTCTGAATATCCACTTGCAGACTTTACAAACAGAGTGTTTCCTAACTGCTCTTTGAAAAGAAAGGTTAAACTCTGTGAGTTGAACGCACACATCACAAAACAGTTTCTGAGAATCATTCTGTCTAGTTTTTATACGAAGATATTTCCTTTTCTACCGTTGACCTCAAAGCGGCTGAATTCTCCACTTACAAATTCCACCAAAAGAGTGTCTCAAATCTGCTCTGTGTAAAGAATCATTCAACTCTGTGAGTTGAATGCACACAACACAAGGAAGTTACTGGGAATTCCTCTGTCTAACCTTACATGAAAAAACCCGTTTCCAACGAAGGCCTCTAAGAGGCCAAGATATCCACTTGCAGACTTTACAAACAGAGTGTTTCCAAACTGCTGAATGAAAAGAAAAGTTAAACTCTGTGAGTTGAACGCACACATCACAGAGCAGTTTCTGAGAATGATTCTGTCGGGTTTTTATACGAAGATATTTCCTTTTCTGCCTTTGGCCTCAAAGCGCTTGAAGTCTCCACTTGCAAATTGCAGAAAAAGAGTGTTTCGAATCTGCTCTGTCTAAAGGAAGGTTCAACTCTGTCAGTTGAATACACACAACACAAGGAAGTTACTGAGATTTCTTCTGTCTAGCCTTACAAGAAAAAAACCCGTTTCCAACGAAGGCCTCAAAGAGGTCAAAATATCCACGTGCAGACTTTCCAAACAGAGTGTTTCCAAACTGCTGAATGGAAAGAAAAGTTAAACTCTGTGAGTTGAACGCACACATCCCAGAGCAGTTTCTGAGAAAGATTCTGTCTAGTTTTTATAGGAAAATATTTCCTTTTCTGCTTTTGGCCTCAAAGCGCTTGAAATCTCCACTTGCAAATTCCACAAAAAGAGACTTTCAAATCTGCTCTGTCTAAAGGAAGGTTCAACTCTGTCAGTTGAATACACACAACACAAAGAAGTTACTAAGAATTCTTCCCTCTAGCATTATATGAAGAAATCCCGTTTCCAAAGAAGGCATCTAAGAGGTCCAAATATCGACTTGCAGACTTTACAAACAGAGGGTTTCCAGAATGCTGTATGAAAAGAAAGGTTAAACTCTGTGAGTTAAACACACACATCACTACGCAGTGTCTGGGAACGAGTTTGTCTTGTTTTTATACGAAGATATTTCCTTTTCTACCATTGGCATCGAAGCGCTTGAAATCTCCACTTGCAAATTCCACAAAAAGAGTGTTTCAAATCTGCTCTGTCTAAAGGAAGGTTGAACTCTGTGAGTTGCATACACACAACACAAAGAAGTTACTGAGAAATCTTCTGTCTAGCAAAATATGAAGAAATCCCGTTTCCAACGAAGGCCTCAAAGAGGTCCGAATATCCACTGGCAGGCTTCACAAACAGAGTGTTTCCTAACTGCTCTGTGAAAAGAAAGGTTAAACTCTGTGAGTTGAACGCACACATCACAAAGGAGTTTCTGAGAATCATTCTGTCCAGTTTTTATACGAAGATATTTCCTTTTCTACCATTGACCTCAAAGCGGCTGAAATCTCCACTTGCAAATTCCAGAAAAACAGTGTTTCAAATCTGCTCTGTGTAAAGGATCGTTCAACTCTGTGAGTTGAATACACACAACACAAGGAAGTTACTGAGAATTCATCTGTCTAGCATAATATGAAGAAATCCCGTTTCCAACGAAGGCCTCAAAGAGGTCTGAATATCCACTTGCAGACTTTACAAACAGAGTGTTTCCTAACTGCTCTTTGAAAAGAAAGGTTAAACTCTGTGAGTTGAAAGCACACATCACAAAACAGTTTCTGAGAATCATTCTGTATAGTTTTTATACGAAGATATTTCCTTTTCTACCGTTGACCTCAAAGCGGCTGAATTCTCCATTTACAAATTCCACCAAAAGAGTGTCTCAAATCTGCTCTGTGTAAAGAATCATTCAACTCTGTGAGTTGAATGCACACAACACAAGGAAGTTACTGGGAATTCCTCTGTCTATCCTTACATGAAAAAACCCGTTTCCAACGAAGGCCTCTAAGAGGCCAAGATATCCACTTGCAGACTTTACAAACAGAGTGTTTCCAAACTGCTGAATGAAAAGAAAAGTTAAACTCTGTGAGTTGAACGCACACATCACAGAGCAGTTTCTGAGAAAGATTCTGTCTAGTTTTTATAGGAAAATATTTCCTTTTCTGCTTTTGGCCTCAAAGCGCTTGAAATCTCCACTTGCAAATTCCACAAAAAGAGTGTTTCAAATCTGCTCTGTCTAAAGGAAGGTTGAACTCTGTGAGTTGCATACACACAACACAAAGAAGTTACTGAGAAATCTTCCCTCTAGCATTATATGAAGAAATCCCATTTCCAACGAAGGCATCTAAGAGGTCCAAATATCCACTTGCAGACTTTACAAACAGAGGGTTTCCAGAATGCTGTATGAAAAGAAAGGTGAAACTCTGTGAGTTAAACACACACATCACTACGCAGTGTCTGGGAACGAGTTTGTCTTGTTTTTATACGAAGATATTTCCTTTTCTACCATTGGCATCGAAGCGTTTGAAATCTCCACTTGCAAATTCCACAAAAAGAGTGTTTCAAATCTGCTCTGTCTAAAGGAAGGTTGAACTCTGTGAGTTGCATACACACAACACAAAGAAGTTACTGAGAAATCTTCTGTCTAGCATAATATGAAGAAATCCCGTTTCCAACGAAGGCCTCAAAGAGGTCCGAATATCCACTGGCAGGCTTCACAAACAGAGTGTTTCCTAACTGCTCTGTGAAAAGAAAGGTTAAACTCTGTGAGTTGAACGCACACATCACAAAGGAGTTTCTGAGAATCATTCTGTCTAGTTTTTATACGAAGATATTTCCTTTTCTACCATTGACCTCAAAGCGGCTGAAATCTCCACTTGCAAATTCCAGAAAAACAGTGTTTCAAATCTGCTCTGTGTAAAGGATCGTTCAACTCTGTGAGTTGAATACACACAACACAAGGAAGTTACTGAGAATTCATCTGTCTAGCATAATATGAAGAAATCCCGTTTCCAACGAAGGCCTCAAAGAGGTCTGAATATCCACTTGCAGACTTTACAAACAGAGTGTTTCCTAACTGCTCTTTGAAAAGAAAGGTTAAACTCTGTGAGTTGAACGCACACATCACAAAACAGTTTCTGAGAATCATTCTGTCTAGTTTTTATACGAAAGATATTTCCTTTTCTACCGTTGACCTCAAAGCGGCTGAATTCTCCACTTACAAATTCCACCAAAAGAGTGTCTCAAATCTGCTCTGTGTAAAGAATCATTCAACTCTGTGAGTTGAATGCACACAACACAAGGAAGTTACTGGGAATTCCTCTGTCTAACCTTACATGAAAAAACCCGTTTCCAACGAAGGCCTCTAAGAGGCCAAGATATCCACTTGCAGACTTTACAAACAGAGTGTTTCCAAACTGCTGAATGAAAAGAAAAGTTAAACTCTGTGAGTTGAACGCACACATCACAGAGCAGTTTCTGAGAATGATTCTGTCGGGTTTTTATACGAAGATATTTCCTTTTCTGCCTTTGGCCTCAAAGCGCTTGAAGTCTCCACTTGCAAATTGCAGAAAAAGAGTGTTTCGAATCTGCTCTGTCTAGAGGAAGGTTCAACTCTGTCAGTTGAATACACACAACACAAGGAAGTTACTGAGATTTCTTCTGTCTAGCCTTACATGAAAAAAACCCGTTTCCAACGAAGGCCTCAAAGAGGTCAAAATATCCACGTGCAGACTTTCCAAACAGAGTGTTTCCAAACTGCTGAATGAAAAGAAAAGTTAAACTCTGTGAGTTGAACGCACACATCCCAGAGCAGTTTCTGAGAAAGATTCTGTCGAGTTTTTATAGGAAAATATTTCCTTTTCTGCTTTTGGCCTCAAAGCGCTTGAAATCTCCACTTGCAAATTCCACAAAAAGAGACTTTCAAATCTGCTCTGTCTAAAGGAAGGTTCAACTCTGTCAGTTGAATACACACAACACAAAGAAGTTACTAAGAATTCTTCCCTCTAGCATTATATGAAGAAATCCCGTTTCCAACGAAGGCATCTAAGAGGTCCAAATATCCACTTGCAGACTTTACAAACACAGGGTTTCCAGAATGCTGTATGAAAAGAAAGGTTAAACTCTGTGAGTTAAACACACACATCACTACGCAGTGTCTGGGAACGAGTTTGTCTTGTTTTTATACGAAGATATTTCCTTTTCTACCATTGGCATCGAAGCGCTTGAAATCTCCACTTGCAAATTCCACAAAAAGAGTGTTTCAAATCTGCTCTGTCTAAAGGAAGGTTGAACTCTGTGAGTTGCATACACACAACACAAAGAAGTTACTGAGAAATCTTCTGTCTAGCATAATATGAAGAAATCCCGTTTCCAACGAAGGCCTCAAAGAGGTCCGAATATCCACTGGCAGGCTTCACAAACAGAGTGTTTCCTAACTGCTCTGTGAAAAGAAAGGTTAAACTCTGTGAGTTGAACGCACACATCACAAAGGAGTTTCTGAGAATCATTCTGTCTAGTTTTTATACGAAGATATTTCCTTTTCTACCATTGACCTCAAAGCGGCTGAAATCTCCACTTGCAAATTCCAGAAAAACAGTGTTTCAAATCTGCTCTGTGTAAAGGATCGTTCAACTCTGTGAGTTGAATACACACAACACAAGGAAGTTACTGAGAATTCATCTGTCTAGCATAATATGAAGAAATCCCGTTTCCAACGAAGGCCTCAAAGAGGTCTGAATATCCACTTGCAGACTTTACAAACAGAGTGTTTCCTAACTGCTCTTTGAAAAGAAAGGTTAAACTCTGTGAGTTGAACGCACACATCACAAAACAGTTTCTGAGAATCATTCTGTCTAGTTTTTATACGAAGATATTTCCTTTTCTACCGTTGACCTCAAAGCGGCTGAATTCTCCACTTACAAATTCCACCAAAAGAGTGTCTCAAATCTGCTCTGTGTAAAGAATCATTCAACTCTGTGAGTTGAATGCACACAACACAAGGAAGTTACTGGGAATTCCTGTGTGTATCCTTACATGAAAAAACCCGTTTCCAACGAAGGCCTCTAAGAGGCCAAGATATCCACTTGCAGACTTTACAAACAGAGTGTTTCCAAACTGCTGAATGAAAAGAAAAGTTAAACTCTGTGAGTTGAACGCACACATCACAGAGCAGTTTCTGAGAATGATTCTGTCGGGTTTTTATACGAAGATATTTCCTTTTCTGCCTTTGGCCTCAAAGCGCTTGAAGTCTCCACTTGCAAATTGCAGAAAAAGAGTGTTTCGAATCTGCTCTGTCTAAAGGAAGGTTCAACTCTGTCAGTTGAATACACACAACACAAGGAAGTTACTGAGATTTCTTCTGTCTAGCCTTACATGAAAAAAACCCGTTTCCAACGAAGGCCTCAAAGAGGTCAAAATATCCACGTGCAGACTTTCCAAACAGAGTGTTTCCAAACTGCTGAATGAAAAGAAAAGTTAAACTCTGTGAGTTGAACGCACACATCCCAGAGCAGTTTCTGAGAAAGATTCTGTCGAGTTTTTATAGGAAAATATTTCCTTTTCTGCTTTTGGCCTCAAAGCGCTTGAAATCTCCACTTGCAAATTCCACAAAAAGAGACTTTCAAATCTGCTCTGTCTAAAGGAAGGTTCAACTCTGTCAGTTGAATACACACAACACAAAGAAGTTACTAAGAATTCTTCCCTCTAGCATTATATGAAGAAATCCCGTTTCCGACGAAGGCATCTAAAAGGTCCAAATATCCACTTGCAGACTTTACAAACACAGGGTTTCCAGAATGCTGTATGAAAAGAAAGGTTAAACTCTGTGAGTTAAACACACACATCACTACGCAGTGGCTGGGAACGAGTTTTGTCTTGTTTTTATACGAAGATATTTTCCTTTTCTACCATTGGCATCGATGCGCTTGAAATTTCCACTTGCAAATTCCACAAAAAGAGTGTTTCAAATCTGCTCTGTCTAAAGGAAGGTTGAACTCTGTGAGTTGCATACACACAACACAAAGAAGTTACTGAGAAATCTTCTGTCTAGCATAATATGAAGAAATCCCGTTTCCAACGAAGGCCTCAAAGAGGTCCGAATATCCACTGGCAGGCTTCACAAACAGAGTGTTTCCTAACTGCTCTGTGAAAAGAAAGGTTAAACTCTGTGAGTTGAACGCACACATCACAAAGGAGTTTCTGAGAATCATTCTGTCTAGTTTTTATACGAAGATATTTCCTTTTCTACCATTGACCTCAAAGCGGCTGAAATCTCCACTTGCAAATTCCAGAAAAACAGTGTTTCAAATCTGCTCTGTGTAAAGGATCGTTCAACTCTGTGAGTTGAATACACACAACACAAGGAAGTTACTGAGAATTCATCTGTCTAGCATAATATGAAGAAATCCCGTTTCCAACGAAGGCCTCAAAGAGGTCTGAATATCCACTTGCAGACTTTACAAACAGAGTGTTTCCTAACTGCTCTTTGAAAAGAAAGGTTAAACTCTGTGAGTTGAACGCACACATCACAAAACAGTTTCTGAGAATCATTCTGTCTAGTTTTTATACGAAGATATTTCCTTTTCTACCGTTGACCTCAAAGCGGCTGAATTCTCCACTAACAAATTCCACCAAAAGAGTGTCTCAAATCTGCTCTGTGTAAAGAATCATTCAACTCTGTGAGTTGAATGCACACAACACAAGGAAGTTACTGGGAATTCCTCTGTCTATCCTTACATGAAAAAACCCGTTTCCAACGAAGGCCTCTAAGAGGCCAAGATATCCACTTGCAGACTTTACAAACAGAGTGTTTCCAAACTGCTGAATGAAAAGAAAAGTTAAACTCTGTGAGTTGAACGCACACATCACAGAGCAGTTTCTGAGAATGATTCTGTCGGGTTTTTATACGAAGATATTTCCTTTTCTGCCTTTGGCCTCAAAGCGCTTGAAGTCTCCACTTGCAAATTGCAGAAAAAGAGTGTTTCGAATCTGCTCTGTCTAAAAGAAGGTTCAACTCTGTCAGTTGAATACACACAACACAAGGAAAGTTACTGAGATTTCTTCTGTCTAGCCTTACATGAAAAAAACCCGTTTCCAACGAAGGCCTCAAAGAGGTCAAAATATCCACGTGCAGACTTTCCAAACAGAGTGTTTCCAAACTGCTGAATGAAAAGAAAGTTAAACTCTGTGAGTTGAACACACACATCACAGAGCAGTTTCTGAGAATGATTCTGTCTAGTTTTTATAGGAAAATATTTCCTTTTCTGCTTTTGGCCTCAAAGCGCTTGAAATCTCCACTTGCAAATTCCACAAAAAGAGACTTTCAAATCTTCTCTGTCTAAAGGAAGGTTCAACTCTGTCAGTTGAATACACACAACACAAAGAAGTTACTAAGAATTCTTCCCTCTACCATTATATGATGAAATCCCGTTTCCAACGAAGGCATCTAAGAGATCCAAATATACACTTGCAGACTTTACAAACAGAGGGTTTCCAGCATTCTGTATGAAAAGAAAGGTTAAAGTCTGTGAGTTAAACACACACATCACTACGCAGTTTCTGGGAATGATTTTGTCTTGTTTTTATACGAAGATATTCCCTTTTCGACCATTGGCGTCGAAGCGCTTGAAATCTCCACTTGCAAATTCCACAAAAAGAGTGTTTCAAATCTGCTCTGTCTAAAGGCAGGATGAACTCTGTGAGTTGCATACACACAACACAAAGTAGTTACTGAGAAATCTGTCTAGCATAATATGAAGAAATCCCGTTTCCAACGAAGGCCTCAAAGAGGTCCGAATATCCACTGGCAGACTTC
This sequence comes from Homo sapiens, assembly GCF_000001405.40. NCBI lineage: Eukaryota > Metazoa > Chordata > Mammalia > Primates > Hominidae > Homo > Homo sapiens. The sequence goes on along the minus strand of NC_000016.10, from coordinate 38,111,331 downwards.
ACAAACAGAGTGTTTCCTAACTGCTCTGTGAAAAGAAAGGTTAAACTCTGTGAGTTGAACGCACACATCACAAAACAGTTTCTGAGAATCATTCTGTCTAGTTTTTATACGAAGATATTTCCTTTTCTACCATTGACCTCAAAGCGGCTGAATTCTCCACTTACAAATTCCACCAAAAGAGTGTCTCAAATCTGCTCTGTGTAAAGAATCATTCAACTCTGTGGGTTGAATGCACACAACACAAGGAAGTTACTGGGAATTCCTTTGTCTAACCTTACATGAAAAAAACCCGTTTCCAACGAAGGCCTCTAAGAGGCCAATATATCCACTTGCAGACTTTACAAACAGAGTGTTTCCAAACTGCTGAATGAAAAGAAAAGTTAAACTTTGTGAGTTGAACGCACACATCACAGAGCAGTTTCTGAGAATGATTCTGTCGGGTTTTTATACGAAGATATTTCCTTTTCTGCCTTTGGCCTCAAAGCGCTTGAAGTCTCCACTTGCAAATTGCAGAAAAAGAGTGTTTGGAATCTGCTCTGTCTAAAGGAAGGTTCAACCCTGTCAGTTGAATACACACAACACAAGGAAGTTACAGAGATTTCCTCTGTCTAGCCTTACATGAAAAAAACCCGTTTCCAACGAAGGCCTCAAAGAGGTCAAATTATCCATGGCAGACTTTACAAACAGAGTGTTTCCAAACTGCTGAATGAAAAGAAAAGTTAAACTCTGTGAGTTGAACGCACACATCACAGAGCAGTTTCTGAGAATGATTCTGTCTAGTTTTTATAGGAAAATATTTCCTTTTCTGCATTTGGCCTCAAAGCGCTTGAAATCTCCACTTGCAAATTCCACAAAAAGAGACTTTCAAATCTGGTCTGTCTAAAGGAAGGTTCAACTCTGTCAGTTGAATACACACAACACAAAGAAGTTACTAAGAATTCTTCCCTCTAGCATTATATGAAGAAATCCCGTTTCCAACGAAGGCATCTAAGAGGTCCAAATATCCACTTGCAGACTTTACAAACAGAGGGTTTCCAGAATTCTGTATAAAGAGAAAGGTTAAACTCTGTGAGTTAAACACACACATCACTACGCAGTTTCTGGGAACGAGTTTGTCTTGTTTTTATACGAAGATATTTCCTTTTCTACCATTGGCATCAAAGCGCTTGAAATCTCCACTTGCAAATTCCACAAAAAGAGTGTTTCAAATCTGCTCTCTCTAAAGGAAAGTTGAACTCTGTGAGTTGCATATACACAACCCAAAATGGTTACTGAGAAATCTGTCTAGCATAATATGAAGAAATCCCGTTTCCAACGAAGGCCTCAAAGAGGTCCGAATATCCACTGGCAGGCTTCACAAACAGAGTGTTTCCTAACTGCTCTGTGAAAAGAAAGGTTAAACTCTGTGAGTTGAACGCACACATCACAAAGGAGTTTCTGAGAATCATTCTGTCTAGTTTTTATACGAAGATATTTCCTTTTCTACCATTGACCTCAAAGCGGCTGACATCTCCACTTGCAAATTCCAGAAAAACAGTGTTTCAAATCTGCTCTGTGTAAAGGATCGTTCAACTCTGTGAGTTGAATACACACAACACAAGGAAGTTACTGAGAATTCATCTGTCTAGCATAATATGAAGAAATCCCGTTTCCAACGAAGGCCTCAAAGAGGTCTGAATATCCACTTGCAGACTTTACAAACAGAGTGTTTCCTAACTGCTCTTTGAAAAGAAAGGTTAAACTCTGTGAGTTGAAAGCACACATCACAAAACAGTTTCTGAGAATCATTCTGTCTAGTTTCTATACGAAGATATTTCCTTTTCTACCGTTGACCTCAAAGCAGCTGAATTCTCCACTTACAAATTCCACCAAAAGAGTGTCTCAAATCTGCTCTGTGTAAAGAATCATTCAACTCTGTGAGTTGAATGCACACAACACAAGGAAGTTACTGGGAATTCGTCTGTCTAACCTTACATGAAAAAACCCGTTTCCAACGAAGGCCTCTAAGAGGCCAAGATATCCACTTGCAGACTTTACAAACAGAGTGTTTCCAAACTGCTGAATGAAAAGAAAAGTTAAACTCTGTGAGTTGAACGCACACATCACAGAGCAGTTTCTGAGAATGATTCTGTCGGGTTTTTATACGAAGATATTTCCTTTTCTGCCTTTGGCCTCAAAGCGCTTGAAGTCTCCACTTGCAAATTGCAGAAAAAGAGTGTTTCGAATCTGCTCTGTCTAAAGGAAGGTTCAACTCTGTCAGTTGAATACACACAACACAAGGAAGTTACTGAGATTTCTTCTGTCTAGCCTTACATGAAAAAAACCCGTTTCCAACGAAGGCCTCAAAGAGGTCAAAATATCCACGTGCAGACTTTCCAAACAGAGTGTTTCCAAACTGCTGAATGAAAAGAAAAGTTAAACCCTGTGAGTTGAACGCACACATCCCAGAGCAGTTTCTGAGAAAGATTCTGTCTAGTTTTTATAGGAAAATATTTCCTTTTCTGCTTTTGGCCTCAAAGCGCTTGAAATCTCCACTTGCAAATTCCACAAAAAGAGACTTTCAAATCTGCTCTGTCTAAAGGAAGGTTCAACTCTGTCAGTTGAATACACACAACACAAAGAAGTTACTAAGAATTCTTCCCTCTAGCATTATATGAAGAAATCCCGTTTCCAACGAAGGCATCTAAGAGGTCCAAATATCCACTTGCAGACTTTACAAACAGAGGGTTTCCAGAATGCTGTATGAAAAGAAAGGTGAAACTCTGTGAGTTAAACACACACATCACTACGCAGTGTCTGGGAACGAGTTTGTCTTGTTTTTATACGAAGATATTTCCTTTTCTACCATTGGCATCGAAGCGCTTGAAATCTCCACTTGCAAATTCCACAAAAAGAGTGTTTCAAATCTGCTCTGTCTAAAGGAAGGTTGAACTCTGTGAGGTGCATACACACAACACAAAGAAGTTACTGAGAAATCTTCTGTCTAGCATAATATGAAGAAATCCCGTTTCCAACGAAGGCCTCAAAGAGGTCCGAATATCCACTGGCAGGCTTCACAAACAGAGTGTTTCCTAACTGCTCTGTGAAAAGAAAGGTTAAACTCTGTGAGTTGAACGCACACATCACAAAGGAGTTTCTGAGAATCATTCTGTCTAGTTTTTATACGAAGATATTTCTTTTTCTACCATTGACCTCAAAGCGGCTGAAATCTCCACTTGCAAATTCCAGAAAAACAGTGTTTCAAATCTGCTCTGTGTAAAGGATCGTTAAACTCTGTGAGTTGAATACACACAACACAAGGAAGATACTGAGAATTCATCTGTCTAGCATAATATGAAGAAATCCCGTTTCCAACGAAGGCCTCAAAGAGGTCTGAATATCCACTTGCAGACTTTACAAACAGAGTGTTTCCTAACTGCTCTCTGAAAAGAAAGGTTAAACTCTGTGAGTTGAACGCACACATCACAAAACAGTTTCTGAGAATCATTCTGTCTAGTTTTTATACGAAGATATTTCCTTTTCTACCGTTGACCTCAAAGCGGCTGAATTCTCCACTTACAAATTCCACCAAAAGAGTGTCTCAAATCTGCTCTGTGTAAAGAATCATTCAACTCTGTGAGTTGAATGCACACAACACAAGGAAGTTACTGGGAATTCCTCTGTCTAACCTTACATGAAAAAACCCGTTTCCAACGAAGGCCTCTAAGAGGCCAAGATATCCACTTGCAGACTTTTCAAACAGAGTGTTTCCAAACTGCTGAATGAAAAGAAAAGTTAAACTCTGTGAGTTGAACGCACACATCACAGAGCAGTTTCTGAGAATGATTCTGTCGGGTTTTTATACGAAGATATTTCCTTTTCTGCCTTTGGCCTCAAAGCGCTTGAAGTCTCCACTTGCAAATTGCAGAAAAAGAGTGTTTCGAATCTGCTCTGTCTAAAAGAAGGTTCAACTCTGTCAGTTGAATACACACAACACAAGGAAAGTTACTGAGATTTCTTCTGTCTAGCCTTACATGAAAAAAACCCGTTTCCAACGAAGGCCTCAAAGAGGTCAAAATATCCACGTGCAGACTTTCCAAACAGAGTGTTTCCAAACTGCTGAATGAAAAGAAAAGTTAAACTCTGTGAGTTGAACACACACATCCCAGAGCAGTTTCTGAGAAAGATTCTGTCTAGTTTTTATAGGAAAATATTTCCTTTTCTGCTTTTGGCCTCAAAGCGCTTGAAATCTCCACTTGCAAATTCCACAAAAAGAGACTTTCAAATCTGCTCTGTCTAAAGGAAGGTTCAACTCTGTCAGTTGAATACACACAACACAAAGAAGTTACTAAGAATTCTTCCCTCTAGCATTATATGAAGAAATCCCGTTTCCAACGAAGGCATCTAAGAGGTCCAAATATCCACTTGCAGACTTTACAAACACAGGGTTTCCAGAATGCTGTATGAAAAGAAAGGTTAAACTCTGTGAGTTAAACACACACATCACTACGCAGTGTCTGGGAACGAGTTTGTCTTGTTTTTATACGAAGATATTTCCTTTTCTACCATTGGCATCGAAGCGCTTGAAATCTCCACTTGCAAATTCCACAAAAAGAGTGTTTCAAATCTGCTCTGTCTAAAGGAAGGTTGAACTCTGTGAGTTGCATACACACAACACAAAGAAGTTACTGAGAAATCTTCTGTCTAGCATAATATGAAGAAATCCCGTTTCCAACGAAGGCCTCAAAGAGGTCCGAATATCCACTGGCAGGCTTCACAAACAGAGTGTTTCCTAACTGCTCTGTGAAAAGAAAGGTTAAACTCTGTGAGTTGAACGCACACATCACAAAGGAGTTTCTGAGAATCATTCTGTCTAGTTTTTATACGAAGATATTTCCTTTTCTACCATTGACCTCAAAGCGGCTGAAATCTCCACTTGCAAATTCCAGAAAAACAGTGTTTCAAATCTGCTCTGTGTAAAGAATCGTTCAACTCTGTGAGTTGAATACACACAACACAAGGAAGTTACTGAGAATTCATCTGTCTAGCATAATATGAAGAAATCCCGTTTCCAATGAAGGCCTCAAAGAGGTCTGAATATCCACTTGCAGACTTTACAAACAGAGTGTTTCCTAACTGCTCTTTGAAAAGAAAGGTTAAACTCTGTGAGTTGAACGCACACATCAAAAAACAGTTTCTGAGAATCATTCTGTCTAGTTTTTATACGAAGATATTTCCTTTTCTACCGTTGACCTCAAAGCGGCTGAATTCTCCACTTACAAATTCCACCAAAAGAGTGTCTCAAATCTGCTCTGTGTAAAGAATCATTCAACTCTGTGAGTTGAATGCACAAAACACAAGGAAGTTACTGGGAATTCCTCTGTCTATCCTTACATGAAAAAACCCGCTTCCAACGAAGGCCTCTAAGAGGCCAAGATATCCACTTGCAGACTTTACAAACAGAGTGTTTCCAAACTGCTGAATGAAAAGAAAAGTTAAACTCTGTGAGTTGAACGCACACATCACAGAGCAGTTTCTGAGAATGATTCTGTCGGGTTTTTATACGAAGATATTTCCTTTTCTGCCTTTGGCCTCAAAGCGCTTGAAGTCTCCACTTGCAAATTGCAGAAAAAGAGTGTTTCGAATCTGCTCTGTCTAAAGGAAGGTTCAACTCTGTCAGTTGAATACACACAACACAAGGGAATTTACTGAGATTTCTTCTGTCTAGCCTTACATGATAAAAACCCGTTTCCAACGAAGGCCTCAAAGAGGTCAAAATATCCACGTGCAGACTTTCCAAACAGAGTGTTTCCAAACTGCTGAATGAAAAGAAAAGTTAAACTCTGTGAGTTGAACGCACACATCACAGAGCAGTTTCTGAGAATGATTCTGTCTAGTTTTTATAGGAAAATATTTCCTTTTCTGCTTTTGGCCTCAAAGCGCTTGAAATCTCCACTTGCAAATTCCACAAAAAGAGACTTTCAAATCTGCTCTGTCTAAAGGAAGGTTCAACTCTGTCAGTTGAATACACACAACACAAAGAAGTTACTAAGAATTCTTCCCTCTAGCATTATATGAAGAAATCCCGTTTCCAACGAAGGCATCTAAGAGGTCCAAATATCCACTTGCAGACTTTACAAACACAGGGTTTCCAGAATGCTGTATGAAAAGAAAGGTGAAACTCTGTGAGTTAAACACACACATCACTACGCAGTGTCTGGGAACGAGTTTGTCTTGTTTTTATACGAAGATATTTCCTTTTCTACCATTGGCATCGAAGCGCTTGAAATCTCCACTTGCAAATTCCACAAAAAGAGTGTTTCAAATCTGCTCTGTCTAAAGGAAGGTTGAACTCTGTGAGTTGCATACACACAACACAAAGAAGTTACTGAGAAATCTTCTGTCTTGCAAAATATGAAGAAATCCCGTTTCCAACGAAGGCCTCAAAGAGGTCCGAATATCCACTGGCAGGCTTCACAAACAGAGTGTTTCCTAACTGCTCTGTGAAAAGAAAGGTTAAACTCTGTGAGTTGAACGCACACATCACAAAGGAGTTTCTGAGAATCATTCTGTCCAGTTTTTATACGAAGATATTTCCTTTTCTACCATTGACCTCAAAGCGGCTGAAATCTCCACTTGCAAATTCCAGAAAAAGTGTTTCAAATCTGCTCTGTGTAAAGGATCGTTCAACTCTGTGAGTTGAATACACACAACACAAGGAAGTTACTGAGAATTCATCTGTCTAGCATAATATGATGAAATCCCGTTTCCAACGAAGGCTTCAAAGAGGTCTGAATATCCACTTGCAGACTTTACAAACAGAGTGTTTCCTAACTGCTCTTTGAAAAGAAAGGTTAAACTCTGTGAGTTGAACGCACACATCACAAAACAGTTTCTGAGAATCATTCTTTCTAGTTTTTATACGAAGATATTTCCTTTTCTACCGTTGACCTCAAAGCGGCTGAATTCTCCACTTACAAATTCCACCAAAAGTGTGTCTCAAATCTGCTCTGTGTAAAGAATCATTCAACTCTGTGAGTTGAATGCACACAACACAAGGAAGTTACTGGGAATTCCTCTGTCTAACCTTACATGAAAAAACGCGTTTCCAACGAAGGCCTCTAAGAGGCCAAGATATCCACTTGCAGACTTTACAAACAGAGTGTTTCCAAACTGCTGAATGAAAAGAAAAGTTAAAATCTGTGAGTTGAACGCACACATCACAGAGCAGTTTCTGAGAATGATTCTGTCGGGTTTTTATACGAAGATATTTCCTTTTCTGCCTTTGGCCTCAAAGCGCTTGAAGTCTCCACTTGCAAATTGCAGAAAAAGAGCGTTTCGAATCTGCTCTGTCTAAAGGAAGGTTCAACTCTGTCAGTTGAATACACACAACACAAGGAAGTTACTGAGATTTCTTCTGTCTAGCCTTACATGAAAAAAACCCGTTTCCAACGAAGGCCTCAAAGAGGTCAAAATATCCACGTGCAGACTTTCCAAACAGTGTTTCCAAACTGCTGAATGAAAAGAAAGTTAAACTCTGTGAGTTGAACGCACACATCACAGAGCAGTTTCTGAGAATGATTCTGTCTAGTTTTTATAGGAAAATATTTCCTTTTCTGCTTTTGGCCTCAAAGCGCTTGAAATCTCCACTTGCAAATTCCACAAAAAGAGACTTTCAAATCTGCTCTGTCTAAAGGAAGGTTCAACTCTGTCAGTTGAATACACACAACACAAAGAAGTTACTAAGAATTCTTCCCTCTAGCATTATATGAAGAAATCCCGTTTCCAACGAAGGCATCTAAGAGGTCCAAATATCCACTTGCAGACTTTACAAACAGAGGGTTTCCAGAATGCTGTATGAAAAGAAAGGTGAAACTCTGTGAGTTAAACACACACATCACTACGCAGTGTCTGGGAACGAGTTTGTCTTGTTTTTATACGAAGATATTTCCTTTTCTACCATTGGCATCGAAGCGCTTGAAATCTCCACTTGCAAATTCCACAAAAAGAGTGTTTCAAATCTGCTCTGTCTAAAGGAAGGTTGAACTCTGTGAGTTGCATACACACAACACAAAGAAGTTACTGAGAAATCTTCTGTCTAGCATAATATGAAGAAATCCCGTTTCCAACGAAGGCCTCAAAGAGGTCCGAATATCCACTGGCAGGCTTCACAAACAGAGTGTTTCCTAACTGCTCTGTGAAAAGAAAGGTTAAACCCTGTGAGTTGAACGCACACATCACAAAGGAGTTTCTGAGAATCATTCTGTCTAGTTTTTATACGAAGATATTTCCTTTTCTACCATTGACCTCAAAGCGGCTGAAATCTCCACTTGCAAATTCCAGAAAAACAGTGTTTCAAATCTGCTCTGTGTAAAGGATCGTTTAACTCTGTGAGTTGAATACACACAACACAAGGAAGTTACTGAGAATTCATCTGTCTAGCATAATATGAAGAAATCCCGTTTCCAAAGAAGGCCTCAAAGAGGTCTGAATATCCACTTGCAGACTTTACAAACAGAGTGTTTCCTAACTGCTCTTTGAAAAGAAAGGTTAAACTCTGTGAGTTGAACGCACACATCACAAAACAGTTTCTGAGAATCATTCTGTATAGTTTTTATACGAAGATATTTCCTTTTCTACCGTTGACCTCAAAGCGGCTGAATTCTCCATTTACAAATTCCACCAAAAGAGTGTCTCAAATCTGCTCTGTGTAAAGAATCATTCAACTCTGTGAGTTGAATGCACACAACACAAGGAAGTTACTGGGAATTCCTCTGTCTATCCTTACATGAAAAAACCCGTTTCCAACGAAGGCCTCTAAGAGGCCAAGATATCCACTTGCAGACTTTACAAACAGAGTGTTTCCAAACTGCTGAATGAAAAGAAAAGTTAAACTCTGTGAGTTGAACGCACACATCACAGAGCAGTTTCTGAGAAAGATTCTGTCGGGTTCTTATACGAAGATATTTCCTTTTCTGCCTTTGGCCTCAATGCGCTTGAAGTCTCCACTTGCAAATTGCAGAAAAAGAGTGTTTCGAATCTGCTCTGTCTAAAAGAAGGTTCAACTCTGTCAGTTGAATACACACAACACAAGGAAGTTACTGAGATTTCTTCTGTCTAGCCTTACATGAAAAAAACCCGTTTCCAACGAAGGCCTCAAAGAGGTCAAAATATCCACGTGCAGACTTTCCAAACAGAGTGTTTCCAAACTGCTGAATGAAAAGAAAAGTTAAACTCTGTGAGTTGAACGCACACATCCCAGAGCAGTTTCTGAGAAAGATTCTGTCGAGTTTTTATAGGAAAATATTTCCTTTTCTGCTTTTGGCCTCAAAGCGCTTGAAATCTCCACTTGCAAATTCCACAAAAAGAGACTTTCAAATCTGCTCTGTCTAAAGGAAGGTTCAACTCTGTCAGTTGAATACACACAACACAAAGAAGTTACTAAGAATTCTTCCCTCTAGCATTATATGAGGAAATCCCGTTTCCAACGAAGGCATCTAAGAGGTCCAAATATCCACTTGCAGACTTTACAAACAGAGGGTTTCCAGAATGCTGTATGAAAAGAAAGGTTAAACTCTGTGAGTTAAACACACACATCACTACGCAGTGTCTGGGAACGAGTTTGTCTTGTTTTTATACGAAGATATTTCCTTTTCTACCATTGGCATCGAAGCGCTTGAAATCTCCACTTGCAAATTCCACAAAAAGAGTGTTTCAAATCTGCTCTGTCTAAAGGAAGGTTGAACTCTGTGAGTTGCATACACACAACACAAAGAAGTTACTGAGAAATCTTCTGTCTAGCATAATATGAAGAAATCCCGTTTCCAACGAAGGCCTCAAAGAGGTCCGAATATCCACTGGCAGGCTTCACAAACAGAGTGTTTCCTAACTGCTCTGTGAAAAGAAAGGTTAAACTCTGTGAGTTGAACGCACACATCACAAAGGAGTTTCTGAGAATCATTCTGTCTAGTTTTTATACGAAGATATTTCCTTTTCTACCATTGACCTCAAAGCGGCTGAAATCTCCACTTGCAAATTCCAGAAAAACAGTGTTTCAAATCTGCTCTGTGTAAAGGATCGGTTCAACTCTGTGAGTTGAATACACACAACACAAGGAAGTTACTGAGAATTCATCTGTCCAGCATAATATGAAGAAATCCCGTTTCCAACGAAGGCCTCAAAGAGGTCTGAATATCCACTGGCAGACTTTACAAACAGAGTGTTTCCTAACTGCTCTTTGAAAAGAAAGGTTAAACTCTGTGAGTTGAACGCACACATCACAAAACAGTTTCTGAGAATCATTCTGTCTAGTTTTTATACGAAGATATTTCCTTTTCTACCGTTGACCTCAAAGCGGCTGAATTCTCCACTTACAAATTCCACCAAAAGAGTGTCTCAAATCTGCTCTGTGTAAAGAATCATTCAACTCTGTGAGTTGAATGCACACAACACAAGGAAGTTACTGGGAATTCCTGTGTGTATCCTTACATGAAAAAACCCGTTTCCAACGAAGGCCTCTAAGAGGCCAAGATATCCACTTGCAGACTTTACAAACAGAGTGTTTCCAAACTGCTGAATGAAAAGAAAAGTTAAACTCTGTGAGTTGAACGCACACATCACAGAGCAGTTTCTGAGAATGATTCTGTCGGGTTTTTATACGAAGATATTCCCTTTTCTGCCTTTGGCCTCAAAGCGCTTGAAGTCTCCACTTGCAAATTGCAGAAAAAGAGTGTTTCGAATCTGCTCTGTCTAAAAGAAGGTTCAACTCTGTCAGTTGAATACACACAACACAAGGAAGTTACTGAGATTTCTTCTGTCTAGCCTTACATGAAAAAAACCCGTTTCCAACGAAGGCCTCAAAGAGGTCAAAATATCCACGTGCAGACTTTCCAAACAGAGTGTTTCCAAACTGCTGAATGAAAAGAAAAGTTAAACTCTGTGAGTTGAACGCACACATCCCAGAGCAGTTTCTGAGAAAGATTCTGTCTAGTTTTTATAGGAAAATATTTCCTTTTCTGCTTTTGGCCTCAAAGCGCTTGAAATCTCCACTTGCAAATTCCACAAAAAGAGACTTTCAAATCTGCTCTGTCTAAAGGAAGGTTCAACTCTGTCAGTTGAATACACACAACACAAAGAAGTTACTAAGAATTCTTCCCTCTAGCATTATATGAAGAAATCCCGTTTCCAACGAAGGCATCTAAGAGGTCCAAATATCCACTTGCAGACTTTACAAACACAGGGTTTCCAGAATGCTGTATGAAAAGAAAGGTTAAACTCTGTGAGTTAAACACACACATCACTACGCAGTGTCTGGGAACGAGTTTGTCTTGTTTTTATACGAAGATATTTCCTTTTCGACCATTGGCGTCGAAGCGCTTGAAATCTCCACTTGCAAATTCCACAAAAAGAGTGTTTCAAATCTGCTCTGTCTAAAGGAAGGATGAACTCTGTGAGTTGCATACACATAACACAAAGTAGTTACTGAGAAATCTGTCTAGCATAATATGAAGAAATCCCGTTTCCAACGAAGGCCTCAAAGGAGGTCCGAATATCCACTGGCAGGCTTCACAAACAGAGTGTTTCCTAACTGCTCTGTGAAAAGAAAGGTTAAACTCTGTGAGTTGAACGCACACATCACAAAGGAGTTTCTGAGAATCATTCTGTCTAGTTTTTATACGAAGATATTTCCTTTTCTACCATTGACCTCAAAGCAGCTGAAATCTCCACTTGCAAATTCCAGAAAAACAGTGTTTCAAATCTGCTCTGTGTAAAGGATCGTTCAACTCTGTGAGTTGAATACACACAACACAAGGAAGTTACTGAGAATTCATCTGTCTAGCATAATATGAAGAAATCCCGTTTCCAACGAAGGCCTCAAAGAGGTCTGAATATCCACTTGCAGACTTTACAAACAGAGTGTTTCCTAACTGCTCTTTGAAAAGAAAGGTTAAACTCTGTGAGTTGAAAGCACACATCACAAAACAGTTTCTGAGAATCATTCTTTCTAGTTTTTATACGAAGATATTTCCTTTTCTACCGTTGACCTCAAAGCGGCTGAATTCTCCACTTACAAATTCCACCAAAAGAGTGTCTCAAATCTGCTCTGTGTAAAGAATCATTCAACTCTGTGAGTTGAATGCATACAACACAAGGAAGTTACTGGGAATTCCTCTGTCTAACCTTACATGAAAAAACCCGCTTCCAACGAAGGCCTCTAAGAGGCCAAGATATCCACTTGCAGACTTTACAAACAGAGTGTTTCCAAACTGCTGAATGAAAAGAAAAGTTAAACTCTGTGAGTTGAACGCACACATCACAGAGCAGTTTCTGAGAATGATTCTGTCGGGTTTTTACACGAAGATATTTCCTTTTCTGCCTTTGGCCTCAAAGCGCTTGAAGTCTCCACTTGCAAATTGCAGAAAAAGAGTGTTTCGAATCTGCTCTGTCTAAAGGAAGGTTCAACTCTGTCAGTTGAATACACACAACACAAGGAAGTTACTGAGATTTCTTCTGTCTAGCCTTACATGAAAAAAACCCGTTTCCAACGAAGGCCTCAAAGAGGTCAAAATATCCACGTGCAGACTTTCCAAACAGAGTGTTTCCAAACTGCTGAATGAAAAGAAAAGTTAAACTCTGTGAGTTGAACGCACACATCCCAGAGCATTTTCTGAGAAAGATTCTGTCGAGTTTTTATAGGAAAATATTTCCTTTTCTGCTTTTGGCCTCAAAGCGCTTGAAATCTCCACTTGCAAATTCCACAAAAAGAGACTTTCAAATCTGCTCTGTCTAAAGGAAGGTTCAACTCTGTCAGTTGAATACACACAACACAAAGAAGTTACTAAGAATTCTTCCCTCTAGCATTATATGAAGAAATCCCGTTTCCAACGAAGGCATCTAAGAGGTCCAAATATCCACTTGCAGACTTTACAAACACAGGGTTTCCAGAATGCTGTATGAAAAGAAAGGTTAAACTCTGTGAGTTAAACACACACATCACTACGCAGTGTCTGGGAACGAGTTTGTCTTGTTTTTATACGAAGATATTTCCTTTTCTACCATTGGCATCGAAGCGCTTGAAATCTCCACTTGCAAATTCCACAAAAAGAGTGTTTCAAATCTGCTCTGTCTAAAGGAAGGTTGAACTCTGTGAGTTGCATACACACAACACAAAGAAGTTACTGAGAAATCTTCTGTCTAGCATAATATGAAGAAATCCCGTTTCCAACGAAGGCCTCAAAGAGGTCCGAATATCCACTGGCAGGCTTCACAAACAGAGTGTTTCCTAACTGCTCTGTGAAAAGAAAGGTTAAACTCTGTGAGTTGAACGCACACATCACAAAGGAGTTTCTGAGAATCATTCTGTCTAGTTTTTATACGAAGATATTTCCTTTTCTACCATTGACCTCAAAGCGGCTGACATCTCCACTTGCAAATTCCAGAAAAACAGTGTTTCAAATCTGCTCTGTGTAAAGGATCGTTCAACTCTGTGAGTTGAATACACACAACACAAGGAAGTTACTGAGAATTCATCTGTCTAGCATAATATGATGAAATCCCGTTTCCAACGAAGGCTTCAAAGAGGTCTGAATATCCACTTGCAGACTTTACAAACAGAGTGTTTCCTAACTGCTCTTTGAAAAGAAAGGTTAAACTCTGTGAGTTGAACGCACACATCACAAAACAGTTTCTGAGAATCATTCTGTCTAGTTTTTATACGAAGATATTTCCTTTTCTACCGTTGACCTCAAAGCAGCTGAATTCTCCACTTACAAATTCCACCAAAAGAGTGTCTCAAATCTACTCGGTGTAAAGAATCATTCAACTCTGTGAGTTGAATGCACACAACACAAGGAAGTTACTGGGAATTCCTCTGTCTAACCTTACATGAAAAAACGCGTGTCCAACGAAGGCCTCTAAGAGGCCAAGATATCCACTTGCAGACTTTACAAACAGAGTGTTTCCAAACTGCTGAATGAAAAGAAAAGTTAAACTCTGTGAGTTGAACGCACACATCACAGAGCAGTTTCTGAGAATGATTCTGTCGGGTTTTTATACGAAGATATTTCCTTTTCTGCCTTTGGCCTCAAAGCGCTTGAAGTCTCCACTTGCAAATTGCAGAAAAAGAGCGTTTCGAATCTGCTCTGTCTAAAGGAAGGTTCAACTCTGTCAGTTGAATACACACAACACAAGGAAGTTACTGAGATTTCTTCTGTCTAGCCTTACATGAAAAAAACCCGTTTCCAACGAAGGCCTCAAAGAGGTCAAAATATCCACGTGCAGACTTTCCAAACAGAGTGTTTCCAAACTGCTGAATGAAAAGAAAAGTTAAACTCTGTGAGTTGAACGCACACATCCCAGAGCAGTTTCTGAGAATGATTCTGTCTAGTTTTTATAGGAAAATATTTCCTTTTCTGCTTTTGGCCTCAAAGCGCTTGAAATCTCCACTTGCAAATTCCACAAAAAGAGACTTTCAAATCTGCTCTGTCTAAAGGAAGGTTCAACTCTGTCAGTTGAATACACACAACACAAAGAAGTTACTAAGAATTCTTCCCTCTAGCATTATACGAAGAAATCCCGTTTCCAACGAAGGCATCTAAGAGGTCCAAATATCCACTTGCAGACTTTACAAACACAGGGTTTCCAGAATGCTGTATGAAAAGAAAGGTTAAACTCAGTGAGTTAAACACACACATCACTACGCAGTGTCTGGGAACGAGTTTGTCTTGTTTTTCTACGAAGATATTTCCTTTTCTACCATTGGCATCGAAGCGCTTGAAATCTCCACTTGCAAATTCCACAAAAAGAGTGTTTCAAATCTGCTCTGTCTAAAGGAAGGTTGAACTCTGTGAGTTGCATACACACAACACAAAGAAGTTACTGAGAAATCTTCTGTCTAGCATAATATGAAGAAATCCCGTTTCCAACGAAGGCCTCAAAGAGGTCCGAATATCCACTGGCAGGCTTCACAAACAGAGTGTTTCCTAACTGCTCTGTGAAAAGAAAGGTTAAACTCTGTGAGTTGAAAGCACACATCACAAAGGAGTTTCTGAGAATCATTCTGTCTAGTTTTTATACGAAGATATTTCCTTTTCTACCATTGACCTCAAAGCGGCTGACATCTCCACTTGCAAATTCCAGAAAAACAGTGTTTCAAATCTGCTCTGTGTAAAGGATCGTTCAACTCTGTGAGTTGAATACACACAACACAAGGAAGTTACTGAGAATTCATCTGTCTAGCATAATATGAAGAAATCCCGTTTCCAACGAAGGCCTCAAAGAGGTCTGAATATCCACTTGCAGACTTTACAAACAGAGTGTTTCCTAACTGCTCTTTGAAAAGAAAGGTTAAACTCTGTGAGTTGAAAGCACACATCACAAAACAGTTTCTGAGAATCATTCTGTCTAGTTTTTATACGAAGATATTTCCTTTTCTACCGTTGACCTCAAAGCGGCTGAATTCTCCACTTACAAATTCCACCAAAAGAGTGTCTCAAATCTGCTCTGTGTAAAGAATCATTCAACTCTGTGAGTTGAATGCACACAACACAAGGAAGTTACTGGGAATTCCTCTGTCTAACCTTACATGAAAAAACCCGTTTCCAACGAAGGCCTCTAAGAGGCCAAGATATCCACTTGCAGACTTTACAAACAGAGTGTTTCCAAACTGCTGAATGAAAAGAAAAGTTAAACTCTGTGAGTTGAACGCACACATCACAGAGCAGTTTCTGAGAATGATTCTGTCGGGTTTTTATACGAAGATATTTCCTTTTCTGCCTTTGGCCTCAAAGCGCTTGAAGTCTCCACTTGCAAATTGCAGAAAAAGAGTGTTTCGAATCTGCTCTGTCTAAAGGAAGGTTCAACTCTGTCAGTTGAATACACACAACACAAGGAAGTTACTGAGATTTCTTCTGTCTAGCCTTACATGAAAAAAACCCGTTTCCAACGAAGGCCTCAAAGAGGTCAAAATATCCACGTGCAGACTTTCCAAACAGAGTGTTTCCAAACTGCTGAATGAAAAGAAATGTTAAACTCTGTGAGTTGAACGCACACATCCCAGAGCAGTTTCTGAGAAAGATTCTGTCGAGTTTTTATAGGAAAATATTTCCTTTTCTGCTTTTGGCCTCAAAGCGCTTGAAATCTCCACTTGCAAATTCCACAAAAAGAGACTTTCAAATCTGCTCTGTCTAAAGGAAGGTTCAACTCTGTCAGTTGAATACACACAACACAAAGAAGTTACTAAGAATTCTTCCCTCTAGCATTATATGAAGAAATCCCGTTTCCAACGAAGGCATCTAAGAGGTCCAAATATCCACTTGCAGACTTTACAAACAGAGGGTTTCCAGAATGCTGTATGAAAAGAAAGGTGAAACTCTGTGAGTTAAACACACACATCACTACGCAGTGTCTGGGAACGAGTTTGTCTTGTTTTTATACGAAGATATTTCCTTTTCTACCATTGGCATCGAAGCGCTTGAAATCTCCACTTGCAAATTCCACAAAAAGAGTGTTTCAAATCTGCTCTGTCTAAAGGAAGGTTGAACTCTGTGAGTTGCATACACACAACACAAAGAAGTTACTGAGAAATCTTCTGTCTAGCATAATATGAAGAAATCCCGTTTCCAACGAAGGCCTCAAAGAGGTCCGAATATCCACTGGCAGGCTTCACAAACAGAGTGTTTCCTAACTGCTCTGTGAAAAGAAAGGTTAAACTCTGTGAGTTGAACGCACACATCACAAAGGAGTTTCTGAGAATCATTCTGTCTAGTTTTTATACGAAGATATTTCCTTTTCTACCGTTGACCTCAAAGCGGCTGAATTCTCCACTTACAAATTCCACCAAAAGAGTGTCTCAAATCTGCTCTGTGTAAAGAATCATTCAACTCTGTGTGTTGAATGCACACAACACAAGGAAGTTACTGGGAATTCCTCTGTCTAGCATAATATGAAGAAATCCCGTTTCCAACGAAGGCCTCAAAGAGGTCTGAATATCCACTTGCAGACTTTACAAACAGAGTGTTTCCTAACTGCTCTTTGAAAAGAAAGGTTAAACTCTGTGAGTTGAACGCACACATCACAAAACAGTTTCTGAGAATCATTCTGTCTAGTTTTTATACGAAGATATTTCCTTTTCTACCGTTGACCTCAAAGCGGCTGAATTCTCCACTTACAAATTCCACCAAAAGAGTGTCTCAAATCTGCTCTGTGTAAAG
The DNA here is from genome assembly GCF_000001405.40 of Homo sapiens. NCBI lineage: Eukaryota > Metazoa > Chordata > Mammalia > Primates > Hominidae > Homo > Homo sapiens. The sequence continues at coordinate 38,094,142 of NC_000016.10, read as the reverse complement.
AATCATTCAACTCTGTGAGTTGAATGCACACAACACAAGGAAGTTACTGGGGAATTCCTCTGTCTAACCTTACATGAAAAAACCCGTTTCCAACGAAGGCCTCTAAGAGGCCAAGATATCCACTTGCAGACTTTACAAACAGAGTGTTTCCAAACTGCTGAATGAAAAGAAAAGTTAAACTCTGTGAGTTGAACGCACACATCACAGAGCAGTTTCTGAGAATGATTCTGTCGGGTTTTTATACGAAGATATTTCCTTTTCTGCCTTTGGCCTCAAAGCGCTTGAAGTCTCCACTTGCAAATTGCAGAAAAAGAGAGTTTCGAATCTGCTCTGTCTAAAGGAAGGTTCAACTCTGTCAGTTGAATACACACAACACAAGGAAGTTACTGAGATTTCTTCTGTCTAGCCTTACATGAAAAAAACCCGTTTCCAACGAAGGCCTCAAAGAGGTCAAAATATCCACGTGCAGACTTTCCAAACAGAGTGTTTCCAAACTGCTGAATGAAAAGAAAAGTTAAACTCTGTGAGTTGAACGCACACATCCCAGAGCAGTTTCTGAGAAAGATTCTGTCTAGTTTTTATAGGAAAATATTTCCTTTTCTGCTTTTGGCCTCAAAGCGCTTGAAATCTCCACTTGCAAATTCCACAAAAAGAGACTTTCAAATCTGCTCTGTCTAAAGGAAGGTTCAACTCTGTCAGTTGAATACACACAACACAAAGAAGTTACTAAGAATTCTTCCCTCTAGCATTATATGAAGAAATCCCGTTTCCAACGAAGGCATCTAAGAGGTCCAAATATCGACTTGCAGACTTTACAAACAGAGGGTTTCCAGAATGCTGTATGAAAAGAAAGGTTAAACTCTGTGAGTTAAACACACACATCACTACGCAGTGTCTGGGAACGAGTTTGTCTTGTTTTTATACGAAGATATTTCCTTTTCTACCATTGGCATCGAAGCGCTTGAAATCTCCACTTGCAAATTCCACAAAAAGAGTGTTTCAAATCTGCTCTGTCTAAAGGAAGGTTGAACTCTGTGAGTTGCATACACACAACACAAAGAAGTTACTGAGAAATCTTCTGTCTAGCATAATATGAAGAAATCCCGTTTCCAACGAAGGCCTCAAAGAGGTCCGAATATCCACTGGCAGGCTTCACAAACAGAGTGTTTCCTAACTGCTCTGTGAAAAGAAAGGTTAAACCCTGTGAGTTGAACGCACACATCACAAAGGAGTTTCTGAGAATCATTCTGTCTAGTTTTTATACGAAGATATTTCCTTTTCTACCATTGACCTCAAAGCGGCTGACATCTCCACTTGCAAATTCCAGAAAAACAGTGTTTCAAATCTGCTCTGTGTAAAGGATCGTTCAACTCTGTGAGTTGAATACACACAACACAAGGAAGTTACTGAGAATTCATCTGTCTAGCATAATATGAAGAAATCCCGTTTCCAACGAAGGCCTCAAAGAGGTCTGAATATCCTCTTGCAGACTTTACAAACAGAGTGTTTCCTAACTGCTCTTTGAAAAGAAAGGTTAAACTCTGTGAGTTGAACGCACACATCACAAAACATTTTCTGAGAATCATTCTGTCTAGTTTTTATACGAAGATATTTCCTTTTCTACCGTTGACCTCAAAGCGGCTGAATTCTCCACTTACAAATTCCACCAAAAGAGTGTCTCAAATCTGCTCTGTGTAAAGAATCATTCAACTCTGTGAGTTGAATGCACACAACACAAGGAAGTTACTGGGAATTCCTCTGTCTAACCTTAAATGAAAAAACCCGTTTCCAACGAAGGCCTCTAAGAGGCCAAGATATCCACTTGCAGACTTTACAAACAGAGTGTTTCCAAACTGCTGAATGAAAAGAAAAGTTAAACTCTGTGAGTTGAACGCACACATCACAGAGCAGTTTCTGAGAATGATTCTGTCGGGTTTTTATACGAAGATATTTCCTTTTCTGCCTTTGGCCTCAAAGCGCTTGAAGTCTCCACTTGCAAATTGCAGAACAAGAGTGTTTCCAATCTGCTCTGTCTAAAGGAAGGTTCAACTCTGTCAGTTGAATACACACAACACAAGGAAGTTACTGAGATTTCTTCTGTCTAGCCTTACATGAAAAAAACCCGTTTCCAACGAAGGCCTCAAAGAGGTCAAAATATCCACGTGCAGACTTTCCAAACAGAGTGTTTCCAAACTGCTGAATGAAAAGAAAAGTTAAACTCTGTGAGTTGAACGCACACATCCCAGAGCAGTTTCTGAGAAAGATTCTGTCGAGTTTTTATAGGAAAATATTTCCTTTTCTGCTTTTGGCCTCAAAGCGCTTGAAATCTCCACTTGCAAATTCCACAAAAAGAGACTTTCAAATCTGCTCTGTCTAAAGGAAGGTTCAACTCTGTCAGTTGAATACACACAACACAAAGAAGTTACTAAGAATTCTTCCCTCTAGCATTATATGAAGAAATCCCGTTTCCAACGAAGGCATCTAAGAGGTCCAAATATCCACTTGCAGACTTTACAAACAGAGGGTTTCCAGAATGCTGTATGAAAAGAAAGGTGAAACTCTGTGAGTTAAACACACACATCACTACGCAGTGTCTGGGAACGAGTTTGTCTTGTTTTTATACGAAGATATTTCCTTTTCTACCATTGGCATCGAAGCGCTTGAAATCTCCACTTGCAAATTCCACAAAAAGAGTGTTTCAAATCTGCTCTGTCTAAAGGAAGGTTGAACTCTGTGAGTTGCATACACACAACACAAAGAAGTTACTGAGAAATCTTCTGTCTAGCATAATATGAAGAAATCCCGTTTCCAACGAAGGCCTCAAAGAGGTCCGAATATCCACTGGCAGGCTTCACAAACAGAGTGTTTCCTAACTGCTCTGTGAAAAGAAAGGTTAAACTCTGTGAGTTGAACGCACACATCACAAAGGAGTTTCTGAGAATCATTCTGTCTAGTTTTTATACGAAGATATTTCCTTTTCTACCATTGACCTCAAAGCGGCTGAAATCTCCACTTGCAAATTCCAGAAAAACAGTGTTTCAAATCTGCTCTGTGTAAAGGATCGTTCAACTCTGTGAGTTGAATACACACAACACAAGGGAAGTTACTGAGAATTCATCTGTCTAGCATAATATGAAGAAATCCCGTTTCCAACGAAGGCTTCAAAGAGGTCTGAATATCCACTTGCAGACTTTACAAACAGAGTGTTTCCTAACTGCTCTTTGAAAAGAAAGGTTAAACTCTGTGAGTTGAACGCACACATCACAAAACAGTTTCTGAGAATCATTCTTTCTAGTTTTTATACGAAGATATTTCCTTTTCTACCGTTGACCTCAAAGCGGCTGAATTCTCCACTTACAAATTCCACCAAAAGAGTGTCTCAAATCTGCTCTGTGTAAAGAATCATTCAACTCTGTGAGTTGAATGCACACAACACAAGGGAAGTTACTGGGAATTCCTCTGTCTAACCTTACATGAAAAAACCCGTTTCCAACGAAGGCCTCTAAGAGGCCAAGATATCCACTTGCAGACTTTACAAACAGAGTGTTTCCAAACTGCTGAATGAAAAGAAAAGTTAAACTCTGTGAGTTGAACGCACACATCACAGAGCAGTTTCTGAGAATGATTCTGTCGGGTTTTTATACGAAGATATTTCCTTTTCTGCCTTTGGCCTCAAAGCGCTTGAAGTCTCCACTTGCTAATTGCAGAAAAAGAGTGTTTCGAATCTGCTCTGTCTAAAAGAAGGTTCAACTCTGTCAGTTGAATACACACAACACAAGGAAGTTACTGAGATTTCTTCTGTCTAGCCTTACATGAAAAAAACCCGTTTCCAACGAAGGCCTCAAAGAGGTCAAAATATCCACGTGCAGACTTTCCAAACAGAGTGTTTCCAAACTGCTGAATGAAAAGAAAAGTTAAACTCTGTGAGTTGAACGCACACATCCCAGAGCAGTTTCTGAGAAAGATTCTGTCTAGTTTTTATAGGAAAATATTTCCTTTTCTGCTTTTGGCCTCAAAGCGCTTGAAATCTCCACTTGCAAATTCCACAAAAAGAGACTTTCAAATCTGCTCTGTCTAAAGGAAGGTTCAACTCTGTCAGTTGAATACACACAACACAAAGACGTTACTAAGAATTCTTCCCTCTAGCATTATATGAAGAAATCCCGTTTCCAACGAAGGCATCTAAGAGGTCCAAATATCCACTTGCAGACTTCACAAACAGAGGGTTTCCAGAATGCTGTATGAAAAGAAAGGTTAAACTCTGTGAGTTAAACACACACATCACTACGCAGTGTCTGGGAACGAGTTTGTCTTGTTTTTATACGAAGATATTTCCTTTTCTACCATTGGCATCGAAGCGCTTGAAATCTCCACTTGCAAATTCCACAAAAAGAGTGTTTCAAATCTGCTCTGTCTAAAGGAAGGTTGAACTCTGTGAGTTGCATACACACAACACAAAGAAGTTACTGAGAAATCTTCTGTCTAGCATAATATGAAGAAATCCCGTTTCCAACGAAGGCCTCAAAGAGGTCCGAATATCCACTGGCAGGCTTCACAAACAGAGTGTTTCCTAACTGCTCTGTGAAAAGAAAGGTTAAACTCTGTGAGTTGAACGCACACATCACAAAGGAGTTTCTGAGAATCATTCTGTCTAGTTTTTATACGAAGATATTTCCTTTTCTACCATTGACCTCAAAGCGGCTGAAATCTCCACTTGCAAATTCCAGAAAAACAGTGTTTCAAATCTGCTCTGTGTAAAGGATCGTTCAACTCTGTGAGTTGAATACACACAACACAAGGAAGTTACTGAGAATTCATCTGTCTAGCATAATATGAAGAAATCCCGTTTCCAACGAAGGCCTCAAAGAGGTCTGAATATCCACTTGCAGACTTTACAAACAGAGTGTTTCCTAACTGCTCTTTGAAAAGAAAGGTTAAACTCTGTGAGTTGAACGCACACATCACAAAACAGTTTCTGAGAATCATTCTGTCTAGATTTTATACGAAGATATTTCCTTTTCTACCGTTGACCTCAAAGCGGCTGAATTCTCCACTTACAAATTCCACCCAAAGAGTGTCTCAAATCTGCTCTGTGTAAAGAATCATTCAACTCTGTGAGTTGAATGCACACAACACAAGGAAGTTACTGGGAATTCCTCTGTCTATCCTTACATGAAAAAACCCGTTTCCAACGAAGGCCTCTAAGAGGCCAAGATATCCACTTGCAGACTTTACAAACAGAGTGTTTCCAAACTGCTGAATGAAAAGAAAAGTTAAACTCTGTGAGTTGAACGCACACATCACAGAGCAGTTTCTGGAGAATGATTCTGTCGGGTTTTTATACGAAGATATTTCCTTTTCTGCCTTTGGCCTCAAAGCGCTTGAAGTCTCCACTTGCAAATTGCAGAAAAAGAGTGTTTCGAATCTGCTCTGTCTAAAGGAAGGTTCAACTCTGTCAGTTGAATACACACAACACAAGGAAGTTACTGAGATTTCTTCTGTCTAGCCTTACATGAAAAAAACCCGTTTCCAACGAAGGCCTCAAAGAGGTCAAAATATCCACGTGCAGACTTTCCAAACAGAGTGTTTCCAAACTGCTGAATGAAAAGAAATGTTAAACTCTGTGAGTTGAACGCACACATCCCAGAGCAGTTTCTGAGAAAGATTCTGTCGAGTTTTTATAGGAAAATATTTCCTTTTCTGCTTTTGGCCTCAAAGCGCTTGAAATCTCCACTTGCAAATTCCACAAAAAGAGACTTTCAAATCTGCTCTGTCTAAAGGAAGGTTCAACTCTGTCAGTTGAATACACACAACACAAAGAAGTTACTAAGAATTCTTCCCTCTAGCATTATATGAAGAAATCCCGTTTCCAACGAAGGCATCTAAGAGGTCCAAATATCCACTTGCAGACTTTACAAACAGAGGGTTTCCAGAATGCTGTATGAAAAGAAAGGTTAAACTCTGTGAGTTAAACACACACATCACTACGCAGTGTCTGGGAACGAGTTTGTCTTGTTTTTATACGAAGATATTTCCTTTTCTACCATTGGCATCGAAGCGCTTGAAATCTCCACTTGCAAATTCCACAAAAAGAGTGTTTCAAATCTGCTCTGTCTAAAGGAAGGTTGAACTCTGTGAGTTGCATACACACAACACAAAGAAGTTACTGAGAAATCTTCTGTCTAGCATAATATGAAGAAATCCCGTTTCCAACGAAGGCCTCAAAGAGGTCCGAATATCCACTGGCAGGCTTCACAAACAGAGTGTTTCCTAACTGCTCTGTGAAAAGAAAGGTTAAACTCTGTGAGTTGAACGCACACATCACAAAGGAGTTTCTGAGAATCATTCTGTCTAGTTTTTATACGAAGATATTTCCTTTTCTACCATTGACCTCAAAGCGGCTGAAATCTCCACTTGCAAATTCCAGAAAAACAGTGTTTCAAATCTGCTCTGTGTAAAGGATCGTTCAACTCTGTGAGTTGAATACACACAACACAAGGAAGTTACTGAGAATTCATCTGTCTAGCATAATATGAAGAAATCCCGTTTCCAACGAAGGTCTCAAAGAGGTCTGAATATCCGCTTGCAGACTTTACAAACAGAGTGTTTCCTAACTGCTCTTTGAAAAGAAAGGTTAAACTCTGTGAGTTGAACGCACACATCACAAAACAGTTTCTGAGAATCATTCTGTCTAGTTTTTATACGAAGATATTTCCTTTTCTACCGTTGACCTCAAAGCGGCTGAATTCTCCACTTACAAATTCCACCAAAAGAGTGTCTCAAATCTGCTCTGTGTAAAGAATCATTCAACTCTGTGAGTTGAATGCACACAACACAAGGAAGTTACTGGGAATTCCTCTGTCTATCCTTACATGAAAAAACCCGTTTCCAACGAAGGCCTCTAAGAGGCCAAGATATCCACTTGCAGACTTTACAAACAGAGTGTTTCCAAACTGCTGAATGAGAAGAAAAGTTAAACTCTGTGAGTTGAACGCACACATCACAGAGCAGTTTCTGAGAATGATTCTGTCGGGTTTTTATACGAAGATATTTCCTTTTCTGCCTTTGGCCTCAAAGCGCTTGAAGTCTCCACTTGGAAATTGCAGAAAAAGAGTGTTTCGAATCTGCTCTGTCTAAAGGAAGGTTCAACTCTGTCAGTTGAATACACACAACACAAGGAAGTTACTGAGATTTCTTCTGTCTAGCCTTACATGAAAAAACCCGTTTCCAACGAAGGCCTCAAAGAGGTCAAAATATCCACGTGCAGACTTTCCAAACAGAGTGTTTCCAAACTGCTGAATGAAAAGAAAAGTTAAACTCTGTGAGTTGAACGCACACATCCCAGAGCAGTTTCTGAGAAAGATTCTGTCTAGTTTTTATAGGAAAATATTTCCTTTTCTGCTTTTGGCCTCAAAGCGCTTGAAATCTCCACTTGCAAATTCCACAAAAAGAGACTTTCAAATCTGCTCTGTCTAAAGGAAGGTTCAACTCTGTCAGTTGAATACACACAACACAAAGAAGTTACTAAGAATTCTTCCCTCTAGCATTATATGAAGAAATCCCGTTTCCAACGAAGGCATCTAAGAGGTCCAAATATCCACTTGCAGACTTTACAAACAGAGGGTTTCCAGAATGCTGTATGAAAAGAAAGGTTAAACTCTGTGAGTTAAACACACACATCACTACGCAGTGTCTGGGAACGAGTTTGTCTTGTTTTTATACGAAGATATTTCCTTTTCTACCATTGGCATCGAAGCGCTTGAAATCTCCACTTGCAAATTCCACAAAAAGAGTGTTTCAAATCTGCTCTGTCTAAAGGAAGGTTGAACTCTGTGAGTTGCATACACACAACACAAAGAAGTTACTGAGAAATCTTCTGTCTAGCATAATATGAAGAAATCCCGTTTCCAACGAAGGCCTCAAAGAGGTCCGAATATCCACTGGCAGGCTTCACAAACAGAGTGTTTCCTAACTGCTCTGTGAAAAGAAAGGTTAAACTCTGTGAGTTGAACGCACACATCACAAAGGAGTTTCTGAGAATCATTCTGTCTAGTTTTTATACGAAGATATTTCCTTTTCTACCATTGACCTCAAAGCGGCTGAAATCTCCACTTGCAAATTCCAGAAAAACAGTGTTTCAAATCTGCTCTGTGTAAAGGATCGTTCAACTCTGTGAGTTGAATACACACAACACAAGGAAGTTACTGAGAATTCATCTGTCTAGCATAATATGAAGAAATCCCGTTTCCAACGAAGGCTTCAAAGAGGTCTGAATATCCACTTGCAGACTTTACAAACAGAGTGTTTCCTAACTGCTCTTTGAAAAGAAAGGTTAAACTCTGTGAGTTGAACGCACACATCACAAAACAGTTTCTGAGAATCATTCTGTCTAGTTTTTATACGAAGATATTTCCTTTTCTACCGTTGACCTCAAAGCGGCTGAATTCTCCACTTACAAATTCCACCAAAAGAGTGTCTCAAATCTGCTCTGTGTAAAGAATCATTCAACTCTGTGAGTTGAATGCACACAACACAAGGAAGTTACTGGGAATTCCTCTGTCTATCCTTACATGAAAAAACCCGCTTCCAACGAAGGCCTCTAAGAGGCCAAGATATCCACTTGCAGACTTTACAAACAGAGTGTTTCCAAACTGCTGAATGAAAAGAAAAGTTAAACTCTGTGAGTTGAACGGCACACATCACAGAGCAGTTTCTGAGAATGATTCTGTCGGGTTTTTATACGAAGATATTTCCTTTTCTGCCTTTGGCCTCAAAGCGCTTGAAGTCTCCACTTGCAAATTGCAGAAAAAGAGTGTTTCGAATCTGCTCTGTCTAAAGGAAGGTTCAACTCTGTCAGTTGAATACACACAACACAAGGAAGTTACTGAGATTTCTTCTGTCTAGCCTTACATAAAAATAACCCGTTTCCAACGAAGGCCTCAAAGAGGTCAAAATATCCACGTGCAGACTTTCCAAACAGTGTTTCCAAACTGCTGAATGAAAAGAAAAGTTAAACTCTGTGAGTTGAACGCACACATCACAGAGTAGTTTCTGAGAATGAGTCTGTCGAGTTTTTATAGGAAAATATTTCCTTTTCTGCTTTTGGCCTCAAAGCGCTTGAAATCTCCACTTGCAAATTCCACAAAAAGAGACTTTCAAATCTGCTCTGTCTAAAGGAAGGTTCAACTCTGTCAGTTGAATACACACAACACAAAGAAGTTACTAAGAATTCTTCCCTCTAGCATTATATGAAGAAATCCCGTTTCCAACGAAGGCATCTAAGAGGTCCAAATATCCACTTGCAGACTTTACAAACAGAGGGTTTCCAGAATGCTGTATGAAAAGAAAGGTTAAACTCTGTGAGTTAAACACACACATCACTACGCAGTGTCTGGGAACGAGTTTGTCTTGTTTTTATACGAAGATATTTCCTTTTCTACCATTGGCATCGAAGCGCTTGAAATCTCCACTTGCAAATTCCACAAAAAGAGTGTTTCAAATCTGCTCTGTCTAAAGGAAGGTTGAACTCTGTGAGTTGCATACACACAACACAAAGAAGTTACTGAGAAATCTTCTGTCTAGCATAATATGAAGAAATCCCGTTTCCAACGAAGGCCTCAAAGAGGTCCGAATATCCACTGGCAGGCTTCACAAACAGAGTGTTTCCTAACTGCTCTGTGAAAAGAAAGGTTAAACTCTGTGAGTTGAACGCACACATCACAAAGGAGTTTCTGAGAATCATTCTGTCTAGTTTTTATACGAAGATATTTCCTTTTCTACCATTGACCTCAAAGCGGCTGAAATCTCCACTTGCAAATTCCAGAAAAACAGTGTTTCAAATCTGCTCTGTGTAAAGGATCGTTCAACTCTGTGAGTTGAATACACACAACACAAGGAAGTTACTGAGAATTCATCTGTCTAGCATAATATGAAGAAATCCCGTTTCCAACGAAGGCCTCAAAGAGGTCTGAATATCCACTTGCAGACTTTACAAACTGAGTGTTTCCTAACTGCTCTTTGAAAAGAAAGGTTAAACTCTGTGAGTTGAACGCACACATCACAAAACAGTTTCTGAGAATCATTCTGTCTAGTTTTTATACGAAGATATTTCCTTTTCTACCGTTGACCTCAAAGCGGCTGAATTCTCCACTTACAAATTCCACCAAAAGAGTGTCTCAAATCTGCTCTGTGTAAAGAATCATTCAACTCTGTGAGTTGAATGCACACAACACAAGGAAGTTACTGGGAATTCCTCTGTCTATCCTTACATGAAAAAACCCGTTTCCAACGAAGGCCTCTAAGAGGCCAAGATATCCACTTGCAGACTTTACAAACAGAGTGTTTCCAAACTGCTGAATGAAAAGAAAAGTTAAACTCTGTGAGTTGAACGCACACATCACAGAGCAGTTTCTGAGAATGATTCTGTCGGGTTTTTATACGAAGATATTTCCTTTTCTGCCTTTGGCCTCAAAGCGCTTGAAGTCTCCACTTGCGAATTGCAGAAAAAGAGTGTTTCGAATCTGCTCTGTCTAAAGGAAGGTTCAACTCTGTCAGTTGAATACACACAACACAAGGAAGTTACTGAGATTTCTTCTGTCTAGCCTTACATGAAAAAAACCCGTTTCCAACGAAGGCCTCAAAGAGGTCAAAATATCCACGTGCAGACTTTCCAAACAGAGTGTTTCCAAACTGCTGAATGAAAAGAAAAGTTAAACTCTGTGAGTTGAACGCACACATCCCAGAGCAGTTTCTGAGAAAGATTGTGTCGAGTTTTTATAGGAAAATATTTCCTTTTCTGCTTTTGGCCTCAAAGCGCTTGAAATCTCCACTTGCAAATTCCACAAAAAGAGACTTTCAAATCTGCTCTGTCTAAAGGAAGGTTCAACTCTGTCAGTTGAATACACACAACACAAAGAAGTTACTAAGAATTCTTCCCTCTAGCATTATATGAGGAAATCCCGTTTCCAACGAAGGCATCTAAGAGGTCCAAATATCCACTTGCAGACTTTACAAACAGAGGGTTTCCAGAATGCTGTATGAAAACAAAGGTTAAACTCTGTGAGTTAAACACACACATCACTACGCAGTGTCTGGGAACGAGTTTGTCTTGTTTTTATACGAAGATATTTCCTTTTCTACCATTGGCATCGAAGCGCTTGAAATCTCCACTTGCAAATTCCACAAAAAGAGTGTTTCAAATCTGCTCTGTCTAAAGGAAGGTTGAACTCTGTGAGTTGCATACACACAACACAAAGAAGTTACTGAGAAATCTTCTGTCTAGCATAATATGAAGAAATCCCGTTTCCAACGAAGGCCTCAAAGAGGTCCGAATATCCACTGGCAGGCTTCACAAACAGAGTGTTTCCTAACTGCTCTGTGAAAAGAAAGGTTAAACTCTGTGAGTTGAACGCACACATCACAAAGGAGTTTCTGAGAATCATTCTGTCTAGTTTTTATACGAAGATATTTCCTTTTCTACCATTGACCTCAAAGCGGCTGACATCTCCACTTGCAAATTCCAGAAAAACAGTGTTTCAAATCTGCTCTGTGTAAAGGATCGTTCAACTCTGTGAGTTGAATACACACAACACAAGGAAGTTACTGAGAATTCATCTGTCTAGCATAATATGAAGAAATCCCGTTTCCAACGAAGGCCTCAAAGAGGTCTGAATATCCACTTGCAGACTTTACAGAGTGTTTCCTAACTGCTCTCTGAAAAGAAAGGTTAAACTCTGTGAGTTGAACGCACACATCACAAAACAGTTTCTGAGAATCATTCTGTCTAGTTTTTATACGAAGATATTTCCTTTTCTACCGTTGACCTCAAAGCGGCTGAATTCTCCACTTACAAATTCCACCAAAAGAGTGTCTCAAATCTGCTCTGTGTAAAGAATCATTCAACTCTGTGAGTTGAATGCACACAACACAAGGAAGTTACTGGGAATTCCTCTGTCTAACTTACATGAAAAAACCCTTTTCCAACGAAGGCCTCTAAGAGGCCAAGATATCCACTTGCAGACTTTACAAACAGAGTGTTTCCAAACTGCTGAATGAAAAGAAAAGTTAAACTCTGTGAGTTGAACGCACACATCACAGAGCAGTTTCTGAGAATGATTCTGTCGGGTTTTTATACGAAGATATTTCCTTTTCTGCCTTTGGCCTCAAAGCGCTTGAAGTCTCCACTTGCAAATTGCAGAAAAAGAGTGTTTCGAATCTGCTCTGTCTAAAGGAAGGTTCAACTCTGTCAGTTGAATACACACAACACAAGGAAGTTACTGAGATTTCTTCTGTCTAGCGTTACATGAAAAAACCCGTTTCCAACGAAGGCCTCAAAGAGGTCAAAATATCCACGTGCAGACTTTCCAAACAGAGTGTTTCCAAACTGCTGAATGAAAAGTTAAACTCTGTGAGTTGAACGCACACATCCCAGAGCAGTTTCTGAGAAAGATTCTGTCTAGTTTTTATAGGAAAATATTTCCTTTTCTGCTTTTGGCCTCAAAGCGCTTGAAATCTCCACTTGCAAATTCCACAAAAAGAGACTTTCAAATCTGCTCTGTCTAAAGGAAGGTTCAACTCTGTCAGTTGAATACACACAACACAAAGAAGTTACTAAGAATTCTTCCCTCTAGCATTATATGAAGAAATCCCGTTTCCAACGAAGGCATCTAAGAGGTCCAAATATCCACTTGCAGACTTTACAAACACAGGGTTTCCAGAATGCTGTATGAAAAGAAAGGTTAAACTCTGTGAGTTAAACACACACATCACTACGCAGTGTCTGGGAACGAGTTTGTCTTGTTTTTATACGAAGATATTTCCTTTTCTACCATTGGCATCGAAGCGCTTGAAATCTCCACTTGCAAATTCCACAAAAAGAGTGTTTCAAATCTGCTCTGTCTAAAGGAAGGTTGAACTCTGTGAGTTGCATACACACAACACAAAGAAGTTACTGAGAAATCTTCTGTCTAGCATAATATGAAGAAATCCCGTTTCCAACGAAGGCCTCAAAGAGGTCCGAATATCCACTGGCAGGCTTCACAAACAGAGTGTTTCCTAACTGCTCTGTGAAAAGAAAGGTTAAACTCTGTGAGTTGAACGCACACATCACAAAGGAGTTTCTGAGAATCATTCTGTCTAGTTTTTATACGAAGATATTTCCTTTTCTACCATTGACCTCAAAGCGGCTGAAATCTCCACTTGCAAATTCCAGAAAAACAGTGTTTCAAATCTGCTCTGTGTAAAGGATCGTTCAACTCTGTGAGTTGAATACACACAACACAAGGAAGTTACTGAGAATTCATCTGTCTAGCATAATATGAAGAAATCCCGTTTCCAACGAAGGCCTCAAAGAGGTCTGAATATCCACTTGCAGACTTTACAAACAGAGTGTTTCCTAACTGCTCTCTGAAAAGAAAGGTTAAACTGTGTGAGTTGAACGCACACATCACAAAACAGTTTCTGAGAATCATTCTGTCTAGTTTTTATACGAAGATATTTCCTTTTCTACCGTTGACCTCAAAGCGGCTGAATTCTCCACTTACAAATTCCACCAAAAGAGTGTCTCAAATCTGCTCTGTGTAAAGAATCATTCAACTCTGTGAGTTGAATGCACACAACACAAGGAAGTTACTGGGAATTCCTCTGTCTAACCTTACATGAAAAAACCCGTTTCCAACGAAGGCCTCTAAGAGGCCAAGATATCCACTTGCAGACTTTACAAACAGAGTGTTTCCAAACTGCTGAATGAAAAGAAAAGTTAAACTCTGTGAGTTGAACGCACACATCACAGAGCAGTTTGCTGAGAGAGATTCTGTCGGGTTTTTATACGAAGATATTTCCTTTTCTGCCTTTGGCCTCAAAGCGCTTGAAGTCTCCACTTGCAAATTGCAGAAAAAGAGTGTTTCGAATCTGCTCTGTCTAAAGGAAGGTTCAACTCTGTCAGTTGAATACACACAACACAAGGAAGTTACTGAGATTTCTTCTGTCTAGCCTTACATGAAAAAAACCCGTTTCCAACGAAGGCCTCAAAGAGGTCAAAATATCCACGTGCAGACTTTCCAAACAGAGTGTTTCCAAACTGCTGAATGAAAAGAAAAGTTAAACTCTGTGAGTTGAACGCACACATCCCACAGCAGTTTCTGAGAAAGATTCTGTCGAGTTTTTATAGGAAAATATTTCCTTTTCTGCTTTTGGCCTCAAAGCGCTTGAAATCTCCACTTGCAAATTCCACAAAAAGAGACTTTCAAATCTGCTCTGTCTAAAGGAAGGTTCAACTCTGTCAGTTGAATACACACAACACAAAGAAGTTACTAAGAATTCTTCCCTCTAGCATTATATGAAGAAATCCCGTTTCCAACGAAGGCATCTAAGAGGTCCAAATATCCACTTGCAGACTTTACAAACACAGGGTTTCCAGAATGCTGTATGAAAAGAAAGGTTAAACTCTGTGAGTTAAACACACACATCACTACGCAGTGTCTGGGAACGAGTTTGTCTTGTTTTTATACGAAGATATTTCCTTTTCTACCATTGGCATCGAAGCGCTTGAAATCTCCACTTGCAAATTCCACAAAAAGAGTGTTTCAAATCTGCTCTGTCTAAAGGAAGGTTGAACTCTGTGAGTTGCATACACACAACACAAAGAAGTTACTGAGAAATCTTCTGTCTAGCATAATATGAAGAAATCCCGTTTCCAACGAAGGCCTCAAAGAGGTCCGAATATCCACTGGCAGGCTTCACAAACAGAGTGTTTCCTAACTGCTCTGTGAAAAGAAAGGTTAAACTCTGTGAGTTGAACGCACACATCACAAAGGAGTTTCTGAGAATCATTCTGTCTAGTTTTTATACGAAGATATTTCCTTTTCTACCATTGACCTCAAAGCGGCTGAAATCTCCACTTGCAAATTCCAGAAAAACAGTGTTTCAAATCTGCTCTGTGTAAAGGATCGTTCAACTCTGTGAGTTGAATACACACAACACAAGGAAGTTACTGAGAATTCTTCTGTCTTGCATAATATGAAGAAATCCCGTTTGCAACGAAGGCCTCAAAGAGGTCTGAATATGCACTTGCAGACTTTACAAACAGAGTGTTTCCTAACTGCTCTTTGAAAAGAAAGGTTAAACTCTGTGAGTTGAACGCACACATCAAAAAGGAGTTTCTGAGAATCATTCTGTCTAGTTTTTATACGAAGATATTTCCTTTTCTACCATTGACCTCAAAGCGGCTGAATTCTCCACTTACAAATTCCACCAAAAGAGTGTCTCAAATCTGCTCTGTGTAAAGAATCATTCAACTCTGTGAGTTGAATGCACACAACACAAGGAAGTTACTGGGAATTCCTCTGTCTAACCTTACATGAAAATAACCCGTTTCCAACGAAGGCCTCTAAGAGGCCAAGATATCCACTTGCAGACTTTACAAACAGAGTGCTTCCAAACTGCTGAATGAAAAGAAAAGTTAAACTCTGTGAGTTGAACGCACACATCACAGAGCAGTTTCTGAGAATGATTCTGTCGGGTTTTTATACGAAGATATTTCCTTTTCTGCCTTTGGCCTCAAAGCGCTTGAAGTCTCCACTTGCAAATTGCAGAAAAAGAGTGTTTCGAATCTGCTCTGTCTAAAGGAAGGTTCAACCCTGTCAGTTGAATACACACAACACAAGGAAGTTACTGAGATTTCCTCTGTCTAGCCTTACATGAAAAAAACCCGTTTCCAACGAAGGCCTCAAAGTAGGTCAAAATATCCACGTGCAGACTTTCCAAACAGAGTGTTTCCAAACTGCTGAATGAAAAGAAAAGTTAAACTCTGTGAGTTGAACGCACACATCCCAGAGCAGTTTCTGAGAAAGATTCTGTCGAGTTTTTATAGGAAAATATTTCCTTTTCTGCTTTTGGCCTCAAAGCGCTTGAAATCTCCACTTGCAAATTCCACAAAAAGAGACTTTCAAATCTGCTCTGTCTAAAGGAAGGTTCAACTCTGTCAGTTGAATACACACAACACAAAGAAGTTACTAAGAATTCTTCCCTCTAGCATTATATGAAGAAATCCCGTTTCCAACGAAGGCATCTAAGAGGTCCAAATATCCACTTGCAGACTTTACAAACAGAGGGTTTCCAGAATGCTGTATGAAAAGAAAGGTTAAACTCTGTGAGTTAAACACACACATCACTACGCAGTGTCTGGGAACGAGTTTGTCTTGTTTTTATACGAAGATATTTCCTTTTCTACCATTGGCATCGAAGCGCTTGAAATCTCCACTTGCAAATTCCACAAAAAGAGTGTTTCAAATCTGCTCTGTCTAAAGGAAGGTTGAACTCTGTGAGTTGCATACACACAACACAAAGAAGTTACTGAGAAATCTTCTGTCTAGCATAATATGAAGAAATCCCGTTTCCAACGAAGGCCTCAAAGAGGTCCGAATATCCACTGGCAGGCTTCACAAACAGAGTGTTTCCTAACTGCTCTGTGAAAAGAAAGGTTAAACTCTGTGAGTTGAACGCACACATCACAAAGGAGTTTCTGAGAATCATTCTGTCTAGTTTTTATACGAAGATATTTCCTTTTCTACCATTGACCTCAAAGCGGCTGAAATCTCCACTTGCAAATTCCAGAAAAACAGTGTTTCAAATCTGCTCTGTGTAAAGGATCGTTCAACTCTGTGAGTTGAATACACACAACACAAGGAAGTTACTGAGAATTCATCTGTCTAGCATAATATGAAGAAATCCCGTTTCCAACGAAGGCCTCAAAGAGGTCTGAATATCCGCTTGCAGACTTTACAAACAGAGTGTTTCCTAACTGCTCTTTGAAAAGAAAGGTTAAACTCTGTGAGTTGAACGCACACATCACAAAACAGTTTCTGAGAATCATTCTGTCTAGTTTTTATACGAAGATATTTCCTTTTCTACCGTTGACCTCAAAGCGGCTGAATTCTCCACTTACAAATTCCACCAAAAGAGTGTCTCAAATCTGCTCTGTGTAAAGAATCATTCAACTCTGTGAGTTGAATGCACACAACACAAGGAAGTTACTGGGAATTCCTCTGTCTAGCCTTACATGAAAAAAACCCGTTTCCAACGAAGGCCTCTAAGAGGCCAAGATATCCACTTGCAGACTTTACAAACAGAGTGTTTCCAAACTGCTGAATGAAAAGAAAAGTTAAACTCTGTGAGTTGAACGCACACATCACAGAGCAGTTTCTGAGAATGATTCTGTCGGGTTTTTATACGAAGATATTTCCTTTTCTGCCTTTGGCCTCAAAGCGCTTGAAGTCTCCACTTGCAAATTGCAGAAAAAGAGTGTTTCGAATCTGCTCTGTCTAAAGGAAGGTTCAACTCTGTCAGTTGAATACACACAACACAAGGAAGTTACTGAGATTTCTTCTGTCTAGCCTTACATGAAAAAAACCCGTTTCCAACGAAGGCCTCAAAGAGGTCAAAATATCCACGTGCAGACTTTCCAAACAGAGTGTTTCCAAACTGCTGAATGAAAAGAAAAGTTAAACTCTGTGAGTTGAACGCACACATCCCAGAGCAGTTTCTGAGAAAGATTCTGTCGAGTTTTTATAGGAAAATATTTCCTTTTCTGCTTTTGGCCTCAAAGCGCTTGAAATCTCCACTTGCAAATTCCACAGAAAGAGACTTTCAAATCTGCTCTGTCTAAAGGAAGGTTCAACTCTGTCAGTTCAATACACACAACACAAAGAAGTTACTAAGAATTCTTCCCTCTAGCATTATATGAAGAAATCCCGTTTCCAACGAAGGCATCTAAGAGGTCCAAATATCCACTTGCAGACTTTACAAACACAGGGTTTCCAGAATGCTGTATGAAAAGAAAGGTTAAACTCTGTGAGTTAAACACACACATCACTACGCAGTGTCTGGGAACGAGTTTGTCTTGTTTTTATACGAAGATATTTCCTTTTCTACCATTGGCATCGAAGCGCTTGAAATCTCCACTTGCAAATTCCACAAAAAGAGTGTTTCAAATCTGCTCTGTCTAAAGGAAGGTTGAACTCTGTGAGTTGCATACACACAACACAAAGAAGTTACTGAGAAATCTTCTGTCTAGCATAATATGAAGAAATCCCGTTTCCAACGAAGGCCTCAAAGAGGTCCGAATATCCACTGGCAGGCTTCACAAACAGAGTGTTTCCTAACTGCTCTGTGAAAAGAAAGTTTAAACTCTGTGAGTTGAACGCACACATCACAAAGGAGTTTCTGAGAATCATTCTGTCCAGTTTTTATACGAAGATATTTCCTTTTCTACCATTGACCTCAAAGCGGCTGAAATCTCCACTTGCAAATTCCAGAAAAACAGTGTTTCAAATCTGCTCTGTGTAAAGGATCGTTCAACTCTGTGAGTTGAATACACACAACACAAGGAAGTTACTGAGAATTCATCTGTCTAGCATAATATGAAGAAATCCCGTTTCCAACGAAGGCCTCAAAGAGGTCTGAATATCCACTTGCAGACTTTACAAACAGAGTGTTTCCTAACTGCTCTTTGAAAAGAAAGGTTAAACTCTGTGAGTTGAACGCACACATCACAAAACAGTTTCTGAGAATCATTCTGTCTAGTTTTTATACGAAGATATTTCCTTTTCTACCGTTGACCTCAAAGCGGCTGAATTCTCCACTTACAAATTCCACCAAAAGAGTGTCTCAAATGTGCTCTGTGTAAAGAATCATTCAACTCTGTGAGTTGAATGCACACAACACAAGGAAAGTTACTGGGAATTCCTCTGTCTAACCTTACATGAAAAAACCCGTTTCCAACGAAGGCCTCTAAGAGGCCAAGATATCCACTTGCAGACTTTACAAACAGAGTGTTTCCAAACTGCTGAATGAAAAGAAAAGTTAAACTCTGTGAGTTGAACGCACACATCACAGAGCAGTTTCTGAGAATGATTCTGTCGGGTTTTTATACGAAGATATTTCCTTTTCTGCCTTTGGCCTCAAAGCGCTTGAAGTCTCCACTTGCAAATTGCAGAAAAAGAGTGTTTCGAATCTGCTCTGTCTAAAGGAAGGTTCAACTCTGTCAGTTGAATACACACAACACAAGGAAGTTACTGAGATTTCTTCTGTCTAGCCTTACATGAAAAAAACCCGTTTCCAACGAAGGCCTCAAAGAGGTCAAAATATCCACGTGCAGACTTTCCAAACAGAGTGTTTCCAAACTGCTGAATGAAAAGAAAAGTTAAACTCTGTGAGTTGAACGCACACATCCCAGAGCAGTTTCTGAGAAAGATTCTGTCGAGTTTTTAAAGGAAAATATTTCCTTTTCTGCTTTTGCCCTCAAAGCGCTTGAAATCTCCACTTGCAAATTCCACAAAAAGAGACTTTCAAATCTGCTCTGTCTAAAGGAAGGTTCAACTCTGTCAGTTGAATACACACAACACAAAGAAGTTACTAAGAATTCTTCCCTCTAGCATTATATGAAGAAATCCCGTTTCCAACGAAGGCATCTAAGAGGTCCAAATATCCACTTGCAGACTTTACAAACAGAGGGTTTCCAGAATGCTGTATGAAAAGAAAGGTGAAACTCTGTGAGTTAAACACACACATCACTACGCAGTGTCTGGGAACGAGTTTGTCTTGTTTTTATACGAAGATATTTCCTTTTCTACCATTGGCATCGAAGCGCTTGAAATCTCCACTTGCAAATTCCACAAAAAGAGTGTTTCAAATCTGCTCTGTCTAAAGGAAGGTTGAACTCTGTGAGTTGCATACACACAACACAAAGAAGTTACTGAGAAATCTTCTGTCTAGCATAATATGAAGAAATCCCGTTTCCAACGAAGGCCTCAAAGAGGTCCGAATATCCACTGGCAGGCTTCACAAACAGAGTGTTTCCTAACTGCTCTGTGAAAAGAAAGGTTAAACTCTGTGAGTTGAACGCACACATCACAAAGGAGTTTCTGAGAATCATTCTGTCTAGTTTTTATACGAAGATATTTCCTTTTCTACCATTGACCTCAAAGCGGCTGAAATCTCCACTTGCAAATTCCAGAAAAACAGTGTTTCAAATCTGCTCTGTGTAAAGGATCGTTCAACTCTGTGAGTTGAATACACACAACACAAGGAAGTTACTGAGAATTCATCTGTCTAGCATAATATGAAGAAATCCCGTTTCCAACGAAGGCCTCAAAGAGGTCTGAATATCCACTTGCAGACTTTACAAACAGAGTGTTTCCTAACTGCTCTTTGAAAAGAAAGGTTAAACTCTGTGAGTTGAAAGCACACATCACAAAACAGTTTCTGAGAATCATTCTGTCTAGTTTTTATATGAAGATATTTCCTTTTCTACCGTTGACATCAAAGCGGCTGAATTCTCCACTTACAAATTCCACCAAAAGAGTGTCTCAAATCTGCTCTGTGTAAAGAATCATTCAACTCTGTGAGTTGAATGCACACAACACAAGGAAGTTAGTGGGAATTCCTCTGTCTAACCTTACATGAAAAAACCCGTTTCCAACGAAGGCCTCTAAGAGGCCAAGATATCCACTTGCAGACTTTACAAACAGAGTGTTTCCAAACTGCTGAATGAAAAGAAAAGTTAAACTCTGTGAGTTGAACGCACACATCACAGAGCAGTTTCTGAGAATGATTCTGTCGGGTTTTTATACGAAGATATTTCCTTTTCTGCCTTTGGCCTCAAAGCGCTTGAAGTTTCCACTTGCAAATTGCAGAAAAAGAGTGTTTCGAATCTGCTCTGTCTAAAGGAAGGTTCAACTCTGTCAGTTGAATACACACAACACAAGGAAGTTACTGAGATTTCTTCTGTCTAGCCTTACATGAAAAAAACCCGTTTCCAACGAAGGCCTCAAAGAGGTCAAAATATCCACGTGCAGACTTTCCAAACAGAGTGTTTCCAAACTGCTGAATGGAAAGAAAAGTTAAACTCTGTGAGTTGAACGCACACATCCCAGAGCAGTTTCTGAGAAAGATTCTGTCGAGTTTTTATAGGAAAATATTTCCTTTTCTGCTTTTGGCCTCAAAGCGCTTGAAATCTCCACTTGCAAATTCCACAAAAAGAGACTTTCAAATCTGCTCTGTCTAAAGGAAGGTTCAACTCTGTCAGTTGAATACACACAACACAAAGAAGTTACTAAGAATTCTTCCCTCTAGCATTATATGAAGAAATCCCGTTTGCAACGAAGGCATCTAAGAGGTCCAAATATCCACTTGCAGACTTTACAAACAGAGGGTTTCCAGAATGCTGTATGAAAAGAAAGGTGAAACTCTGTGAGTTAAACACACACATCACTACGCAGTGTCTGGGAACGAGTTTGTCTTGTTTTTATACGAAGATATTTCCTTTTCTACCATTGGCATCGAAGCGCTTGAAATCTCCACTTGCAAATTCCACAAAAAGAGTGTTTCAAATCTGCTCTGTCTAAAGGAAGGTTGAACTCTGTGAGTTGCATACACACAACACAAAGAAGTTACTGAGAAATCTTCTGTCTAGCATAATATGAAGAAATCCCGTTTCCAACGAAGGCCTCAAAGAGGTCCGAATATCCACTGGCAGGCTTCACAAACAGAGTGTTTCCTAACTGCTCTGTGAAAAGAAAGGTTAAACTCTGTGAGTTGAACGCACACATCACAAAGGAGTTTCTGAGAATCATTCTGTCTAGTTTTTATACGAAGATATTTCCTTTTCTACCATTGACCTCAAAGCGGCTGACATCTCCACTTGCAAATTCCAGAAAAACAGTGTTTCAAATCTGCTCTGTGTAAAGGATCGTTCAACTCTGTGAGTTGAATACACACAACACAAGGAAGTTACTGAGAATTCATCTGTCTAGCATAATATGAAGAAATCCCGTTTCCAAGGAAGGCCTCAAAGAGGTCTGAATATCCACTTGCAGACTTTACAGAGTGTTTCCTAACTGCTCTCTGAAAAGAAAGGTTAAACTCTGTGAGTTGAACGCACACATCACAAAACAGTTTCTGAGAATCATTCTGTCTAGTTTTTATACGAAGATATTTCCTTTTCTACCGTTGACCTCAAAGCGGCTGAATTCTCCACTTACAAATTCCACCAAAAGAGTGTCTCAAATCTGCTCTGTGTAAAGAATCGTTCAACTCTGTGAGTTGAATGCACACAACACAAGGAAGTTACTGGGAATTCCTCTGTCTAACCTTACATGAAAAAACCCGTTTCCAACGAAGGCCTCTAAGAGGCCAAGATATCCACTTGCAGACTTTACAAACAGAGTGTTTCCAAACTGCTGAATGAAAAGAAAAGTTAAACTCTGTGAGTTGAACGCACACATCACAGAGCAGTTTCTGAGAATGATTCTGTCGGGTTTTTATACGAAGATATTTCCTTTTCTGCCTTTGGCCTCAAAGCGCTTGAAGTCTCCACTTGCAAATTGCAGAAAAAGAGTGTTTGGAATCTGCTCTGTCTAAAGGAAGGTTCAACCCTGTCAGTTGAATACACACAACACAAGGAAGTTACTGAGATTTCCTCTGTCTGGCCTTACATGAAAAAAACCCGTTTCCAACCAAGGCCTCAAAGAGGTCAAAATATCCACGGCAGACTTTACAAACAGAGTGTTTCCAAACTGCTGAATGAAAAGAAAAGTTAAACTCTGTGAGTTGAACGCACACATCACAGAGCAGTTTCTGAGAATGATTCTGTCTAGTTTTTATAGGAAAATATTTCCTTTTCTGCTTTTGGCCTCAAAGTGCTTGAAATCTCCACTTGCAAATTCCACAAAAAGAGACTTTCAAATCTGCTCTGTCTAAAGGAAGGTTCAACTCTGTCAGTTGAATACACACAACACAAAGAAGTTACTGAGAATTCTTCCCTCTACCATTATATGACGAAATCCCATTTCCAACGAAGGCATCTAAGAGGTCCAAATATACACTTGCAGACTTTACAAACAGAGGGTTTCCAGAGTTCTGTATGAAAAGAAAGGTTAAAGTCTGTGAGTTAAACACACACATCACTACGCAGTTTCTGGGAATGATTTTGTCTTGTTTTTATACGAAGATATTTCCTTTTCGACCATTGGCGTCGAAGCGCTTGAAATCTCCACTTCCAAATTCCACAAAAAGAGTGTTTCAAATCTGCTCTCTCTAAAGGAAGGTTGAACTCTGTGAGTTGCATATACACAACACAAAGTAGTTACTGAGAAATCTGTCTAGCATAATATGAAGAAATCCCGTTTCCAACGAAGGCCTCAAAGAGGTCCGAATATCCACTGGCAGACTTCACAAACAGAGTGTTTCCTAACTGGTCTGTGAAAAGAAAGGTTAAACTCTGTGAGTTGAACGCACACATCACAAAGGAGTTTCTGAGAATCATTCTGTCTAGTTTTTATACGAAGATATTTCTTTTTCTACCATTGACCTCAAAGCGGCTGAAATCTCCACTTGCAAATTCCAGAAAAACAGTGTTTCAAATCTGCTCTGTGTAAAGGATCGTTCAACTCTGTGAGTTGAATACACACAACACAAGGAAGTTACTGAGAATTCATCTGTCTAGCATAATATGAAGAAATCCCGTTTCCAACGAAGGCCTCAAAGAGGTCTGAATATCCACTTGCAGACTTTACAAACAGAGTGTTTCCTAACTGCTCTTTGAAAAGAAAGGTTAAACTCTGTGAGTTGAACGCACACATCACAAAACAGTTTCTGAGAATCATTCTGTCTAGTTTTTATACGAAGATATTTCCTTTTCTACCGTTGACCTCAAAGCGGCTGAATTCTCCACTAACAAATTCCACCAAAAGAGTGTCTCAAATCTGCTCTGTGTAAAGAATCATTCAACTCTGTGAGTTGAATGCACACAACACAAGGAAGTTACCGGGAATTCCTCTGTCTAACCTTACATGAAAAAACCCGTTTCCAACGAAGGCCTCTAAGAGGCCAAGATATCCACTTGCAGACTTTACAAACAGAGTGTTTCCAAACTGCTGAATGAAAAGAAAAGTTAAACTCTGTGAGTTGAACGCACACATCACAGAGCAGTTTCTGAGAATGATTCTGTCGGGTTTTTATACGAAGATATTTCCTTTTCTGCCTTTGGCCTCAAATCGCTTGAAGTCTCCACTTGCAAATTGCAGAAAAAGAGTGTTTCGAATCTGCTCTGTCTAAAGGAAGGTTCAACTCTGTCAGTTGAATACACACAACACAAGGGAAGTTACTGAGATTTCTTCTGTCTAGCCTTACATGAAAAAAACCCGTTTCCAACGAAGGCCTCAAAGAGGTCAAAATATCCACGTGCAGACTTTCCAAACAGAGTGTTTCCAAACTGCTGAATGAAAAGAAAGTTAAACTCTGTGAGTTGAACACACACATCACAGAGCAGTTTCTGAGAATGATTCTGTCGAGGTTTTATAGGAAAATATTTCCTTTTCTGCTTTTGGCCTCAAAGCGCTTGAAATCTCCACTTGCAAATTCCACAAAAAGAGACTTTCAAATCTGCTCTGTCTAAAGGAAGGTTCAACTCTGTCAGTTGAATACACACAACACAAAGAAGTTACTAAGAATTCTTCCCTCTAGCATTATATGAAGAAATCCCGTTTCCAACGAAGGCATCTAAGAGGTCCAAATATCCACTTGCAGACTTTACAAACACAGGGTTTCCAGAATGCTGTATGAAAAGAAAGGTGAAACTCTGTGAGTTAAACACACACATCACTACGCAGTGTCTGGGAACGAGTTTGTCTTGTTTTTATACGAAGATATTTCCTTTTCTACCATTGGCATCGAAGCGCTTGAAATCTCCACTTGCAAATTCCACAAAAAGAGTGTTTCAAATCTGCTCTGTCTAAAGGAAGGTTGAACTCTGTGAGTTGCATACACACAACACAAAGAAGTTACTGAGAAATCTTCTGTCTAGCATAATATGAAGAAATCCCGTTTCCAACGAAGGCCTCAAAGAGGTCCGAATATCCACTGGCAGGCTTCACAAACAGAGTGTTTCCTAACTGCTCTGTGAAAAGAAAGGTTAAACTCTGTGAGTTGAACGCACACATCACAAAGGAGTTTCTGAGAATCATTCTGTCTAGTTTTTATACGAAGATATTTCCTTTTCTACCATTGACCTCAAAGCGGCTGAAATCTCCACTTGCAAATTCCAGAAAAACAGTGTTTCAAATCTGCTCTGTGTAAAGGATCGTTCAACTCTGTGAGTTGAATACACACAACACAAGGAAGTTACTGAGAATTCATCTGTCTAGCATAATATGAAGAAATCCCGTTTCCAACGAAGGCCTCAAAGAGGTCTGAATATCCACTTGCAGACTTTACAAACAGAGTGTTTCCTAACTGCTCTTTGAAAAGAAAGGTTAAACTCTGTGAGTTGAACGCACACATCACAAAACAGTTTCTGAGAATCATTCTGTCTAGTTTTTATACGAAGATATTTCCTTTTCTACCGTTGACCTCAAAGCGGCTGAATTCTCCACTTACAAATTCCACCAAAAGAGTGTCTCAAATCTGCTCTGTGTAAAGAATCATTCAACTCTGTGAGTTGAATGCACACAACACAAGGAAGTTACTGGGAATTCCTCTGTCTAACCTTACATGAAAAAACCCGTTTCCAACGAAGGCCTCTAAGAGGCCAAGATATCCACTTGCAGACTTTACAAACAGAGTGTTTCCAAACTGCTGAATGAAAAGAAAAGTTAAACTCTGTGAGTTGAACGCACACATCACAGAGCAGTTTCTGAGAATGATTCTGTCGGGTTTTTATACGAAGATATTTCCTTTTCTGCCTTTGGCCTCAAAGCGCTTGAAGTCTCCACTTGCAAATTGCAGAAAAAGAGTGTTTCGAATCTGCTCTGTCTAAAGGAAGGTTCAACTCTGTCAGTTGAATACACACAACACAAGGAAGTTACTGAGATTTCTTCTGTCTAGCGTTACATGAAAAAAACCCGTTTCCAACGAAGGCCTCAAAGAGGTCAAAATATCCACGTGCAGACTTTCCAAACAGAGTGTTTCCAAACTGCTGAATGAAAAGAAAGTTAAACTCTGTGAGTTGAACACACACATCACAGAGCAGTTTCTGAGAATGATTCTGTCTAGTTTTTATAGGAAAATATTTCCTTTTCTGCTTTTGGCCTCAAAGCGCTTGAAATCTCCACTTGCAAATTCCACAAAAAGAGACTTTCAAATCTGCTCTGTCTAAAGGAAGGTTCAACTCTGTCAGTTGAATACACACAACACAAAGAAGTTACTAAGAATTCTTCCCTCTAGCATTATATGAAGAAATCCCGTTTCCAACGAAGGCATCTAAGAGGTCCAAATATCCACTTGCAGACTTTACAAACACAGGGTTTCCAGAATGCTGTATGAAAAGAAAGGTTAAACTCTGTGAGTTAAACACACACATCACTACGCAGTGTCTGGGAACGAGTTTGTCTTGTTTTTATACGAAGATATTTCCTTTTCTACCATTGGCATCGAAGCGCTTGAAATCTCCACTTGCAAATTCCACAAAAAGAGTGTTTCAAATCTGCTCTGTCTAAAGGAAGGTTGAACTCTGTGAGTTGCATACACACAACACAAAGAAGTTACTGAGAAATCTTCTGTCTAGCAAAATATGAAGAAATCCCGTTTCCAACGAAGGCCTCAAAGAGGTCCGAATATCCACTGGCAGGCTTCACAAACAGAGTGTTTCCTAACTGCTCTGTGAAAAGAAAGGTTAAACTCTGTGAGTTGAACGCACACATCACAAAGGAGTTTCTGAGAATCATTCTGTCTAGTTTTTATACGAAGATATTTCCTTTTCTACCATTGACCTCAAAGCGGCTGACATCTCCACTTGCAAATTCCAGAAAAACAGTGTTTCAAATCTGCTCTGTGTAAAGGATCGTTCAACTCTGTGAGTTGAATACACACAACACAAGGAAGTTACTGAGAATTCATCTGTCTAGCATAATATGAAGAAATCCCGTTTCCAACGAAGGCCTCAAAGAGGTCTGAATATCCACTTGCAGACTTTACAAACAGAGTGTTTCCTAACTGCTCTTTGAAAAGAAAGGTTAAACTCTGTGAGTTGAAAGCACACATCACAAAACAGTTTCTGAGAATCATTCTTTCTAGTTTTTATACGAAGATATTTCCTTTTCTACCGTTGACCTCAAAGCGGCTGAATTCTCCACTTACAAATTCCACCAAAAGAGTGTCTCAAATCTGCTCTGTGTAAAGAATCATTCAACTCTGTGAGTTGAATGCACACAACACAAGGAAGTTACTGGGAATTCCTCTGTCTAACCTTACATGAAAAAACCCGTTTCCAACGAAGGCCTCTAAGAGGCCAAGATATCCACTTGCAGACTTTACAAACAGAGTGTTTCCAAACTGCTGAATGAAAAGAAAAGTTAAACTCTGTGAGTTGAACGCACACATCACAGAGCAGTTTCTGAGAATGATTCTGTCGGGTTTTTCTACGAAGATATTTCCTTTTCTGCCTTTGGCCTCAAAGCGCTTGAAGTCTCCACTTGCAAATTGCAGAAAAAGAGTGTTTCGAATCTGCTCTGTCTAAAGGAAGGTTCAACTCTGTCAGTTGAATACACACAACACAAGGAAGTTACTGAGATTTCTTCTGTCTAGCCTTACATGAAAAAAACCCGTTTCCAACGAAGGCCTCAAAGAGGTCAAAATATCCACGTGCAGACTTTCCAAACAGAGTGTTTCCAAACTGCTGAATGAAAAGAAAGTTAAACTCTGTGAGTTGAACACACACATCACAGAGCAGTTTCTGAGAATGATTCTGTCTAGTTTTTATAGGAAAATATTTCCTTTTCTGCTTTTGGCCTCAAAGCGCTTGAAATCTCCACTTGCAAATTCCACAAAAAGAGACTTTCAAATCTGCTCTGTCTAAAGGAAGGTTCAACTCTGTCAGTTGAATACACACAACACAAAGAAGTTACTAAGAATTCTTCCCTCTAGCATTATATGAAGAAATCCCGTTTCCAACGAAGGCATCTAAGAGGTCCAAATATCCACTTGCAGACTTTACAAACACAGGGTTTCCAGAATGCTGTATGAAAAGAAAGGTTAAACTCTGTGAGTTAAACACACACATCACTACGCAGTGTCTGGGAACGAGTTTGTCTTGTTTTTATACGAAGATATTTCCTTTTCTACCATTGGCATCGAAGCGCTTGAAATCTCCACTTGCAAATTCCACAAAAAGAGTGTTTCAAATCTGCTCTGTCTAAAGGAAGGTTGAACTCTGTGAGTTGCATACACACAACACAAAGAAGTTACTGAGAAATCTTTTGTCTAGCATAATATGAAGAAATCCCGTTTCCAACGAAGGCCTCAAAGAGGTCCGAATATCCACTGGCAGGCTTCACAAACAGAGTGTTTCCTAACTGCTCTGTGAAAAGAAAGGTTAAACTCTGTGAGTTGAACGCAAACATCACAAAGGAGTTTCTGAGAATCATTCTGTCTAGTTTTTATACGAAGATATTTCCTTTTCTACCATTGACCTCAAAGCGGCTGAAATCTCCACTTGCAAATTCCAGAAAAACAGTGTTTCAAATCTGCTCTGTGTAAAGGATCGTTCAACTCTGTGAGTTGAATACACACAACACAAGGAAGTTACTGAGAATTCATCTGTCTAGCATAATATAAAGAAACCCCGTTTCCAACGAAGGCCTCAAAGAGGTCTGAATATCCACTTGCAGACTTTACAAACAGAGTGTTTCCTAACTGCTCTTTGAAAAGAAAGGTTAAACTCTGTGAGTTGAACGCACACATCACAAAACAGTTTCTGAGAATCATTCTGTCTAGTTTTTATACGAAGATATTTCCTTTTCTACCGTTGACCTCAAAGCAGCTGAATTCTCCACTTACAAATTCCACCAAAAGAGTGTCTCAAATCTGCTCTGTGTAAAGAATCATTCAACTCTGTGAGTTGAATGCACACAACACAAGGAAGTTACTGGGAATTCCTCTATCTAACCTTACATGAAAAAACCCGTTTCCAACGAAGGCCTCTAAGAGGCCAAGATATCCACTTGCAGACTTTACAAACAGAGTGTTTCCAAGCTGCTGAATGAAAAGAAAAGTTAAACTCTGTGAGTTGAACGCACACATCACAGAGCAGTTTCTGAGAGTGATTCTGTCGGGTTTTTATACGAAGATATTTCCTTTTCTGCCTTTGGCCTCAAAGCGCTTGAAGTCTCCACTTGCAAATTGCAGAAAAAGAGCGTTTCGAATCTGCTCTGTCTAAAGGAAGGTTCAACTCTGTCAGTTGAATACACACAACACAAGGGAAGTTACTGAGATTTCTTCTGTCTAGCCTTACATGAAAAAAACCCGTTTCCAACGAAGGCCTCTAAGAGGCCAATATATCCACTTGCAGACTTTACAAACAGAGTGTTTCCAAACTGCTGAATGAAAAGAAAAGTTAAACTCTGTGAGTTGAACGCACACATCCCAGAGCAGTTTCTGAGAATGATTCTGTCTAGTTTTTATAGGAAAATATTTCCTTTTCTGCTTTTGGCCTCAAAGCGCTTGAAATCTCCACTTGCAAATTCCACAAAAAGAGACTTTCAAATCTGCTCTGTCTAAAGGAAGGTTCAACTCTGTCAGTTGAATACACACAACACAAAGAAGTTACTAAGAATTCTTCCCTCTAGCATTATATGAAGAAATCCCGTTTCCAACGAAGGCATCTAAGAGGTCCAAATATCCACTTGCAGACTTTACAAACAGAGGGTTTCCAGAATGCTGTATGAAAAGAAAGGTTAAACTCTGTGAGTTAAACACACACATCACTACGCAGTGTCTGGGAACGAGTTTGTCTTGTTTTTATACGAAGATATTTCCTTTTCTACCATTGGCATCGAAGCGCTTGAAATCTCCACTTGCAAATTCCACAAAAAGAGTGTTTCAAATCTGCTCTGTCTAAAGGAAGGTTGAACTCTGTGAGTTGCATACACACAACACAAAGAAGTTACTGAGAAATCTTCTGTCTAGCATAATATGAAGAAATCCCGTTTCCAACGAAGGCCTCAAAGAGGTCCGAATATCCACTGGCAGGCTTCACAAACAGAGTGTTTCCTAACTGCTCTGTGAAAAGAAAGGTTAAACTCTGTGAGTTGAACGCACACATCACAAAGGAGTTTCTGAGAATCATTCTGTCTAGTTTTTATACGAAGATATTTCCTTTTCTACCATTGACCTCAAAGCGGCTGAAATCTCCACTTGCAAATTCCAGAAAAACAGTGTTTCAAATCTGCTCTGTGTAAAGGATCGTTCAACTCTGTGAGTTGAATACACACAACACAAGGAAGTTACTGAGAATTCATCTGTCTAGCATAATATGAAGAAATCCCGTTTCCAACGAAGGCCTCAAAGAGGTCTGAATATCCACTTGCAGACTTTACAAACAGAGTGTTTCCTAACTGCTCTTTGAAAAGAAAGGTTAAACTCTGTGAGTTGAACGCACACATCACAAAACAGTTTCTGAGAATCATTCTGTCTAGTTTTTATACGAAGATATTTCCTTTTCTACCGTTGACCTCAAAGCGGCTGAATTCTCCACTAACAAATTCCACAAAAAGAGTGTCTCAAATCTGCTCTGTGTAAAGAATCATTCAACTCTGTGAGTTGAATGCACACAACACAAGGAAGTTACTGGGAATTCCTCTGTCTAACCTTACATGAAAAAACCCGTTTCCAACGAAGGCCTCTAAGAGGCCAAGATATCCACTTGCAGACTTTACAAACAGAGTGTTTCCAAACTGCTGAATGAAAAGAAAAGTTAAACTCTGTGAGTTGAACGCACACATCACAGAGCAGTTTCTGAGAATGATTCTGTCGGGTTTTTATACGAAGATATTTCCTTTTCTGCCTTTGGCCTCAAAGCGCTTGAAGTCTCCACTTGCAAATTGCAGAAAAAGAGTGTTTCGAATCTGCTCTGTCTAAAAGAAGGTTCAACTCTGTCAGTTGAATACACACAACACAAGGAAGTTACTGAGATTTCTTCTGTCTAGCCTTACATGAAAAAAACCCGTTTCCAACGTAGGCCTCAAAGAGGTCAAAATATCCACGTGCAGACTTTCCAAATAGAGTGTTTCCAAACTGCTGAATGAAAAGAAAAGTTAAACTCTGTGAGTTGAACGCACACATCACAGAGCAGTTTCTGAGAAAGATTCTGTCTAGTTTTTATAGGAAAATATTTCCTTTTCTGCTTTTGGCCTCAAAGCGCTTGAAATCTCCACTTGCAAATTCCACAAAAAGAGACTTTCAAATCTGCTCTGTCTAAAGGAAGGTTCAACTCTGTCAGTTGAATACACACAACACAAAGAAGTTACTAAGAATTCTTCCCTCTAGCATTATATGAAGAAATCCCGTTTCCAACGAAGGCATCTAAAAGGTCCAAATATCCACTTGCAGACTTTACAAACACAGGGTTTCCAGAATGCTGTATGAAAAGAAAGGTTAAACTCTGTGAGTTAAACACACACATCACTACGCAGTGTCTGGGAACGAGTTTGTCTTGTTTTTATACGAAGATATTTCCTTTTCTACCATTGGCATCGAAGCGCTTGAAATCTCCACTTGCAAATTCCACAAAAAGAGTGTTTCAAATCTGCTCTGTCTAAAGGAAGGTTGAACTCTGTGAGTTGCATACACACAACACAAAGAAGTTACTGAGAAATCTTCTGTCTAGCATAATATGAAGAAATCCCGTTTCCAACGAAGGCCTCAAAGAGGTCCGAATATCCACTGGCAGGCTTCACAGAGTGTTTCCTAACTGCTCTGTGAAAAGAAAGGTTAAACTCTGTGAGTTGAACGCACACATCACAAAGGAGTTTCTGAGAATCATTCTGTCTAGTTTTTATACGAAGATATTTCCTTTTCTACCATTGACCTCAAAGCGGCTGAAATCTCCACTTGCAAATTCCAGAAAAACAGTGTTTCAAATCTGCTCTGTGTAAAGGATCGTTTAACTCTGTGAGTTGAATACACACAACACAAGGAAGTTACTGAGAATTCATCTGTCTAGCATAATATGAAGAAATCCCGTTTCCAACGAAGGCCTCAAAGAGGTCTGAATATCCACTTGCAGACTTTACAAACAGAGTGTTTCCTAACTGCTCTTTGAAAAGAAAGGTTAAACTCTGTGAGTTGAACGCACACATCACAAAACAGTTTCTGAGAATCATTCTGTCTAGTTTTTATACGAAGATATTTCCTTTTCTACCGTTGACCTCAAAGCGGCTGAATTCTCCACTTACAAATTCCACCAAAAGAGTGTCTCAAATCTGCTCTGTGTAAAGAATCATTCAACTCTGTGAGTTGAATGCACACAACACAAGGAAGTTACTGGGAATTCCTCTGTCTAACCTTACATGAAAAAACCCGTTTCCAACGAAGGCCTCTAAGAGGCCAAGATATCCACTTGCAGACTTTACAAACAGAGTGTTTCCAAACTGCTGAATGAAAAGAAAAGTTAAACTCTGTGAGTTGAACGCACACATCACAGAGCAGTTTCTGAGAATGATTCTGTCGGGTTTTTATACGAAGATATTTCCTTTTCTGCCTTTGGCCTCAAAGCGCTTGAAGTCTCCACTTGCAAATTGCAGAAAAAGAGTGTTTCGAATCTGCTCTGTCTAAAAGAAGGTTCAACTCTGTCAGTTGAATACACACAACACAAGGAAGTTACTGAGATTTCTTCTGTCTAGCCTTACATGAAAAAAACCCGTTTCCAACGAAGGCCTCAAAGAGGTCAAAATATCCACGTGCAGACTTTCCAAACAGAGTGTTTCCAAACTGCTGAATGAAAAGAAAAGTTAAACTCTGTGAGTTGAACGCACACATCCCAGAGCAGTTTCTGAGAAAGATTCTGTCGAGTTTTTATAGGAAAATATTTCCTTTTCTGCTTTTGGCCTCAAAGCGCTTGAAATCTCCACTTGCAAATTCCACAAAAAGAGACTTTCAAATCTGCTCTGTCTAAAGGAAGGTTCAACTCTGTCAGTTGAATACACACAACACAAAGAAGTTACTAAGAATTCTTCCCTCTAGCATTATATGAAGAAATCCCGTTTCCAACGAAGGCATCTAAGAGGTCCAAATATCCACTTGCAGACTTTACAAACACAGGGTTTCCAGAATGCTGTATGAAAAGAAAGGTTAAACTCTGTGAGTTAAACACACACATCACTACGCAGTGTCTGGGAACGAGTTTGTCTTGTTTTTATACGAAGATATTTCCTTTTCTACCATTTGCATCGAAGCGCTTGAAATCTCCACTTGCAAATTCCACAAAAAGAGTGTTTCAAATATGCTCTCTCTAAAGGAAGGTTGAACTCTGTAAGTTGCATACACACAACACAAAGAAGTTACTGAGAAATCTTCTGTCTAGCAAAATATGAAGAAATCCCGTTTCCAACGAAGGCCTCAAAGAGGTCCGAATATCCACTGGCAGGCTTCACAAACAGAGTGTTTCCTAACTGCTCTGTGAAAAGAAAGGTTAAACTCTGTGAGTTGAACGCACACATCACAAAGGAGTTTCTGAGAATCATTCTGTCTAGTTTTTATACGAAGATATTTCCTTTTCTACCATTGACCTCAAAGCGGCTGAAATCTCCACTTGCAAATTCCAGAAAAACAGTGTTTCAAATCTGCTCTGTGTAAAGGATCGTTCAACTCTGTGAGTTGAATACACACAACACAAGGAAGTTACTGAGAATTCATCTGTCTAGCATAATATGAAGAAATCCCGTTTCCAACGAAGGCCTCAAAGAGGTCTGAATATCCACTTGCAGACTTTACAAACAGAGTGTTTCCTAACTGCTCTTTGAAAAGAAAGGTTAAACTCTGTGAGTTGAACGCACACATCACAAAACAGTTTCTGAGAATCATTCTGTCTAGTTTTTATACGAAGATATTTCCTTTTCTACCGTTGACCTCAAAGCGGCTGAATTCTCCACTAACAAATTCCACCAAAAGAGTGTCTCAAATCTGCTCTGTGTAAAGAATCATTCACCTCTGTGAGTTGAATGCACACAACACAAGGAAGTTACTGGGAATTCCTCTGTCTAACCTTACATGAAAAAACCCGTTTCCAACGAAGGCCTCTAAGAGGCCAAGATATCCACTTGCAGACTTTACAAACAGAGTGTTTCCAAACTGCTGAATGAAAAGAAAAGTTAAACTCTGTGAGTTGAACGCAC
Source organism: Homo sapiens (assembly GCF_000001405.40). Lineage (NCBI taxonomy): Eukaryota > Metazoa > Chordata > Mammalia > Primates > Hominidae > Homo > Homo sapiens. Next base: position 38,059,982 of record NC_000016.10, on the reverse strand, counting down.
ACATCACAGAGCAGTTTCTGAGAATGATTCTGTCGGGTTTTTATACGAAGATATTTCCTTTTCTGCCTTTGGCCTCAAAGCGCTTGAAGTCTCCACTTGCAAATTGCAGAAAAAGAGTGCTTCGAATCTGCTCTGTCTAAAGGAAGGTTCAACTCTGTCAGTTGAATACACACAACACAAGGAAGTTACTGAGATTTCTTCTGTCTAGCCTTACATGAAAAAAACCCGTTTCCAACGAAGGCCTCAAAGAGGTCAAAATATCCACGTGCAGACTTTCCAAACAGAGTGTTTCCAAACTGCTGAATGAAAAGAAAGTTAAACTCTGTGAGTTGAACACACACATCACAGAGCAGTTTCTGAGAATGATTCTGTCTAGTTTTTATAGGAAAATATTTCCTTTTCTGCTTTTGGCCTCAAAGCGCTTGAAATCTCCACTTGCAAATTCCACAAAAAGAGTGTTTCAAATCTGCTCTGTCTAAAGGAAGGTTCAACTCTGTCAGTTGAATACACACAACACAAGGAAGTTACTGAGATTTCTTCTGTCTAGCGTTACATTAAAAAAACCCGTTTCCAACGAAGGCCTCAAAGAGGTCAAAATATCCTCGTGCAGACTTTCCAAACAGAGTGTTTCCAAACTGCTGAATGAAAAGAAAAGTTAAACTCTGTGAGTTGAACGCACACATCCCAGAGCAGTTTCTGAGAAAGACTCTGTCTAGTTTTTATAGGAAAATATTTCCTTTTCTGCTTTTGGCCTCAAAGCGCTTGAAATCTCCACTTGCAAATTCCACAAAAAGAGACTTTCAAATCTGCTCTGTCTAAAGGAAGGTTCAACTCTGTCAGTTGAATACACACAACACAAAGAAGTTACTAAGAATTCTTCCCTCTAGCATTATATGAAGAAATCCCGTTTCCAACGAAGGCATCTAAGAGGTCCAAATATTCACTTGCAGACTTTACAAACAGAGGGTTTCCAGAATGCTGTATGAAAAGAAAGGTGAAACTCTGTGAGTTAAACACACACATCACTACGCAGTGTCTGGGAACGAGTTTGTCTTGTTTTTATACGAAGATATTTCCTTTTCTACCATTGGCATCGAAGCGCTTGAAATCTCCACTTGCAAATTCCACAAAAAGAGTGTTTCAAATCTGCTCTGTCTAAAGGAAGGTTGAACTCTGTGAGTTGCATACACACAACACAAAGAAGTTACTGAGAAATCTTCTGTCTAGCATAATATGAAGAAATCCCGTTTCCAACGAAGGCCTCAAAGAGGTCCGAATATCCACTGGCAGGCTTCACAAACAGAGTGTTTCCTAACTGCTCTGTGAAAAGAAAGGTTAAACTCTGTGAGTTGAACGCACACATCACAAAGGAGTTTCTGAGAATCATTCTGTCTAGTTTTTATACGAAGATATTTCCTTTTCTACCATTGACCTCAAAGCGGCTGAAATCTCCACTTGCAAATTCCAGAAAAACAGTGTTTCAAATCTGCTCTGTGTAAAGGATCGTTCAACTCTGTGAGTTGAATACACACAACACAAGGAAGTTACTGAGAATTCATCTGTCTATCATAATATGAAGAAATCCCGTTGCCAACGAAGGCCTCAAAGAGGTCTGAATATCCACTTGCAGACTTTACAAACAGAGTGTTTCCTAACTGCTCTTTGAAAAGAAAGGTTAAACTCTGTGAGTTGAACGCACACATCACAAAACAGTTTCTGAGAATCATTCTGCCTAGTTTTTATACGAAGATATTTCCTTTTCTACCGTTGACCTCAAAGCGGCTGAATTCTCCACTTACAAATTCCACCAAAAGAGTGTCTCAAATCTGCTCTGTGTAAAGAATCATTCAACTCTGTGAGTTGAATGCACACAACACAAGGAAGTTACTGGGAATTCCTCTGTCTAACCTTACATGAAAAAACCCGTTTCCAACGAAGGCCTCTAAGAGGCCAAGATATCCACTTGCAGACTTTACAAACAGAGTGTTTCCAAACTGCTGAATGAAAAGAAAAGTTAAACTCTGTGAGTTGAACGCACACATCACAGAGCACTTTCTGAGAGTGATTCTGTCGGGTTTTTATACGAAGATATTTCCTTTTCTGCCTTTGGCCTCAAAGCGCTTGAAGTCTCCACTTGCAAATTGCAGAAAAAGAGTGTTTCGAATCTGCTCTGTCTAAAGGAAGGTTCAACTCTGTCAGTTGAATACACACAACACAAGGAAGTTACTGAGATTTCTTCTGTCTAGCCTTACATGAAAAAAACCCGTTTCCAACAAAGGCCTCAAAGAGGTCAAAATATCCACGTGCAGACTTTCCAAACAGAGTGTTTCCAAACTGCTGAATGAAAAGAAAAGTTAAACTCTGTGAGTTGAACGCACACGTCCCAGAGCAGTTTCTGAGAAAGATTCTGTCTAGTTTTTATAGGAAAATATTTCCTTTTCTGCTTTTGGCCTCAAAGCGCTTGAAATCTCCACTTGCAAATTCCACAAAAAGAGACTTTCAAATCTGCTCTGTCTAAAGGAAAGGTTCAACTCTGTCAGTTGAATACACACAACACAAAGAAGTTACTAAGAATTCTTCCCTCTAGCATTATATGAAGAAATACCGTTTCCAACGAAGGCATCTAAGAGGTCCAAATATCCACTTGCAGAATTTACAAACAGAGGGTTTCCAGAATGCTGTATGAAAAGAAAGGTTAAACTCTGTGAGTTAAACACACACATCACTACGCAGTGTCTGGGAACGAGTTTGTCTTGTTTTTATACGAAGATATTTCCTTTTCTACCATTGGCATCGAAGCGCTTGAAATCTCCACTTGCAAATTCCACAAAAAGAGTGTTTCAAATCTGCTCTGTCTAAAGGAAGGTTGAACTCTGTGAGTTGCATACACACAACACAAAGAAGTTACTGAGAAATCTTCTGTCTAGCATAATATGAAGAAATCCCGTTTCCAACGAAGGCCTCAAAGAGGTCCGAATATCCACTGGCAGGCTTCACAAACAGAGTGTTTCCTAACTGCTCTGTGAAAAGAAAGGTTAAACTCTGTGAGTTGAACGCACACATCACAAAGGAGTTTCTGAGAATCATTCTGTCTAGTTTTTATACGAAGATATTTCCTTTTCTACCATTGACCTCAAAGCGGCTGAAATCTCCACTTGCAAATTCCAGAAAAACAGTGTTTCAAATCTGCTCTGTGTAAAGGATCGTTCAACTCTGTGAGTTGAATACACACAACACAAGGAAGTTACTGAGAATTCATCTGTCTAGCATAATATGAAGAAATCCCGTTTCCAACGAAGGCCTCAAAGAGGTCTGAATATCCACTTGCAGACTTTACAAACAGAGTGTTTCCTAACTGCTCTTTGAAAAGAAAGGTTAAACTCTGTGAGTTGAACGCACACATCACAAAACAGTTTCTGAGAATCATTCTAGTTTTTATACGAAGATATTTCCTTTTCTACCGTTGACCTCAAAGCAGCTGAATTCTCCACTTACAAATTCCACCAAAAGAGTGTCTCAAATCTGCTCTGTGTAAAGAATCATTCAACTCTGTGAGTTGAATGCACACAACACAAGGAAGTTACTGGGAATTCCTCTGTCTAACCTTACATGAAAAAACCCGTTTCCAACGAAGGCCTCTAAGAGGCCAAGATATCCACTTGCAGACTTTACAAACAGAGTGTTTCCAAACTGCTGAATGAAAAGAAAAGTTAAACTCTGTGAGTTGAACGCACACATCACAGAGCAGTTTCTGAGAATGATTCTGTCGGGTTTTTATACGAAGATATTTCCTTTTCTGCCTTTGGCCTCAAAGCGCTTGAAGTCTCCACTTGCAAATTGCAGAAAAAGAGTGTTTCGAATCTGCTCTGTCTAAAGGAAGGTTCAACTCTGTCAGTTGAATACACACAACACAAGGAAGTTACTGAGATTTCTTCTGTCTAGCCTTACAAGAAAAAAACCCGTTTCCAACGAAGGCCTCAAAGAGGTCAAAATATCCACGTGCAGACTTTCCAAACAGAGTGTTTCCAAACTGCTGAATGGAAAGAAAAGTTAAACTCTGTGAGTTGAACGCACACATCCCAGAGCAGTTTCTGAGAAAGATTCTGTCGAGTTTTTATAGGAAAATATTTCCCTTTCTGCTTTTGGCCTCAAAGCGCTTGAAATCTCCACTTGCAAATTCCACAAAAAGAGACTTTCAAATCTGCTCTGTCTAAAGGAAGGTTCAACTCTGTCAGTTGAATACACACAACACAAAGAAGTTACTAAGAATTCTTCCCTCTAGCATTATATGAAGAAATCCCGTTTCCAACGAAGGCATCTAAGAGGTCCAAATATCCACTTGCAGACTTTACAAACACAGGGTTTCCAGAATGCTGTATGAAAAGAAAGGTTAAACTCTGTGAGTTAAACACACACATCACTACGCAGTGTCTGGGAACGAGTTTGTCTTGTTTTTATACGAAGATATTTCCTTTTCTACCATTGGCATCGAAGCGCTTGAAATCTCCACTTGCAAATTCCACAAAAAGAGTGTTTCAAATCTGCTCTGTCTAAAGGAAGGTTGAACTCTGTGAGTTGCATACACACAACACAAAGAAGTTACTGAGAAATCTTCTGTCTAGCAAAATATGAAGAAATCCCGTTTCCAACGAAGGCCTCAAAGAGGTCCGAATATCCACTGGCAGGCTTCACAAACAGAGTGTTTCCTAACTGCTCTGTGAAAAGAAAGGTTAAACTCTGTGAGTTGAACGCACACATCACAAAGGAGTTTCTGAGAATCATTCTGTCTAGTTTTTATACGAAGATATTTCCTTTTCTACCATTGACCTCAAAGCGGCTGAAATCTCCACTTGCAAATTCCAGAAAAACAGTGTTTCAAATCTGCTCTGTGAAAAGGATCGTTCAACTCTGTGAGTTGAATACACACAACACAAGGAAGTTACTGAGAATTCATCTGTCTAGCATAATATGAAGAAATCCCGTTTCCAACGAAGGCCTCAAAGAGGTCTGAATATCCACTTGCAGACTTTACAAACAGAGTGTTTCCTAACTGCTCTTTGAAAAGAAAGGTTAAACTCTGTGAGTTGAACGCACACATCACAAAACAGTTTCTGAGAATCATTCTGTCTAGTTTTTATACGAAGATATTTCCTTTTCTACCGTTGACCTCAAAGCGGCTGAATTCTCCACTTACAAATTCCACCAAAAGAGTGTCTCAAATCTGCTCTGTGTAAAGAATCATTCAACTCTGTGAGTTGAATGCACACAACACAAGGAAGTTACTGGGAATTCCTCTGTCTAACCTTACATGAAAAAACCCGTTTCCAACGAAGGCCTCTAAGAGGCCAAGATATCCACTTGCAGACTTTACAAACAGAGTGTTTCCAAACTGCTGAATGAAAAGAAAAGTTAAACTCTGTGAGTTGAACGCACACATCACAGAGCAGTTTCTGAGAATGATTCTGTCGGGTTTTTATACGAAGATATTTCCTTTTCTGCCTTTGGCCTCAAAGCGCTTGAACTTTCCACTTGCAAATTGCAGAAAAAGAGTGTTTCGAATCTGCTCTGTCTAAAGGAAGGTTCAACTCTGTCAGTTGAATACACACAACACAAGGAAGTTACTGAGATTTCTTCTGTCTAGCCTTACATGAAAAAAACCCGTTTCCAACGAAGGCCTCAAAGAGGTCAAAATATCCACGTGCAGACTTTCCAAACAGAGTGTTTCCAAACTGCTGAATGAAAAGAAAAGTTAAACTCTGTGAGTTGAACGCACACATCCCAGAGCAGTTTCTGAGAAAGATTCTGTCGAGTTTTTATAGGAAAATATTTCCTTTTCTGCTTTTGGCCTCAAAGCGCTTGAAATCTCCACTTGCAAATTCCACAAAAAGAGACTTTCAAATCTGCTCTGTCTAAAGGAAGGTTCAACTCTGTCAGTTGAATACACACAACACAAAGAAGTTACTAAGAATTCTTCCCTCTAGCATTATATGAAGAAATCCCGTTTCCAACGAAGGCATCTAAGAGGTCCAAATATCCACTTGCAGACTTTACAAACACAGGGTTTCCAGAATGCTGTATGAAAAGAAAGGTTAAACTCTGTGAGTTAAACACACACATCACTACGCAGTGTCTGGGAACGAGTTTGTCTTGTTTTTATACGAAGATATTTCCTTTTCTACCATTGGCATCGAAGCGCTTGAAATCTCCACTTGCAAATTCCACAAAAAGAGTGTTTCAAATCTGCTCTGTCTAAAGGAAGGTTGAACTCTGTGAGTTGCATACACACAACACAAAGAAGTTACTGAGAAATCTTCTGTCTAGCATAATATGAAGAAATCCCGTTTCCAACGAAGGCCTCAAAGAGGTCCGAATATCCACTGGCAGGCTTCACAAACAGAGTGTTTCCTAACTGCTCTGTGAAAAGAAAGGTTAAACTCTGTGAGTTGAACGCACACATCACAAAGGAGTTTCTGAGAATCATTCTGTCTAGTTTTTATACGAAGATATTTCTTTTTCTACAATTGACCTCAAAGCGGCTGAAATCTCCACTTGCAAATTCCAGAAAAACAGTGTTTCAAATCTGCTCTGTGTAAAGGATCGTTCAACTCTGTGAGTTGAATACACACAACACAAGGAAGTTACTGAGAATTCATCTGTCTAGCATAATATGAAGAAATCCCGTTTCCAACGAAGGCCTCAAAGAGGTCTGAATATCCACTTGCAGACTTTACAAACAGAGTGTTTCCTAACTGCTCTTTGAAAAGAAAGGTTAAACTCTGTGAGTTGAACGCACACATCACAAAAAAGTTTCTGAGAATCATTCTGTCTAGTTTTTATACGAAGATATTTCCTTTTCTACCGTTGACCTCAAAGCGGCTGAATTCTCCACTTACAAATTCCACCAAAAGAGTGTCTCAAATCTGCTCTGTGTAAAGAATCATTCAACTCTGTGAGTTGAATGCACACAACACAAGGAAGTTACTGGGAATTCCTCTGTCTAACCTTACATGAAAAAACCCGTTTCCAACGAAGGCCTCTAAGAGGCCAAGATATCCACTTGCAGACTTTACAAACAGAGTGTTTCCAAACTGCTGAATGAAAAGAAAAGTTAAACTCTGTGAGTTGAACGCACACATCACAGAGCAGTTTCTGAGAATGATTCTGTCGGGTTTTTATACGAAGATATTTCCTTTTCTGCCTTTGGCCTCAAAGCGCTTGAAGTCTCCACTTGCAAATTGCAGAAAAAGAGTGTTTCCAATCTGCTCTGTCTAAAGGAAGGTTCAACTCTGTCAGTTGAATACACACAACACAAGGAAGTTACTGAGATTTCTTCTGTCTAGCCTTACAAGAAAAAAACCCGTTTCCAACGAAGGCCTCAAAGAGGTCAAAATATCCACGTGCAGACTTTCCAAACAGAGTGTTTCCAAACTGCTGAATGGAAAGAAAAGTTAAACTACTGTGAGTTGAACGCACACATCCCAGAGCAGTTTCTGAGAAAGATTCTGTCTAGTTTTTATAGGAAAATATTTCCTTTTCTGCTTTTGGCCTCAAAGCGCTTGAAATCTCCACTTGCAAATTCCACAAAAAGAGACTTTCAAATCTGCTCTGTCTAAAGGAAGGTTCAACTCTGTCAGTTGAATACACACAACACAAAGAAGTTACTAAGAATTCTTCCCTCTAGCATTATATGAAGAAATCCCGTTTCCAACGAAGGCATCTAAGAGGTCCAAATATCCACTTGCAGACTTTACAAACAGAGGGTTTCCAGAATGCTGTATGAAAAGAAAGGTTAAACTCTGTGAGTTAAACACACACATCACTACGCAGTGTCTGGGAACGAGTTTGTCTTGTTTTTATACGAAGATATTTCCTTTTCTACCATTGGCATCGAAGCGCTTGAAATCTCCACTTGCAAATTCCACAAAAAGAGTGTTTCAAATCTGCTCTGTCTAAAGGAAGGTTGAACTCTGTGAGTTGCATACACACAACACAAAGAAGTTACTGAGAAATCTTCTGTCTAGCATAATATGAAGAAATCCCGTTTCCAACGAAGGCCTCAAAGAGGTCCGAATATCCACTGGCAGGCTTCACAAACAGAGTGTTTCCTAACTGCTCTGTGAAAAGAAAGGTTAAACTCTGTGAGTTGAACGCACACATCACAAAGGAGTTTCTGAGAATCATTCTGTCTAGTTTTTATACGAAGATATTTCCTTTTCTACCATTGACCTCAAAGCGGCTGAAATCTCCACTTGCAAATTCCAGAAAAACAGTGTTTCAAATCTGCTCTGTGTAAAGGATCGTTCAACTCTGTGAGTTGAATACACACAACACAAGGAAGTTACTGAGAATTCATCTGTCTAGCATAATATGAAGAAATCCCGTTTCCAACGAAGGCCTCAAAGAGGTCTGAATATCCACTTGCCGACTTTACAAACAGAGTGTTTCCTAACTGCTCTTTGAAAAGAAAGGTTAAACTCTGTGAGTTGAACGCACACATCACAAAACAGTTTCTGAGAATCATTCTGTCTAGTTTTTATACGAAGATATTTGCTTTTCTACCGTTGACCTCAAAGCGGCTGAATTCTCCACTTACAAATTCCACCAAAAGAGTGTCTCAAATCTGCTCTGTGTAAAGAATCATTCAACTCTGTGAGTTGAATGCACACAACACAAGGAAGTTACTGGGAATTCCTCTGTCTATCCTTACATGAAAAAACCCGCTTCCAACGAAGGCCTCTAAGAGGCCAAGATATCCACTTGCAGACTTTACAAACTGAGTGTTTCCAAACTGCTGAATGAAAAGAAAAGTTAAACTCTGTGAGTTGAACGCACACATCACAGAGCAGTTTCTGAGAATGATTCTGTCGGGTTTTTATACGAAGATATTTCCTTTTCTGCCTTTGGCCTCAAAGCGCTTGAAGTCTCCACTTGCAAATTGCAGAAAAAGAGTGTTTCGAATCTGCTCTGTCTAAAGGAAGGTTCAACTCTGTCAGTTGAATACACACAACACAAGGAAGTTACTGAGATTTCTTCTGTCTAGCCTTACATGAAAAAAACCCGTTTCCAACGAAGGCCTCAAAGAGGTCAAAATATCCACGTGCAGACTTTCCAAACAGAGTGTTTCCAAACTGCTGAATGAAAAGAAAAGTTAAACTCTGTGAGTTGAACGCACACGTCCCAGAGCAGTTTCTGAGAAAGATTCTGTCGAGTTTTTATAGGAAAATATTTCCTTTTCTGCTTTTGGCCTCAAAGCGCTTGAAATCTCCACTTGCAAATTCCACAAAAAGAGACTTTCAAATCTGCTCTGTCTAAAGGAAGGTTCAACTCTGTCAGTTGAATACACACAACACAAAGAAGTTACTAAGAATTCTTCCCTCTAGCATTATATGAAGAAATCCCGTTTCCAACGAAGGCATCTAAGAGGTCCAAATATCCACTTGCAGACTTTACAAACAGAGGGTTTCCAGAATGCTGTATGAAAAGAAAGGTTAAACTCTGTGAGTTAAACACACACATCACTACGCAGTGTCTGGGAACGAGTTTGTCTTGTTTTTATACGAAGATATTTCCTTTTCTACCATTGGCATCGAAGCGCTTGAAATCTCCACTTGCAAATTCCACAAAAAGAGTGTTTCAAATCTGCTCTGTCTAAAGGAAGGTTGAACTCTGTGAGTTGCATACACACAACACAAAGAAGTTACTGAGAAATCTTTCTGTCTAGCATAATATGAAGAAACCCCGTTTCCAACGAAGGCCTCAAAGAGGTCTGAATATCCACTGGCAGACTTCACAAACAGAGTGTTTCCTAACTACTCTATGAAAAGAAAGGTTAAACTCGGTGAGTTGAACGCACACATCACAAAGGAGTTTCTGAGAATCATTCTGTCTAGTTTTTATACGAAGATATTTCCTTTTCTACCATTGACCTCAAAGCGGCTGAAATCTCCACTTGCAAATTCCAGAAAAACAGTGTTTCAAATCTGCTCTGTGTAAAGGATCGTTCAACTCTGTGAGTTGAATACACACAACACAAGGAAGTTACTGAGAATTCATCTGTCTAGCATAATATGAAGAAATCCCGTTTCCAACGAAGGCCTCAAAGAGGTCTGAATATCCACTTGCAGACTTTACAAACAGAGTGTTTCCTAACTGCTCTTTGAAAAGAAAGGTTAAACTCTGTGAGTTGAACGCACACATCACAAAACAGTTTCTGAGAATCATTCTGTCTAGTTTTTATACGAAGATATTTCCTTTTCTACCGTTGACCTCAAAGCGGCTGAATTCTCCACTTACAAATTCCACCAAAAGAGTGTCTCAAATGTGCTCTGTGTAAAGAATCATTCAACTCTGTGAGTTGAATGCACACAACACAAGGAAGTTACTGGGAATTCCTCTGTCTAACCTTACATGAAAAAACCCGCTTCCAACGAAGGCCTCTAAGAGGCCAAGATATCCACTTGCAGACTTTACAAACAGAGTGTTTCCAAACTGCTGAATGAAAAGAAAAGTTAAACTCTGTGAGTTGAACGCACACATCACAGAGCAGTTTCTGAGAATGATTCTGTCGGGTTTTTATACGAAGATATTTCCTTTTCTGCCTTTGGCCTCAAAGCGCTTGAAGTCTCCACTTGCAAATTGCAGAAAAAGAGTGTTTCGAATCTGCTCTGTCTAAAGGAAGGTTCAACCTTGTCAGTTGAATACACACAACACAAGGAAATTACTGAGATTTCCTCTGTCTAGCCTTACATGAAAAAAACCCGTTTCCAACGAAGGCCTCAAAGAGGTCAAAATATCCACGGCAGACTTTACAAACAGAGTGTTTCCAAACTGCTGAATGAAAAGAAAAGTTAAACTCTGTGAGTTGAACGCACACATCACAGAGCAGTTTCTGAGAATGATTCTGTCTAGTTTTTATAGGAAAATATTTCCTTTTCTGCTTTTGGCCTCAAAGCGCTTGAAATCTCCACTTGCAAATTCCACAAAAAGAGACTTTGAAATCTGCTCTGTCTAAAGGAAGGTTCAACTCTGTCAGTTGAATACACACAACACAAAGAAGTTACTAAGAAATCTTCCCTCTACTATTATATGACGAAATCCCGTTTCCAACGAAGGCATCTAAGAGGTCCAAATATGCACTTGCAGACTTTACAAACAGAGGGTTTCCAGAATTCTGTATGAAAAGAAACGTTAAAGTCTGTGAGTTAAACACACACATCACTACGCAGTTTCTTGGAACGAGTTTGTCTTGTTTTTATACGAAGATATTTCCTTTTCTACCATTGGCATCGAAGCGCTTGAAATCTCCACTTGCAAATTCCTTAAAAAGAGTGTTTCAAATCTGCTCTCTCTAAAGGAAGGTTGAACTCTGTGAGTTGCATACACACAACACAAAGAAGTTACTGAGAAATCTTCTGTCTAGCATAATATGAAGAAATCCCGTTTCCAACGATGGCCTCAAAGAGGTCCGAATATCCACTGGCAGACTTCACAAACAGAGTGTTTCCTAACTGCTCTGTGAAAAGAAAGGTTAAACTCTGTGAGTTGAACGCACACATCACAAAGGAGTTTCTGAGAATCATTCTGTCTAGTTTTTATATGAAGATATTTCCTTTTCTACCATTGACCTCAAAGCGGCTGAAATCTCCACTTGCAAATTCCAGAAAAAGAGTGTTTCATATCTGCTCTGTGTAAAGGATCGTTCAACTCTGTGAGTTGAATACACACAACACAAGGAAGTTACTGAGAATTCTTCTGTGTAGCATAATATGAAGAAATGCCGTTTCCAACGAACGCCTCAAAGAGGTCTGAATATCCACTTGCAGACTTTACAAACAGAGTGTTTCCTAACTGCTCTTTGAAAAGAAAGGTTAAACTCTGTGAGTTGAACGCACACATCACAAAACAGTTTCTGAGAATCATTCTGTCTAGTTTTTATACGAAGATATTTCCTTTTGTACCATTGACCTCAAAGCGGCTGAATTCTCCACTTACAAATTCCACCAAAAGAGTGTCTCAAATCTGCTCTGTGTAAAGAATCATTCAACTCTGTGAGTTGAATGCACACAACACAAGGAAGTTACTGGGAATTCCTCTGTCTAACCTTACATGAAAAAACCCGTTTCCCACGAAGGCCTCTAAGAGGCCAAGATATCCACTTGCAGACTTTACAAACAGAGTGTTTCCAAACTGCTGAATGAAAAGAAAAGTTAAACTCTGTGAGTTGAACGCACACATCACAGAGCAGTTTCTGAGAATGATTCTGTCGGGTTTTTATACGAAGATATTTCCTTTTCTGCCTTTGGCCTCAAAGCGCTTGAAGTCTCCACTTGCAAATTGCAGAAAAAGAGTGTTTCGAATCTGCTCTGTCTAAAGGAAGGTTCAACTCTGTCAGTTGAATACACACAACACAAGGAAGTTACTGAGATTTCTTCTGTCTAGCGTTACATGAAAAAAACCCGTTTCCAACGAAGGCCTCAAAGAGGTCAAAATATCCACGTGCAGACTTTCCAAACAGAGTGTTTCCAAACTGCTGAATGAAAAGAAAAGTTAAACTCTGTGAGTTGAACGCACACATCCCAGAGCAGTTTCTGAGAAAGATATTCTGTCGAGTTTTTATAGGAAAATATTTCCTTTTCTGCTTTTGGCCTCAAAGCGCTTGAAATCTCCACTTGCAAATTCCACAAAAAGAGACTTTCAAATCTGCTCTGTCTAAAGGAAGGTTCAACTCTGTCAGTTGAATACACACAACACAAAGAAGTTACTAAGAATTCTTCCCTCTAGCATTATATGAAGAAATCCCGTTTCCAACGAAGGCATCTAAGAGGTCCAAATATCCACTTGCAGACTTTACAAACAGAGGGTTTCCAGAATGCTGTATGAAAAGAAAGGTGAAACTCTGTGAGTTAAACACACACATCACTACGCAGTGTCTGGGAACGAGTTTGTCTTGTTTTTATACGAAGATATTTCCTTTTCTACCATTGGCATCGAAGCGCTTGAAATCTCCACTTGCAAATTCCACAAAAAGAGTGTTTCAAATCTGCTCTGTCTAAAGGAAGGTTGAACTCTGTGAGTTGCATACACACAACACAAAGAAGTTACTGAGAAATCTTCTGTCTAGCATAATATGAAGAAATCCCGTTTCCAACGAAGGCCTGAAAGAGGTCCGAATATCCACTGGCAGGCTTCACAAACAGAGTGTTTCCTAACTGCTCTGTGAAAAGAAAGGTTAAACTCTGTGAGTTGAACGCACACATCACAAAGGAGTTTCTGAGAATCATTCTGTCTAGTTTTTATACGAAGATATTTCCTTTTCTACCATTGACCTCAAAGCGGCTGAAATCTCCACTTGCAAATTCCAGAAAAACAGTGTTTCAAATCTGCTCTGTGTAAAGGATCGTTCAACTCTGTGAGTTGAATACACACAACACAAGGAAGTTACTGAGAATTCATCTGTCTAGCATAATATGAAGAAATCCCGTTTCCAACGAAGGCCTCAAAGAGGTCTGAATATCCACTTGCAGACTTTACAAACAGAGTGTTTCCTAACTGCTCTTTGAAAAGAAAGGTTAAACTCTGTGAGTTGAACGCACACATCACAAAACAGTTTCTGAGAATCATTCTGTCTAGTTTTTATACGAAGATATTTCCTTTTCTACCGTTGACCTCAAAGCGGCTGAATTCTCCACTTACAAATTCCACCAAAAGAGTGTCTCAAATCTGCTCTGTGTAAAGAATCATTCAACTCTGTGAGTTGAATGCACACAACACAAGGGAAGTTACTGGGAATTCCTCTGTCTAACCTTACATGAAAAAACCCGCTTCCAACGAAGGCCTCTAAGAGGCCAAGATATCCACTTGCAGACTTTACAAACAGAGTGTTTCCAAACTGCTGAATGAAAAGAAAAGTTAAACTCTGTGAGTTGAACGCACACATCACAGAGCCGTTTCTGAGAATGATTCTGTCGGGTTTTTATACGAAGATATTTCCTTTTCTGCCTTTGGCCTCAAAGCGCTTGAAGTCTCCACTTGCAAATTGCAGAAAAAGAGTGTTTCGAATCTGCTCTGTCTAAAGGAAGGTTCAACTCTGTCAGTTGAATACACACAACACAAGGAAGTTACTGAGATTTCTTCTGTCTAGCCTTACATGAAAAAAACCCGTTTCCAACGAAGGCCTCAAAGAGGTCAAAATATCCACGTGCAGACTTTCCAAACAGAGTGTTTCCAAACTGCTGAATGAAAAGTTAAACTCTGTGAGTTGAACGCACACATCCCAGAGCAGTTTCTGAGAAAGATTCTGTCTAGTTTTTATAGGAAAATATTTCCTTTTCTGCTTTTGGCCTCAAAGCGCTTGAAATCTCCACTTGCAAATTCCACAAAAAGAGACTTTCAAATCTGCTCTGTCTAAAGGAAGGTTCAACTCTGTCAGTTGAATACACACAACACAAAGAAGTTACTAAGAATTCTTCCCTCTAGCATTATATGAAGAAATCCCGTTTCCAACGAAGGCATCTAAGAGGTCCAAATATCCACTTGCAGACTTTACAAACACAGGGTTTCCAGAATGCTGTATGAAAAGAAAGGTTAAACTCTGTGAGTTAAACACACACATCACTACGCAGTGTCTGGGAACGAGTTTGTCTTGTTTTTATACGAAGATATTTCCTTTTCTACCATTGGCATCGAAGCGCTTGAAATCTCCACTTGCAAATTCCACAAAAAGAGTGTTTCAAATCTGCTCTGTCTAAAGGAAGGTTGAACTCTGTGAGTTGCATACACACAACACAAAGAAGTTACTGAGAAATCTTCTGTCTAGCATAATATGAAGAAATCCCGTTTCCAACGAAGGCCTCAAAGAGGTCCGAATATCCACTGGCAGGCTTCACAAACAGAGTGTTTCCTAACTGCTCTCTGAAAAGAAAGGTTAAACTCTGTGAGTTGAACGCACACATCACAAAACAGTTTCTGAGAATCATTCTGTCTAGTTTTTATACGAAGATATTTCCTTTTCTACCATTGACCTCAAAGCGGCTGAAATCTCCACTTGCAAATTCCAGAAAAACAGTGTTTCAAATCTGCTCTGTGTAAAGGATCGTTCAACTCTGTGAGTTGAATACACACAACACAAGGAAGTTACTGAGAATTCATCTGTCTAGCATAATATGAAGAAATCCCGTTTCCAACGAAGGCCTCAAAGAGGTCTGAATATCCACTTGCAGACTTTACAAACAGAGTGTTTCCTAACTGCTCTTTGAAAAGAAAGGTTAAACTCTGTGAGTTGAACGCACACATCACAAAACAGTTTCTGAGAATCATTCTGTCTAGTTTTTATACGAAGATATTTCCTTTTCTACCGTTGACCTCAAAGCGGCTGAATTCTCCACTTACAAATTCCACCAAAAGAGTGTCTCAAATCTGCTCTGTGTAAAGAATCATTCAACTCTGTGAGTTGAATGCACACAACACAAGGAAGTTAGTGGGAATTCCTCTGTCTAACCTTACATGAAAAAACCCGTTTCCAACGAAGGCCTCTAAGAGGCCAAGATATCCACTTGCAGACTTTACAAACAGAGTGTTTCCAAACTGCTGAATGAAAAGAAAAGTTAAACTCTGTGAGTTGAACGCACACATCACAGAGCAGTTTCTGAGAGTGATTCTGTCGGGTTTTTATACGAAGATATTTCCTTTTCTGCCTTTGGCCTCAAAGCGCTTGAAGTTTCCACGTGCAAATTGCAGAAAAAGAGTGTTTCGAATCTGCTCTGTCTAAAGGAAGGTTCAACTCTGTCAGTTGAATACACACAACACAAGGAAGTTACTGAGATTTCTTCTGTCTAGCCTTACATGAAAAAAACCCGTTTCCAACGAAGGCCTCAAAGAGGTCAAAATATCCACGTGCAGACTTTCCAAACAGAGTGTTTCCAAACTGCTGAATGAAAAGAAAAGTTAAACTCTGTGAGTTGAACGCACACATCCCAGAGCAGTTTCTGAGAAAGATTCTGTCGAGTTTTTATAGGAAAATATTTCCTTTTCTGCTTTTGGCCTCAAAGCGCTTGAAATCTCCACTTGCAAATTCCACAAAAAGAGACTTTCAAATCTGCTCTGTCTAAAGGAAGGTTCAACTCTGTCAGTTGAATACACACAACACAAAGAAGTTACTAAGAATTCTTCCCTCTAGCATTATATGAAGAAATCCCGTTTCCAACGAAGGCATCTAAGAGGTCCAAATATCCACTTGCAGACTTTACAAACAGAGGGTTTCCAGAATGCTGTATGAAAAGAAAGGTGAAACTCTGTGAGTTAAACACACACATCACTACGCAGTGTCTGGGAACGAGTTTGTCTTGTTTTTATACGAAGATATTTCCTTTTCTACCATTGGCATCGAAGCGCTTGAAATCTCCACTTGCAAATTCCACAAAAAGAGTGTTTCAAATCTGCTCTGTCTAAAGGAAGGTTGAACTCTGTGAGTTGCATATACACAACACAAAGAAGTTACTGAGAAATCTTTTGTCTAGCATAATATGAAGAAATCCCGTTTCCAACGAAGGCCTCAAAGAGGTCCGAATATCCACTGGCAGGCTTCACAAACAGAGTGTTTCCTAACTGCTCTGTGAAAAGAAAGGTTAAACTCTGTGAGTTGAACGCACACATCACAAAGGAGTTTCTGAGAATCATTCTGTCTAGTTTTTATACGAAGATATTTCTTTTTCTACCATTGACCTCAAAGCGGCTGAAATCTCCACTTGCAAATTCCAGAAAAACAGTGTTTCAAATCTGCTCTGTGTAAAGGATCGTTCAACTCTGTGAGTTGAATACACACAACACAAGGAAGTTACTGAGAATTCATCTGTCTAGCATAATATGAAGAAATCCCGTTTCCAACGAAGGCCTCAAAGAGGTCTGAATATCCACTTGCAGACTTTACAAACAGAGTGTTTCCTAACTGCTCTTTGAAAAGAAAGGTTAAACTCTGTGAGTTGAACGCACACATCACAGAACAGTTTCTGAGAATCATTCTGTCTAGTTTTTATACGAAGATATTTCCTTTTCTACCGTTGACCTCAAAGCGGCTGAATTCTCCACTTACAAATTCCACCAAAAGAGTGTCTCAAATCTGCTCTGTGTAAAGAATCATTCAACTCTGTGAGTTGAATGCACACAACACAAGGAAGTTACTGGGAATTCCTCTGTCTATCCTTACATGAAAAAACCCGCTTCCAACGAAGGCCTCTAAGAGGCCAAGATATCCACTTGCAGACTTTACAAACAGAGTGTTTCCAAACTGCTGAATGAAAAGAAAAGTTAAACTCTGTGAGTTGAACGCACACATCACAGAGCAGTTTCTGAGAATGATTCTGTCGGGTTTTTATACGAAGATATTTCCTTTTCTGCCTTTGGCCTCAAAGCGCTTGAAGTCTCCACTTGCAAATTGCAGAAAAAGAGTGTTTCGAATCTGCTCTGTCTAAAGGAAGGTTCAACTCTGTCAGTTGAATACACACAACACAAGGAAGTTACTGAGATTTCTTCTGTCTAGCCTTACATGAAAAAAACCCGTTTCCAACGAAGGCCTCAAAGAGGTCAAAATATCCACGTGCAGACTTTCCAAACAGAGTGTTTCCAAACTGCTGAATGAAAAGAAAAGTTAAACTCTGTGAGTTGAACACACACATCACAGAGCAGTTTCTGAGAATGATTCTGTCTAGTTTTTATAGGAAAATATTTCCTTTTCTGCTTTTGGCCTCAAAGCGCTTGAAATCTCCACTTGCAAATTCCACAAAAAGAGACTTTCAAATCTGCTCTGTCTAAAGGAAGGTTCAACTCTGTCAGTTGAATACACACAACACAAAGAAGTTACTAAGAATTCTTCCCTCTAGCATTATATGAAGAAATCCCGTTTGCAACGAAGGCATCTAAGAGGTCCAAATATCCACTTGCAGACTTTACAAACAGAGGGTTTCCAGAATGCTGTATGAAAAGAAAGGTGAAACTCTGTGAGTTAAACACACACATCACTACGCAGTGTCTGGGAACGAGTTTGTCTTGTTTTTCTACGAAGATATTTCCTTTTCTACCATTGGCATCGAAGCGCTTGAAATCTCCACTTGCAAATTCCACAAAAAGAGTGTTTCAAATCTGCTCTGTCTAAAGGAAGGTTGAACTCTGTGAGTTGCATACACACAACACAAAGAAGTTACTGAGAAATCTTCTGTCTAGCATAATATGAAGAAATCCCGTTTCCAACGAAGGCCTCAAAGAGGTCCGAATATCCACTGGCATGCTTCACAAACAGAGTGTTTCCTAACTGCTCTGTGAAAAGAAAGGTTAAACTCTGTGAGTTGAACGCACACATCACAAAGGAGTTTCTGAGAATCATTCTGTCTAGTTTTTATACGAAGATATTTCCTTTTCTACCATTGACCTCAAAGCGGCTGAAATCTCCACTTGCAAATTCCAGAAAAACAGTGTTTCAAATCTGCTCTGTGTAAAGGATCGTTTAACTCTGTGAGTTGAATACACACAACACAAGGAAGTTACTGAGAATTCATCTGTCTAGCATAATATGAAGAAATCCCGTTTCCAACGAAGGCCTCAAAGAGGTCTGAATATCCTCTTGCAGACTTTACAAACAGAGTGTTTCCTAACTGCTCTTTGAAAAGAAAGGTTAAACTCTGTGAGTTGAACGCACACATCACAAAACAGTTTCTGAGAATCATTCTGTCTAGTTTTTATACGAAGATATTTCCTTTTCTACCGTTGACCTCAAAGCGGCTGAATTCTCCACTTACAAATTCCACCAAAAGAGTGTCTCAAAACTGCTCTGTGTAAAGAATCATTCAACTCTGTGAGTTGAATGCACACAACACAAGGAAGTTACTGGGAATTCCTCTGTCTATCCTTACATGAAAAAACCCGTTTCCAACGAAGGCCTCTAAGAGGCCAAGATATCCACTTGCAGACTTTACAAACAGAGTGTTTCCAAACTGCTGAATGAAAAGAAAAGTTAAACTCTGTGAGTTGAACGCACACATCACAGAGCAGTTTCTGAGAATGATTCTGTCGGGTTTTTATACGAAGATATTTCCTTTTCTGCCTTTGGCCTCAAATCGCTTGAAGTCTCCACTTGCAAATTGCAGAAAAAGAGTGTTTCGAATCTGCTCTGTCTAAAGGAAGGTTCAACTCTGTCAGTTGAATACACACAACACAAGGGAAGTTACTGAGATTTCTTCTGTCTAGCCTTACATGAAAAAAACCCGTTTCCAACGAAGGCCTCAAAGAGGTCACAATATCCACGTGCAGACTTTCCAAACAGAGTGTTTCCAAACTGCTGAATGAAAAGAAAAGTTAAACTCTGTGAGTTGAACGCACACATCCCAGAGCAGTTTCTGAGAAAGATTCTGTCTAGTTTTTATAGGAAAATATTTCCTTTTCTGCTTTTGGCCTCAAAGCGCTTGAAATCTCCACTTGCAAATTCCACAAAAAGAGACTTTCAAATCTGCTCTGTCTAAAGGAAGGTTCAACTCTGTCAGTTGAATACACACAACACAAAGAAGTTACTAAGAATTCTTCCCTCTAGCATTATATGAAGAAATCCCGTTTCCAACGAAGGCATCTAAGAGGTCCAAATATCCACTTGCAGACTTTACAAACACAGGGTTTCCAGAATGCTGTATGAAAAGAAAGGTTAAACTCTGTGAGTTGAACGCACACATCACAAAGGAGTTTCTGAGAATCATTCTGTCTAGTTTTTATACGAAGATATTTCCTTTTCTACCATTGACCTCAAAGCGGCTGAAATCTCCACTTGCAAATTCCAGAAAAACAGTGTTTCAAATCTGCTCTGTGTAAAGGATCGTTTAACTCTGTGAGTTGAATACACACAACACAAGGAAGTTACTGAGAATTCATCTGTCTAGCATAATATGAAGAAATCCCGTTTCCAACGAAGGCCTCAAAGAGGTCTGAATATCCACTTGCCGACTTTACAAACAGAGTGTTTCCTAACTGCTCTTTGAAAAGAAAGGTTAAACTCTGTGAGTTGAACGCACACATCACAAAACAGTTTCTGAGAATCATTCTGTCTAGTTTTTATACGAAGATATTTCCTTTTCTACCGTTGACCTCAAAGCGGCTGAATTCTCCACTTACAAATTCCACCAAAAGAGTGTCTCAAATCTGCTCTGTGTAAAGAATCATTCAACTCTGTGAGTTGAATGCACACAACACAAGGAAGTTACTGGGAATTCCTCTGTCTATCCTTACATGAAAAAACCCGTTTCCAACGAAGGCCTCTAAGGAGGCCAAGATATCCACTTGCAGACTTTACAAACAGAGTGTTTCCAAACTGCTGAATGAAAAGAAAAGTTAAACTCTGTGAGTTGAACGCACACATCACAGAGCAGTTTCTGAGAATGATTCTGTCGGGTTTTTATACGAAGATATTTCCTTTTCTGCCTTTGGCCTCAAAGCGCTTGAAGTCTCCACTTGCAAATTGCAGAAAAAGAGTGTTTCGAATCTGCTCTGTCTAAAGGAAGGTTCAACTCTGTCAGTTGAATACACACAACACAAGGAAGTTACTGAGATTTCTTCTGTCTAGCCTTACATGAAAAAAACCCGTTTCCAACGAAGGCCTCAAAGAGGTCAAAATATCCACTGTGCAGACTTTCCAAACAGAGTGTTTCCAAACTGCTGAATGAAAAGAAAAGTTAAACTCTGTGAGTTGAACGCACACATCCCAGAGCAGTTTCTGAGAAAGATTCTGTCGAGTTTTTATAGGAAAATATTTCCTTTTCTGCTTTTGGCCTCAAAGCGCTTGAAATCTCCACTTGCAAATTCCACAAAAAGAGACTTTCAAATCTGCTCTGTCTAAAGGAAGGTTCAACTCTGTCAGTTGAATACACACAACACAAAGAAGTTACTAAGAATTCTTCCCTCTAGCATTATATGAAGAAATCCCGTTTCCAACGAAGGCATCTAAGAGGTCCAAATATCCACTTGCAGACTTTACAAACAGAGGGTTTCCAGAATGCTGTATGAAAAGAAAGGTTAAACTCTGTGAGTTAAACACACACATCACTACGCAGTGTCTGGGAACGAGTTTGTCTTGTTTTTATACGAAGATATTTCCTTTTCTACCATTGGCATCGAAGCGCTTGAAATCTCCACTTGCAAATTCCACAAAAAGAGTGTTTCAAATCTGCTCTGTCTAAAGGAAGGTTGAACTCTGTGAGTTGCATACACACAACACAAAGAAGTTACTGAGAAATCTTCTGTCTAGCATAATATGAAGAAATCCCGTTTCCAACGAAGGCCTCAAAGAGGTCCGAATATCCACTGGCAGGCTTCACAAACAGAGTGTTTCCTAACTGCTCTGTGAAAAGAAAGGTTAAACTCTGTGAGTTGAACGCACACATCACAAAGGAGTTTCTGAGAATCATTCTGTCTAGTTTTTTATACGAAGATATTTCCTTTTCTACCATTGACCTCAAAGCAGCTGAAATCTCCACTTGCAAATTCCAGAAAAACAGTGTTTCAAATCTGCTCTGTGTAAAGGATCGTTCAACTCTGTGAGTTGAATACACACAACACAAGGAAGTTACTGAGAATTCATCTGTCTAGCATAATATGAAGAAATCCAGTTTCCAACGAAGGCCTCAAAGAGGTCTGAATATCCACTTGCAGACTTTACAAACAGAGTGTTTCCTAACTGCTCTTTGAAAAGAAAGGTTAAACTCTGTGAGTTGAACGCACACATCACAAAACAGTTTCTGAGAATCATTCTGTCTAGTTTTTATACGAAGATATTTCCTTTTCTACCGTTGACCTCAAAGCGGCTGAATTCTCCACTTACAAATTCCACCAAAAGAGTGTCTCAAATCTGCTCTGTGTAAAGAATCATTCAACTCTGTGAGTTGAATGCACACAACACAAGGAAGTTACTGGGAATTCCTCTGTCTAACCTTACATGAAAAAACCCGTTTCCAACGAAGGCCTCTAAGAGGCCAAGATATCCACTTGCAGACTTTACAAACAGAGTGTTTCCAAACTGCTGAATGAAAAGAAAAGTTAAACTCTGTGAGTTGAACGCACACATCACAGAGCAGTTTCTGAGAATGATTCTGTCGGGTTTTTATACGAAGATATTTCCTTTTCTGCCTTTGGCCTCAAAGCGCTTGAAGTCTCCACTTGCAAATTGCAGAAAAAGAGTGTTTCGAATCTGCTCTGTCTAAAGGAAGGTTCAACTCTGTCAGTTGAATACACACAACACAAGGAAGTTACTGAGATTTCTTCTGTCTAGCCTTACATGAAAAAAACCCGTTTCCAACGAAGGCCTCAAAGAGGTCAAAATATCCACGTGCAGACTTTCCAAACAGAGTGTTTCCAAACTGCTGAATGAAAAGAAAAGTTAAACTCTGTGAGTTGAACGCACACATCCCAGAGCAGTTTCTGAGAAAGATTCTGTCGAGTTTTTATAGGAAAATATTTCCTTTTCTGCTTTTGGCCTCAAAGCGCTTGAAATCTCCACTTGCAAATTCCACAAAAAGAGACTTTCAAATCTGCTCTGTCTAAAGGAAGGTTCAACTCTGTCAGTTGAATACACACAACACAAAGAAGTTACTAAGAATTCTTCCCTCTAGCATTATATGAAGAAATCCCGTTTCCAACGAAGGCATCTAAGAGGTCCAAATATCCACTTGCAGACTTTACAAACAGAGGGTTTCCAGAATGCTGTATGAAAAGAAAGGTGAAACTCTGTGAGTTAAACACACACATCACTACGCAGTGTCTGGGAACGAGTTTGTCTTGTTTTTATACGAAGATATTTCCTTTTCTACCATTGGCATCGAAGCGTTTGAAATCTCCACTTGCAAATTCCACAAAAAGAGTGTTTCAAATCTGCTCTGTCTAAAGGAAGGTTGAACTCTGTGAGTTGCATACACACAACACAAAGAAGTTACTGAGAAATCTTCTGTCTAGCATAATATGAAGAAATCCCGTTTCCAACGAAGGCCTCAAAGAGGTCCGAATATCCACTGGCAGGCTTCACAAACAGAGTGTTTCCTAACTGCTCTGTGAAAAGAAAGGTTAAACTCTGTGAGTTGAACGCACACATCACAAAGGAGTTTCTGAGAATCATTCTGTCTAGTTTTTATACGAAGATATTTCCTTTTCTACCATTGACCTCAAAGCGGCTGAAATCTCCACTTGCAAATTCCAGAAAAACAGTGTTTCAAATCTGCTCTGTGTAAAGGATCGTTCAACTCTGTGAGTTGAATACACACAACACAAGGAAGTTACTGAGAATTCATCCCTCTAGCATTATATGAAGAAATCCCGTTTCCAACGAAGGCCTCAAAGAGGTCTGAATATCCACTTGCAGACTTTACAGAGTGTTTCCTAACTGCTCTTTGAAAAGAAAGGTTAAACTCTGTGAGTTGAACGCACACATCACAAAACAGTTTCTGAGAATCATTCTTTCTAGTTTTTATACGAAGATATTTCCTTTTCTACCGTTGACCTCAAAGCGGCTGAATTCTCCACTTACAAATTCCACCAAAAGAGTGTCTCAAATCTGCTCTGTGTAAAGAATCATTCAACTCTGTGAGTTGAATGCATACAACACAAGGAAGTTACTGGGAATTCCTCTGTCTATCCTTACATGAAAAAACCCGTTTCCAACGAAGGCCTCTAAGAGGCCAAGATATCCACTTGCAGACTTTACAAACAGAGTGTTTCCAAACTGCTGAATGAAAAGAAAAGTTAAACTCTGTGAGTTGAACGCACACATCACAGAGCAGTTTCTGAGAATGATTCTGTCGGGTTTTTATACGAAGATATTTCCTTTTCTGCCTTTGGCCTCAAAGCGCTTGAAGTCTCCACTTGCAAATTGCAGAAAAAGAGTGTTTCGAATCTGCTCTGTCTAAAGGAAGGTTCAACTCTGTCAGTTGAATACACACAACACAAGGAAGTTACTGAGATTTCTTCTGTCTAGCCTTACATGAAAAAAACCCGTTTCCAACGAAGGCCTCAAAGAGGTCAAAATATCCACGTGCAGACTTTCCAAACAGAGTGTTTCCAAACTGCTGAATGAAAAGAAAAGTTAAACTCTGTGAGTTGAACGCACACATCCCAGAGCAGTTTCTGAGAAAGATTCTGTCGAGTTTTTATAGGAAAATATTTCCTTTTCTGCTTTTGGCCTCAAAGCGCTTGAAATCTCCACTTGCAAATTCCACAAAAAGAGACTTTCAAATCTGCTCTGTCTAAAGGAAGGTTCAACTCTGTCAGTTGAATACACACAACACAAAGAAGTTACTAAGAATTCTTCCCTCTAGCATTATATGAAGAAATCCCGTTTCCAACGAAGGCATCTAAGAGGTCCAAATATCCACTTGCAGACTTTACAAACACAGGGTTTCCAGAATGCTGTATGAAAAGAAAGGTGAAACTCTGTGAGTTAAACACACACATCACTACGCAGTGTGCTGGGAACGAGTTTTGTCTTGTTTTTATACGAAGATATTTCCTTTTCTACCATTGGCATCGAAGCGCTTGAAATCTCCACTTGCAAATTCCACAAAAAGAGTGTTTCAAATCTGCTCTGTCTAAAGGAAGGTTGAACTCTGTGAGTTGCATACACACAACACAAAGAAGTTACTGAGAAATCTTCTGTCTAGCATAATATGAAGAAATCCCGTTTCCAACGAAGGCCTCAAAGAGGTCCGAATATCCACTGGCAGGCTTCACAAACAGAGTGTTTCCTAACTGCTCCTGTGAAAAGAAAGGTTAAACTCTGTGAGTTGAACGCACACATCACAAAGGAGTTTCTGAGAATCATTCTGTCTAGTTTTTATACGAAGATATTTCCTTTTCTACCATTGACCTCAAAGCGGCTGAAATCTCCACTTGCAAATTCCAGAAAAACAGTGTTTCAAATCTGCTCTGTGTAAAGGATCGTTCAACTCTGTGAGTTGAATACACACAACACAAGGAAGTTACTGAGAATTCATCTGTCTAGCATAATATGAAGAAATCCCGTTTCCAACGAAGGCCTCAAAGAGGTCTGAATATCCACTTGCAGACTTTACAAACAGAGTGTTTCCTAACTGCTCTTTGAAAAGAAAGGTTAAACTCTGTGAGTTGAACGCACACATCACAAAACAGTTTCTGAGAATCATTCTGTCTAGTTTTTATACGAAGATATTTCCTTTTCTACCGTTGACCTCAAAGCGGCTGAATTCTCCACTTACAAATTCCACCAAAAGAGTGTCTCAAATCTGCTCTGTGTAAAGAATCATTCAACTCTGTGAGTTGAATGCACACAACACAAGGAAGTTACCGGGAATTCCTCTGTCTAACCTTACATGAAAAAACCCGTTTCCAACGAAGGCCTCTAAGAGGCCAAGATATCCACTTGCAGACTTTACAAACAGAGTGTTTCCAAACTGCTGAATGAAAAGAAAAGTTAAACTCTGTGAGTTGAACGCACACATCACAGAGCAGTTTCTGAGAATGATTCTGTCGGGTTTTTATACGAAGATATTTCCTTTTCTGCCTTTGGCCTCAAAGCGCTTGAAGTCTCCACTTGCAAATTGCAGAAAAAGAGTGTTTCGAATCTGCTCTGTCTAAAGGAAGGTTCAACTCTGTCAGTTGAATACACACAACACAAGGAAGTTACTGAGATTTCTTCTGTCTAGCCTTACATGAAAAAAACCCGTTTCCAACGAAGGCCTCAAAGAGGTCAAAATATCCACGTGCAGACTTTCCAAACAGAGTGTTTCCAAACTGCTGAATGAAAAGAAAAGTTAAACTCTGTGAGTTGAACGCACACATCCCAGAGCAGTTTCTGAGAAAGATTCTGTCGAGTTTTTATAGGAAAATATTTCCTTTTCTGCTTTTGGCCTCAAAGCGCTTGAAATCTCCACTTGCAAATTCCACAAAAAGAGACTTTCAAATCTGCTCTGTCTAAAGGAAGGTTCAACTCTGTCAGTTGAATACACACAACACAAAGAAGTTACTAAGAATTCTTCCCTCTAGCATTATATGAAGAAATCCCGTTTCCAACGAAGGCATCTAAGAGGTCCAAATATCCACTTGCAGACTTTACAAACACAGGGTTTCCAGAATGCTGTATGAAAAGAAAGGTTAAACTCTGTGAGTTAAACACACACATCACTACGCAGTGTCTGGGAACGAGTTTGTCTTGTTTTTATACGAAGATATTTCCTTTTCTACCATTGGCATCGAAGCGCTTGAAATCTCCACTTGCAAATTCCACAAAAAGAGTGTTTCAAATCTGCTCTGTCTAAAGGAAGGTTGAACTCTGTGAGTTGCATACACACAACACAAAGAAGTTACTGAGAAATCTTCTGTCTAGCATAATATGAAGAAATCCCGTTTCCAACGAAGGCCTCAAAGAGGTCCGAATATCCACTGGCAGGCTTCACAAACAGAGTGTTTCCTAACTGCTCCTGTGAAAAGAAAGGTTAAACTCTGTGAGTTGAACGCACACATCACAAAGGAGTTTCTGAGAATCATTCTGTCTAGTTTTTATACGAAGATATTTCCTTTTCTACCATTGACCTCAAAGCGGCTGAAATCTCCACTTGCAAATTCCAGAAAAACAGTGTTTCAAATCTGCTCTGTGTAAAGGATCGTTCAACTCTGTGAGTTGAATACACACAACACAAGGAAGTTACTGAGAATTCATCTGTCTAGCATAATATGAAGAAATCCCGTTTCCAACGAAGGCCTCAAAGAGGTCTCAATATCCACTTGCAGACTTTACAAACAGAGTGTTTCCTAACTGCTCTTTGAAAAGAAAGGTTAAACTCTGTGAGTTGAACGCACACATCAAAAAACAGTTTCTGAGAATCATTCTGTCTAGTTTTTATACGAAGATATTTCCTTTTCTACCGTTGACCTCAAAGCGGCTGAATTCTCCACTTACAAATTCCACCAAAAGAGTGTCTCAAATCTGCTCTGTGTAAAGAATCATTCAACTCTGTGAGTTGAATGCACACAACACAAGGAAGTTACTGGGAATTCCTCTGTCTAACCTTACATGAAAAAACCCGTTTCCAACGAAGGCCTCTAAGAGGCCAAGATATCCACTTGCAGACTTTACAAACAGTGTTTCCAAACTGCTGAATGAAAAGAAAAGTTAAACTCTGTGAGTTGAACGCACACATCACAGAGCAGTTTCTGAGAATGATTCTGTCGGGTTTTTATACGAAGATATTTCCTTTTCTGCCTTTGGCCTCAAAGCGCTTGAAGTCTCCACTTGCAAATTGCAGAAAAAGAGTGTTTCGAATCTGCTCTGTCTAAAGGAAGGTTCAACTCTGTCAGTTGAATACACACAACACAAGGAAGTTACTGAGATTTCTTCTGTCTAGCTTACATGAAAAAAACCCGTTTCCAACGAAGGCCTCAAAGAGGTCAAAATATCCACGTGCAGACTTTCCAAACAGAGTGTTTCCAAACTGCTGAATGAAAAGAAAAGTTAAACTCTGTGAGTTGAACGCACACATCCCAGAGCAGTTTCTGAGAAAGATTCTGTCGAGTTTTTATAGGAAAATATTTCCTTTTCTGCTTTTGGCCTCAAAGCGCTTGAAATCTCCACTTGCAAATTCCACAAAAAGAGACTTTCAAATCTGCTCTGTCTAAAGGAAGGTTCAACTCTGTCAGTTGAATACACACAACACAAAGAAGTTACTAAGAATTCTTCCCTCTAGCATTATATGAAGAAATACCGTTTCCAACGAAGGCATCTAAGAGGTCCAAATATCCACTTGCAGACTTTACAAACAGAGGGTTTCCAGAATGCTGTATGAAAAGAAAGGTGAAACTCTGTGAGTTAAACACACACATCACTACGCAGTGTCTGGGAACGAGTTTGTCATGTTTTTATACGAAGATATTTCCTTTTCTACCATTGGCATCGATGCGCTTGAAATTTCCACTTGCAAATTCCACAAAAAGAGTGTTTCAAATCTGCTCTGTCTAAAGGAAGGTTGAACTCTGTGAGTTGCATACACACAACACAAAGAAGTTACTGAGAAATCTTCTGTCTAGCATAATATGAAGAAATCCCGTTTCCAACGAAGGCCTCAAAGAGGTCCGAATATCCACTGGCAGGCTTCACAAACAGAGTGTTTCCTAACTGCTCTGTGAAAAGAAAGGTTAAACTCTGTGAGTTGAACGCACACATCACAAAGGAGTTTCTGAGAATCATTCTGTCCAGTTTTTATACGAAGATATTTCCTTTTCTACCATTGACCTCAAAGCGGCTGAAATCTCCACTTGCAAATTCCAGAAAAACAGTGTTTCAAATCTGCTCTGTGTAAAGGATCGTTCAACTCTGTGAGTTGAATACACACAACACAAGGAAGTTACTGAGAATTCATCTGTCTAGCATAATATGATGAAATCCCGTTTCCAACGAAGGCCTCAAAGAGGTCTGAATATCCATTGCAGACTTTACAAACAGAGTGTTTCCTAACTGCTCTTTGAAAAGAAAGGTTAAACTCTGTGAGTTGAACGCACACATCACAAAACAGTTTCTGAGAATCATTCTTTCTAGTTTTTATACGAAGATATTTCCTTTTCTACCGTTGACCTCAAAGCGGCTGAATTCTCCACTTACAAATTCCACCAAAAGTGTGTCTCAAATCTGCTCTGTGTAAAGAATCATTCAACTCTGTGAGTTGAATGCACACAACACAAGGAAGTTACTGGGAATTCCTCTGTCTAACCTTACATGAAAAAACGCGTTTCCAACGAAGGCCTCTAAGAGGCCAAGATATCCACTTGCAGACTTTACAAACAGAGTGTTTCCAAACTGCTGAATGAAAAGAAAAGTTAAACTCTGTGAGTTGAACGCACACATCACAGAGCAGTTTCTGAGAATGATTCTGTCGGGTTTTTATACGAAGATATTTCCTTTTCTGCCTTTGGCCTCAAAGCGCTTGAAGTCTCCACTTGCAAATTGCAGAAAAAGAGTGTTTCGAATCTGCTCTGTCTAAAGGAAGGTTCAACTCTGTCAGTTGAATACACACAACACAAGGAAGTTACTGAGATTTCTTCTGTCTAGCCTTATATGAAAAAAACTCGTTTCCAACGAAGGCCTCAAAGAGGTCAAAATATCCACGTGCAGACTTTCCAAACAGAGTGTTTCCAAACTGCTGAATGAAAAGAAAAGTTAAACTCTGTGAGTTGAACACACACATCCCAGAGCAGTTTCTGAGAAAGATTCTGTCTAGTTTTTATAGGAAAATATTTCCTTTTCTGCTTTTGGCCTCAAAGCGCTTGAAATCTCCACTTGCAAATTCCACAAAAAGAGACTTTCAAATCTGCTCTGTCTAAAGGAAGGTTCAACTCTGTCAGTTGAATACACACAACACAAAGAAGTTACTAAGAATTCTTCCCTCTAGCATTATATGAAGAAATCCCGTTTCCAACGAAGGCATCTAAGAGGTCCAAATATCCACTTGCAGACTTTACAAACAGAGGGTTTCCAGAATGCTGTATGAAAAGAAAGGTTAAACTCTGTGAGTTAAACACACACATCACTACGCAGTGTCTGGGAACGAGTTTGTCTTGTTTTTATACGAAGATATTTCCTTTTCTACCATTGGCATCGAAGCGCTTGAAATCTCCACTTGCAAATTCCACAAAAAGAGTGTTTCAAATCTGCTCTGTCTAAAGGAAGGTTGAACTCTGTGAGTTGCATACACACAACACAAAGAAGTTACTGAGAAATCTTCTGTCTAGCATAATATGAAGAAATCCCGTTTCCAACGAAGGCCTCAAAGAGGTCCGAATATCCACTGGCAGGCTTCACAAACAGAGTGTTTCCTAACTGCTCTGTGAAAAGAAAGGTTAAACTCTGTGAGTTGAACGCACACATCACAAAGGAGTTTCTGAGAATCATTCTGTCTAGTTTTTATACGAAGATATTTCCTTTTCTACCATTGACCTCAAAGCGGCTGAAATCTCCACTTGCAAATTCCAGAAAAACAGTGTTTCAAATCTGCTCTGTGTAAAGGATCGTTCAACTCTGTGAGTTGAATACACACAACACAAGGAAGTTACTGAGAATTCATCTGTCTAGCATAATATGAAGAAATCCCGTTTCCAACGAAGGCCTCAAAGAGGTCTGAATATCCACTTGCAGACTTACAAACAGAGTGTTTCCTAACTGCTCTTTGAAAAGAAAGGTTAAACTCTGTGAGTTGAACGCACACATCACAAAAAAGTTTCTGAGAATCATTCTGTCTAGTTTTTATACGAAGATATTTCCTTTTCTACCGTTGACCTCAAAGCGGCTGAATTCTCCACTTACAAATTCCACCAAAAGAGTGTCTCAAATCTGCTCTGTGTAAAGAATCATTCAACTCTGTGAGTTGAATGCACACAACACAAGGAAGTTACTGGGAATTCCTCTGTCTATCCTTACATGAAAAAACCCGCTTCCAACGAAGGCCTCTAAGAGGCCAAGATATCCACTTGCAGACTTTACAAACAGAGTGTTTCCAAACTGCTGAATGAAAAGAAACGTTAAACTCTGTGAGTTGAACGCACACATCACAGAGCAGTTTCTGAGAATGATTCTGTCGGGTTTTTATACGAAGATATTTCCTTTTCTGCCTTTGGCCTCAAAGCGCTTGAAGTCTCCACTTGCAAATTGCAGAAAAAGAGTGTTTCGAATCTGCTCTGTCTAAAGGAAGGTTCAACTCTGTCAGTTGAATACACACAACACAAGGAAGTTACTGAGATTTCTTCTGTCTAGCCTTACATGAAAAAAACCCGTTTCCAACGAAGGCCTCAAAGAGGTCAAAATATCCACGTGCAGACTTTCCAAACAGAGTGTTTCCAAACTGCTGAATGAAAAGAAAAGTTAAACTCTGTGAGTTGAACGCACATATCCCAGAGCAGTTTCTGAGAAAGATTGTCTAGTTTTTATAGGAAAATATTTCCTTTTCTGCTTTTGCCCTCAAAGCGCTTGAAATCTCCACTTGCAAATTCCACAAAAAGAGACTTTCAAATCTGCTCTGTCTAAAGGAAGGTTCAACTCTGTCAGTTGAATACACACAACACAAAGAAGTTACTAAGAATTCTTCCCTCTAGCATTATATGAAGAAATCCCGTTTCCAACGAAGGCATCTAAGAGGTCCAAATATCCACTTGCAGACTTTACAAACAGAGGGTTTCCAGAATGCTGTATGAAAAGAAAGGTTAAACTCTGTGAGTTAAACACACACATCACTACGCAGTGTCTGGGAACGAGTTTGTCTTGTTTTTATACGAAGATATTTCCTTTTCTACCATTGGCATCGAAGCGCTTGAAATCTCCACTTGCAAATTCCACAAAAAGAGTGTTTCAAATCTGCTCTGTCTAAAGGAAGGTTGAACTCTGTGAGTTGCATACACACAACACAAAGAAGTTACTGAGAAATCTTCTGTCTAGCATAATATGAAGAAATCCCGTTTCCAACGAAGGCCTCAAAGAGGTCCGAATATCCACTGGCAGGCTTCACAAACAGAGTGTTTCCTAACTGCTCTGTGAAAAGAAAGGTTAAACTCTGTGAGTTGAACGCACACATCACAAAGGAGTTTCTGAGAATCATTCTGTCTAGTTTTTATACGAAGATATTTCCTTTTCTACCATTGACCTCAAAGCGGCTGAAATCTCCACTTGCAAATTCCAGAAAAACAGTGTTTCAAATCTGCTCTGTGTAAAGGATCGTTCAACTCTGTGAGTTGAATACACACAACACAAGGAAGTTACTGAGAATTCATCTGTCTAGCATAATATGAAGAAATCCCGTTTCCAACGAAGGCCTCAAAGAGGTCTGAATATCCACTTGCAGACTTTACAAACAGAGTGTTTCCTAACTGCTCTTTGAAAAGAAAGGTTAAACTCTGTGAGTTGAACGCACACATCACAAAACAGTTTCTGAGAATCATCTGTCTAGATTTTATACGAAGATATTTCCTTTTCTACCGTTGACCTCAAAGCGGCTGAATTCTCCACTTACAAATTCCACCCAAAGAGTGTCTCAAATCTGCTCTGTGTAAAGAATCATTCAACTCTGTGAGTTGAATGCACACAACACAAGGAAGTTACTGGGAATTCCTCTGTCTATCCTTACATGAAAAAACCCGTTTCCAACGAAGGCCTCTAAGAGGCCAAGATATCCACTTGCAGACTTTACAAACAGAGTGTTTCCAAACTGCTGAATGAAAAGAAAAGTTAAACTCTGTGAGTTGAACGCACACATCACAGAGCAGTTTCTGAGAATGATTCTGTCGGGTTTTTATACGAAGATATTTCCTTTTCTGCCTTTGGCCTCAAAGCGCTTGAAGTCTCCACTTGCAAATTGCAGAAAAAGAGTGTTTCGAATCTGCTCTGTCTAAAGGAAGGTTCAACTCTGTCAGTTGAATACACACAACACAAGGAAGTTACTGAGATTTCTTCTGTCTAGCCTTACATGAAAAAAACCCATTTCCAACGAAGGCCTCAAAGAGGTCAAAATATCCACGTGCAGACTTTCCAAACAGAGTGTTTCCAAACTGCTGAATGAAAAGAAAAGTTAAACTCTGTGAGTTGAACGCACACATCCCAGAGCAGTTTCTGAGAAAGATTCTGTCGAGTTTTTATAGGAAAATATTTCCTTTTCTGCTTTTGGCCTCAAAGCGCTTGAAATCTCCACTTGCAAATTCCACAAAAAGAGACTTTCAAATCTGCTCTGTCTAAAGGAAGGTTCAACTCTGTCAGTTGAATACACACAACACAAAGAAGTTACTAAGAATTCTTCCCTCTAGCATTATATGAAGAAATCCCGTTTCCAACGAAGGCATCTAAGAGGTCCAAATATCCACTTGCAGACTTTACAAACACAGGGTTTCCAGAATGCTGTATGAAAAGAAAGGTGAAACTCTGTGAGTTAAACACACACATCACTACGCAGTGTCTGGGAACGAGTTTGTCTTGTTTTTATACGAAGATATTTCCTTTTCTACCATTGGCATCGAAGCACTTGAAATCTCCACTTGCAAATTCCACAAAAAGAGTGTTTCAAATCTGCTCTGTCTAAAGGAAGGTTGAACTCTGTGAGTTGCATACACACAACACAAAGAAGTTACTGAGAAATCTTCTGTCTAGCATAATATGAAGAAATCCCGTTTCCAACGAAGGCCTCAAAGAGGTCCGAATATCCACTGGCAGGCTTCACAAACAGAGTGTTTCCTAACTGCTCTGTGAAAAGAAAGGTTAAACCCTGTGAGTTGAACGCACACATCACAAAGGAGTTTCTGAGAATCATTCTGTCTAGTTTTTATACGAAGATATTTCTTTTTCTACCATTGACCTCAAAGCGGCTGAAATCTCCACTTGCAAATTCCAGAAAAACAGTGTTTCAAATCTGCTCTGTGTAAAGGATCGTTCAACTCTGTGAGTTGAATACACACAACACAAGGAAGTTACTGAGAATTCATCTGTCTAGCATAATATGAAGAAATCCCGTTTCCAACGAAGGCCTCAAAGAGGTCTGAATATCCACTTGCAGACTTTACAAACAGAGTGTTTCCTAACTGCTCTTTGAAAAGAAAGGTTAAACTCTGTGAGTTGAACGCACACATCACAAAACAGTTTCTGAGAATCATTCTGTCTAGTTTTTATACGAAGATATTTCCTTTTCTACCGTTGACCTCAAAGCGGCTGAATTCTCCACTTACAAATTCCACCAAAAGAGTGTCTCAAATCTGCTCTGTGTAAAGAATCATTCAACTCTGTGAGTTGAATGCACACAACACAAGGAAGTTACTGGGGAATTCCTCTGTCTATCCTTACATGAAAAAACCCGTTTCCAACGAAGGCATCTAAGAGGCCAAGATATCCACTTGCAGACTTTACAAACAGAGTGTTTCCAAACTGCTGAATGAAAAGAAAAGTTAAACTCTGTGAGTTGAACGCACACATCACAGAGCAGTTTCTGAGAATGATTCTGTCGGGTTTTTATACGAAGATATTTCCTTTTCTGCCTTTGGCCTCAAAGCGCTTGAAGTCTCCACTTGCAAATTGCAGAAAAAGAGTGTTTCGAATCTGCTCTGTCTAAAGGAAGGTTCAACTCTGTCAGTTGAATACACACAACACAAGGAAGTTACTGAGATTTCTTCTGTCTAGCCTTACATGAAAAAAACCCGTTTCCAACGAAGGCCTCAAAGAGGTCAA
The DNA here is from genome assembly GCF_000001405.40 of Homo sapiens. NCBI lineage: Eukaryota > Metazoa > Chordata > Mammalia > Primates > Hominidae > Homo > Homo sapiens. The sequence continues at coordinate 38,025,754 of NC_000016.10, read as the reverse complement.
AATATCCACGTGCAGACTTTCCAAACAGTGTTTCCAAACTGCTGAATGAAAAGAAAAGTTAAACTCTGTGAGTTGAACGCACACATCACAGAGCAGTTTCTGAGAATGATTCTGTCGAGTTTTTATAGGAAAATATTTCCTTTTCTGCTTTTGGCCTCAAAGCGCTTGAAATCTCCACTTGCAAATTGCACAAAAAGAGACTTTCAAATCTGCTCTGTCTAAAGGAAGGTTCAACTCTGTCAGTTGAATACACACAACACAAAGAAGTTACTAAGAATTCTTCCCTCTAGCATTATATGAAGAAATCCCGTTTCCAACGAAGGCATCTAAGAGGTCCAAATATCCACTTGCAGACTTTACAAACACAGGGTTTCCAGAATGCTGTATGAAAAGAAAGGTTAAACTCTGTGAGTTAAACACACACATCACTACGCAGTGTCTGGGAACGAGTTTGTCTTGTTTTTATACGAAGATATTTCCTTTTCTACCATTGGCATCGAAGCGCTTGAAATCTCCACTTGCAAATTCCACAAAAAGAGTGTTTCAAATCTGCTCTGTCTAAAGGAAGGTTGAACTCTGTGAGTTGCATACACACAACACAAAGAAGTTACTGAGAAATCTTCTGTCTAGCATAATATGAAGAAATCCCGTTTCCAACGAAGGCCTCAAAGAGGTCCGAATATCCACTGGCAGGCTTCACAAACAGAGTGTTTCCTAACTGCTCTGTGAAAAGAAAGGTTAAACTCTGTGAGTTGAACGCACACATCACAAAGGAGTTTCTGAGAATCATTCTGTCTAGTTTTTATACGAAGATATTTCCTTTTCTACCATTGACCTCAAAGCGGCTGAAATCTCCACTTGCAAATTCCAGAAAAACAGTGTTTCAAATCTGCTCTGTGTAAAGGATCGTTCAACTCTGTGAGTTGAATACACACAACACAAGGAAGTTACTGAGAATTCATCTGTCTAGCATAATATGAAGAAATCCCGTTTCCAACGAAGGCCTCAAAGAGGTCTGAATATCCACTTGCAGACTTTACAAACAGAGTGTTTCCTAACTGCTCTTTGAAAAGAAAGGTTAAACTCTGTGAGTTGAACGCACACATCACAAAAAAGTTTCTGAGAATCATTCTGTCTAGTTTTTATACGAAGATATTTCCTTTTCTACCGTTGACCTCAAAGCGGCTGAATTCTCCACTAACAAATTCCACCAAAAGAGTGTCTCAAATCTGCTCTGTGTAAAGAATCATTCAACTCTGTGAGTTGAATGCACACAACACAAGGGAAGTTACTGGGAATTCCTCTGTCTAACCTTACATGAAAAAACCCGTTTCCAACGAAGGCCTCTAAGAGGCCAAGATATCCACTTGCAGACTTTACAAACAGAGTGTTTCCAAACTGCTGAATGAAAAGAAAAGTTACACTCTGTGAGTTGAACGCACACATCACAGAGCAGTTTCTGAGAATGATTCTGTCGGGTTTTTATACGAAGATATTTCCTTTTCTGCCTTTGGCCTCAAAGCGCTTGAAGTCTCCACTTGCAAATTGCAGAAAAAGAGTGTTTCGAATCTGCTCTGTCTAAAGGAAGGTTCAACTCTGTCAGTTGAATACACACAACACAAGGAAGTTACTGAGATTTCTTCTGTCTAGCCTTACATGAAAAAAACCCGTTTCCAACGAAGGCCTCAAAGAGGTCAAAATATCCACGTGCAGACTTTCCAAACAGAGTGTTTCCAAACTGCTGAATGAAAAGAAAAGTTAAACTCTGTGAGTTGAACGCACACATCCCAGAGAAGTTTCTGAGAAAGATTCTGTCGAGTTTTTATAGGAAAATATTTCCTTTTCTGCTTTTGGCCTCAAAGCGCTTGAAATCTCCACTTGCAAATTCCACAAAAAGAGACTTTCAAATCTGCTCTGTCTAAAGGAAGGTTCAACTCTGTCAGTTGAATACACACAACAAAAAGAAGTTACTAAGAATTCTTCCCTCTAGCATTATATGAAGAAATCCCGTTTCCAACGAAGGCATCTAAGAGGTCCAAATATCCACTTGCAGACTTTACAAACACAGGGTTTCCAGAATGCTGTATGAAAAGAAAGGTTAAACTCTGTGAGTTAAACACACACATCACTACGCAGTGTCTGGGAACGAGTTTGTCTTGTTTTTATACGAAGATATTTCCTTTTCTACCATTGGCATCGAAGCGCTTGAAATCTCCACTTGCAAATTCCACAAAAAGAGTGTTTCAAATCTGCTCTGTCTAAAGGAAGGTTGAACTCTGTGAGTTGCATACACACAACACAAAGAAGTTACTGAGAAATCTTCTGTCTAGCATAATATGAAGAAATCCCGTTTCCAACGAAGGCCTCAAAGAGGTCCGAATATCCACTGGCAGGCTTCACAAACAGAGTGTTTCCTAACTGCTCTGTGAAAAGAAAGGTTAAACTCTGTGAGTTGAACGCACACATCACAAAGGAGTTTCTGAGAATCATTCTGTCTAGTTTTTATACGAAGATATTTCCTTTTCTACCATTGACCTCAAAGCGGCTGAAATCTCCACTTGCAAATTCCAGAAAAACAGTGTTTCAAATCTGCTCTGTGTAAAGGATCGTTCAACTCTGTGAGTTGAATACACACAACACAAGGAAGTTACTGAGAATTCATCTGTCTAGCATAATATGAAGAAATCCCGTTTCCAACGAAGGCCTCAAAGAGGTCTGAATATCCACTTGCAGACTTTACAAACAGAGTGTTTCCTAACTGCTCTTTGAAAAGAAAGGTTAAACTCTGTGAGTTGAACGCACACATCACAAAACAGTTTCTGAGAATCATTCTGTCTAGTTTTTATACGAAGATATTTCCTTTTCTACCGTTGACCTCAAAGCGGCTGAATTCTCCACTTTCAAATTCCACCAAAAGAGTGTCTCAAATCTGCTCTGTGTAAAGAATCATTCAACTCTGTGAGTTGAATGCACACAACACAAGGAAGTTACTGGGAATTCCTCTGTCTATCCTTACATGAAAAAACCCGTTTCCAACGAAGGCCTCTAAGAGGCCAAGATATCCACTTGCAGACTTTACAAACAGAGTGTTTCCAAACTGCTGAATGAAAAGAAAAGTTAAACTCTGTGAGTTGAACGCACACATCACAGAGCAGTTTCTGAGAATGATTCTGTCGGGTTTTTATACGAAGATATTTCCTTTTCTGCCTTTGGCCTCAAAGCGCTTGAAGTCTCCACTTGCAAATTGCAGAAAAAGAGTGTTTCGAATCTGCTCTGTCTAAAGGAAGGTTCAACTCTGTCAGTTGAATACACACAACACAAGGAAGTTACTGAGATTTCTTCTGTCTAGCCTTACATGAAAAAAACCCGTTTCCAACGAAGGCCTCAAAGAGGTCAAAATATCCACGTGCAGACTTTCCAAACAGAGTGTTTCCAAACTGCTGAATGAAAAGAAAAGTTAAACTCTGTGAGTTGAACGCACACATCCCAGAGCAGTTTCTGAGAAAGATTCTGTCGAGTTTTTATAGGAAAATATTTCCTTTTCTGCTTTTGGCCTCAAAGCGCTTGAAATCTCCACTTGCAAATTCCACAAAAAGAGACTTTCAAATCTGCTCTGTCTAAAGGAAGGTTCAACTCTGTCAGTTGAATACACACAACACAAAGAAGTTACTAAGAATTCTTCCCTCTAGCATTATATGAAGAAATCCCGTTTCCAACGAAGGCATCTAAGAGGTCCAAATATCCACTTGCAGACTTTACAAACACAGGGTTTCCAGAATGCTGTATGAAAAGAAAGGTTAAACTCTGTGAGTTAAACACACACATCACTACGCAGTGTCTGGGAACGAGTTTGTCTTGTTTTTATACGAAGATATTTCCTTTTCTACCATTGGCATCGAAGCGCTTGAAATCTCCACTTGCAAATTCCACAAAAAGAGTGTTTCAAATCTGCTCTGTCTAAAGGAAGGTTGAACTCTGTGAGTTGCATACACACAACACAAAGAAGTTACTGAGAAATCTTCTGTCTAGCATAATATGAAGAAATCCCGTTTCCAACGAAGGCCTCAAAGAGGTCCGAATATCCACTGGCAGGCTTCACAAACAGAGTGTTTCCTAACTGCTCTGTGAAAAGAAAGGTTAAACTCTGTGAGTTGAACGCACACATCACAAAGGAGTTTCTGAGAATCATTCTGTCTAGTTTTTATACGAAGATATTTCCTTTTCTACCATTGACCTCAAAGCGGCTGAAATCTCCACTTGCAAATTCCAGAAAAACAGTGTTTCAAATCTGCTCTGTGTAAAGGATCGTTCAACTCTGTGAGTTGAATACACACAACACAAGGGAAGTTACTGAGAATTCATCTGTCTAGCATAATATGAAGAAATCCCGTTTCCAACGAAGGCCTCAAAGAGGTCTGAATATCCACATGCAGACTTTACAAACAGAGTGTTTCCTAACTGCTCTTTGAAAAGAAAGGTTAAACTCTGTGAGTTGAACGCACACATCACAAAACAGTTTCTGAGAATCATTCTGTCTAGTTTTTATACGAAGATATTTCCTTTTCTACCGTTGACCTCAAAGCGGCTGAATTCTCCACTTACAAATTCCACCAAAAGAGTGTCTCAAATCTGCTCTGTGTAAAGAATCATTCAACTCTGTGAGTTGAATGCACACAACACAAGGAAGTTACTGGGAATTCCTCTGTCTAACCTTACATGACAAAACCCGTTTCCAACGAAGGCCTCTAAGAGGCCAAGATATCCACTTGCAGACTTTACAAACAGAGTGTTTCCAAACTGCTGAATGAAAAGAAAAGTTAAACTCTGTGAGTTGAACGCACACATCACAGAGCAGTTTCTGAGAATGATTCTGTCGGGTTTTTATACGAAGATATTTCCTTTTCTGCCTTTGGCCTCAAAGCGCTTGAAGTCTCCACTTGCAAATTGCAGAAAAAGAGTGTTTCGAATCTGCTCTGTCTAAAGGAAGGTTCAACTCTGTCAGTTGAATACACACAACACAAGGAAGTTACTGAGATTTCTTCTGTCTAGCCTTACATGAAAAAAACCCGTTTCCAACGAAGGCCTCAAAGAGGTCAAAATATCCACGTGCAGACTTTCCAAACAGTGTTTCCAAACTGCTGAATGAAAAGAAAAGTTAAACTCTGTGAGTTGAACGCACACATCACAGAGCAGTTTCTGAGAATGATTCTGTCGAGTTTTTATAGGAAAATATTTCCTTTTCTGCTTTTGGCCTCAAAGCGCTTGAAATCTCCACTTGCAAATTCCACAAAAAGAGACTTTCAAATCTGCTCTGTCTAAAGGAAGGTTCAACTCTGTCAGTTGAATACACACAACACAAAGAAGTTACTAAGAATTCTTCCCTCTAGCATTATATGAAGAAATCCCGTTTCCAACGAAGGCATCTAAGAGGTCCAAATATCCACTTGCAGACTTTACAAACACAGGGTTTCCAGAATGCTGTATGAAAAGAAAGGTTAAACTCTGTGAGTTAAACACACACATCACTACGCAGTGTCTGGGAACGAGTTTGTCTTGTTTTTATACGAAGATATTTCCTTTTCTACCATTGGCATCGAAGCGCTTGAAATCTCCACTTGCAAATTCCACAAAAAGAGTGTTTCAAATCTGCTCTGTCTAAAGGAAGGTTGAACTCTGTGAGTTGCATACACACAACACAAAGAAGTTACTGAGAAATCTTCTGTCTAGCATAATATGAAGAAATCCCGTTTCCAACGAAGGCCTCAAAGAGGTCCGAATATCCACTGGCAGGCTTCACAAACAGAGTGTTTCCTAACTGCTCTGTGAAAAGAAAGGTTAAACTCTGTGAGTTGAACGCACACATCACAAAGGAGTTTCTGAGAATCATTCTGTCTAGTTTTTATACGAAGATATTTCCTTTTCTACCATTGACCTCAAAGCGGCTGAAATCTCCACTTGCAAATTCCAGAAAAACAGTGTTTCAAATCTGCTCTGTGTAAAGGATCGTTCAACTCTGTGAGTTGAATACACACAACACAAGGGAAGTTACTGAGAATTCATCTGTCTAGCATAATATGAAGAAATCCCGTTTCCAACGAAGGCCTCAAAGAGGTCTGAATATCCACTTGCAGACTTTACAAACAGAGTGTTTCCTAACTGCTCTTTGAAAAGAAAGGTTAAACTCTGTGAGTTCAACGCACACATCACAAAACAGTTTCTGAGAATCATTCTGTCTAGTTTTTATACGAAGATATTTCCTTTTCTACCGTTGACCTCAAAGCGGCTGAATTCTCCACTTACAAATTCCACCAAAAGAGTGTCTCAAATCTGCTCTGTGTAAAGAATCATTCAACTCTGTGAGTTGAATGCACACAACACAAGGAAGTTACTGGGAATTCCTCTGTCTAACCTTACATGATAAAACCCGTTTCCAACGAAGGCCTCTAAGAGGCCAAGATATCCACTTGCAGACTTTACAAACAGAGTGTTTCCAAACTGCTGAATGAAAAGAAAAGTTAAACCCTGTGAGTTGAATGCACACATCACAGAGCAGTTTCTGAGAATGATTCTGTCGGGTTTTTATACGAAGATATTTCCTTTTCTGCCTTTGGCCTCAAAGCGCTTGAAGTCTCCACTTGCAAATTGCAGAAAAAGAGTGTTTCGAATCTGCTCTGTCTAAAGGAAGGTTCAACTCTGTCAGTTGAATACACACAACACAAGGAAGTTACTGAGATTTCTTCTGTCTAGCCTTACATGAAAAAAACCCGTTTCCAACGAAGGCCTCAAAGAGGTCAAAATATCCACGTGCAGACTTTCCAAACAGAGTGTTTCCAAACTGCTGAATGAAAAGAAAAGTTAAACTCTGTGAGTTGAACGCACACATCCCAGAGCAGTTTCTGAGAACGATTCTGTCGAGTTTTTATAGGAAAATATTTCCTTTTCTGCTTTTGGCCTCAAAGCGCTTGAAATCTCCACTTGCAAATTCCACAAAAAGAGACTTTCAAATCTGCTCTGTCTAAAGGAAGGTTCAACTCTGTCAGTTGAATACACACAACACAAAGAAGTTACTAAGAATTCTTCCCTCTAGCATTATATGAAGAAATCCCGTTTCCAACGAAGGCATCTAAGAGGTCCAAATATCCACTTGCAGACTTTACAAACACAGGGTTTCCAGAATGCTGTATGAAAAGAAAGGTGAAACTCTGTGAGTTAAACACACACATCACTACGCAGTGTCTGGGAACGAGTTTGTCTTGTTTTTATACGAAGATATTTCCTTTTCTACCATTGGCATCGAAGCGCTTGAAATCTCCACTTGCAAATTCCACAAAAAGAGTGTTTCAAATCTGCTCTGTCTAAAGGAAGGTTGAACTCTGTGAGTTGCATACACACAACACAAAGAAGTTACTGAGAAATCTTCTGTCTAGCATAATATGAAGAAATCCCGTTTCCAACGAAGGCCTCAAAGAGGTCCGAATATCCACTGGCAGGCTTCACAAACAGAGTGTTTCCTAACTGCTCTGTGAAAAGAAAGGTTAAACCCTGTGAGTTGAACGCACACATCACAAAGGAGTTTCTGAGAATCATTCTGTCTAGTTTTTATACAGAAGATATTTCCTTTTCTACCATTGACCTCAAAGCGGCTGAAATCTCCACTTGCAAATTCCAGAAAAACAGTGTTTCAAATCTGCTCTGTGTAAAGGATCGTTCAACTCTGTGAGTTGAATACACACAACACAAGGAAGTTACTGAGAATTCATCTGTCTAGCATAATATGATGAAATCCCGTTTCCAACGAAGGCTTTAAAGTAGGTCTGAATATCCACTTGCAGACTTTACAAACAGAGTGTTTCCTAACTGCTCTTTGAAAAGAAAGGTTAAACTCTGTGAGTTGAACGCACACATCACAAAACAGTTTCTGAGAATCATTCTGTCTAGTTTTTATACGAAGATATTTCCTTTTCTACCGTTGACCTCAAAGCGGCTGAATTCTCCACTTACAAATTCCACCAAAAGAGTGTCTCAAATCTGCTCTGTGTAAAGAATCATTCAACTCTGTGAGTTGAATGCACACAACACAAGGAAGTTACTGGGAATTCCTCTGTCTAACCTTACATGAAAAAACCCGTTTCCAACGAAGGCCTCTAAGAGGCCAAGATATCCACTTGCAGACTTTACAAACAGAGTGTTTCCAAACTGCTGAATGAATAGAAAAGTTAAACTCTGTGAGTTGAACGCACACATCACAGAGCAGTTTCTGAGAATGATTCTGTCGGGTTTTTATACGAAGATATTTCCTTTTCTGCCTTTGGCCTCAAAGCGCTTGAAGTCTCCACTTGCAAATTGCAGAAAAAGAGTGTTTCGAATCTGCTCTGTCTAAAGGAAGGTTCAACTCTGTCAGTTGAATACACACAACACAAGGAAGTTACTGAGATTTCTTCTGTCTAGCCTTACATGAAAAAAACCCGTTTCCAACGAAGGCCTCAAAGAGGTCAAAATATCCACGTGCAGACTTTCCAAACAGAGTGTTTCCAAACTGCTGAATGAAAAGAAAGTTAAACTCTGTGAGTTGAACGCACACATCCCAGAGCAGTTTCTGAGAAAGATTCTGTCTAGTTTTTATAGGAAAATATTTCCTTTTCTGCTTTTGGCCTCAAAGCGCTTGAAATCTCCACTTGCAAATTCCACAAAAAGAGACTTTCAAATCTGCTCTGTCTAAAGGAAGGTTCAACTCTGTCAGTTGAATACACACAACACAAAGAAGTTACTAAGAATTCTTCCCTCTAGCATTATATGAAGAAATCCCGTTTCCAACGAAGGCATCTAAGAGGTCCAAATATCCACTTGCAGACTTTACAAACACAGGGTTTCCAGAATGCTGTATGAAAAGAAAGGTTAAACTCTGTGAGTTAAACACACACATCACTACGCAGTGTCTGGGAACGAGTTTGTCTTGTTTTTCTACGAAGATATTTCCTTTTCTACCATTGGCATCGAAGCGCTTGAAATCTCCACTTGCAAATTCCACAAAAAGAGTGTTTCAAATCTGCTCTGTCTAAAGGAAGGTTGAACTCTGTGAGTTGCATACACACAACACGAAGAAGTTACTGAGAAATCTTTTGTCTAGCATAATATGAAGAAATCCCGTTTCCAACGAAGGCCTGAAAGAGGTCCGAATATCCACTGGCAGGCTTCACAAACAGAGTGTTTCCTAACTGCTCTGTGAAAAGAAAGGTTAAACTCTGTGAGTTGAACGCACACATCACAAAGGAGTTTCTGAGAATCATTCTGTCTAGTTTTTATACGAAGATATTTCCTTTTCTACCATTGACCTCAAAGCGGCTGAAATCTCCACTTGCAAATTCCAGAAAAACAGTGTTTCAAATCTGCTCTGTGTAAAGGATCGTTCAACTCTGTGAGTTGAATACACACAACACAAGGAAGTTACTGAGAATTCATCTGTCTAGCATAATATGAAGAAATCCCGTTTCCAACGAAGGCCTCAAAGAGGTCTGAATATCCACTTGGAGACTTTACAAACAGAGTGTTTCCTAACTGCTCTTTGAAAAGAAAGGTTAAACTCTGTGAGTTGAACGCACACATCACAAAACAGTTTCTGAGAATCATTCTGTCTAGTTTTTATACGAAGATATTTCCTTTTCTACCGTTGACCTCAAAGCAGCTGAATTCTCCACTTACAAATAACACCAAAAGAGTGTCTCAAATCTGCTCTGTGTAAAGAATCATTCAACTCTGTGAGTTGAATGCACACAACACAAGGAAGTTACTGGGAATTCCTCTGTCTAACCTTACATGAAAAAACCCGTTTCCAACGAAGGCCTCTAAGAGGCCAAGATATCCACTTGCAAACTTTACAAACAGAGTGTTTCCAAACTGCTGAATGAAAAGAAAAGTTAAACTCTGTGAGTTGAACGCACACATCACAGAGCAGTTTCTGAGAATGATTCTGTCGGGTTTTTATACGAAGATATTTCCTTTTCTGCCTTTGGCCTCAAAGCGCTTGAAGTCTCCACTTGCAAATTGCAGAAAAAGAGTGTTTCGAATCTGCTCTGTCTAAAGGAAGGTTCAACTCTGTCAGTTGAATACACACAACACAAGGAAGTTACTGAGATTTCTTCTGTCTAGCCTTACATGAAAAAAACCCGTTTCCAACGAAGGCCTCAAAGAGGTCAAAATATCCACGTGCAGACTTTCCAAACAGAGTGTTTCCAAACTGCTGAATGGAAAGAAAAGTTAAACTCTGTGAGTTGAACGCACACATCCCAGAGCAGTTTCTGAGAAAGATTCTGTCGAGTTTTTATAGGAAAATATTTCCTTTTCTGCTTTTGGCCTCAAAGCGCTTGAAATCTCCACTTGCAAATTCCACAAAAAGAGACTTTCAAATCTGCTGTCTAAAGGAAGGTTCAACTCTGTCAGTTGAATACACACAACACAAAGAAGTTACTAAGAATTCTTCCCTCTAGCATTATATGAAGAAATCCCGTTTCCAACGAAGGCATCTAAGAGGTCCAAATATCCACTTGCAGACTTTACAAACACAGGGTTTCCAGAATGCTGTATGAAAAGAAAGGTTAAACTCTGTGAGTTAAACACACACATCACTACGCAGTGTCTGGGAACGAGTTTGTCTTGTTTTTATACGAAGATATTTCCTTTTCTACCATTGGCATCGAAGCGCTTGAAATCTCCACTTGCAAATTCCACAAAAAGAGTGTTTCAAATCTGCTCTGTCTAAAGGAAGGTTGAACTCTGTGAGTTGCATACACACAACACAAAGAAGTTACTGAGAAATCTTCTGTCTAGCAAAATATGAAGAAATCCCGTTTCCAACGAAGGCCTCAAAGAGGTCCGAATATCCACTGGCAGGCTTCACAAACAGAGTGTTTCCTAACTGCTCTGTGAAAAGAAAGGTTAAACTCTGTGAGTTGAACGCACACATCACAAAGGAGTTTCTGAGAATCATTCTGTCTAGTTTTTATACGAAGATATTTCTTTTTCTACCATTGACCTCAAAGCGGCTGAAATCTCCACTTGCAAATTCCAGAAAAACAGTGTTTCAAATCTGCTCTGTGTAAAGGATCGTTCAACTCTGTGAGTTGAATACACACAACACAAGGAAGTTACTGAGAATTCATCTGTCTAGCATAATATGAAGAAATCCCGTTTCCAACGAAGGCCTCAAAGAGGTCTGAATATCCGCTTGCAGACTTTACAAACAGAGTGTTTCCTAACTGCTCTTTGAAAAGAAAGGTTAAACTCTGTGAGTTGAACGCACACATCACAAAACAGTTTCTGAGAATCATTCTGTCTAGTTTTTATACGAAGATATTTCCTTTTCTACCATTGACCTCAAAGCGGCTGAATTCTCCACTTACAAATTCCACCAACAGTGTCTCAAATCTGCTCTGTGTAAAGAATCATTCAACTGTGTGAGTTGAATGCACACAACACAAGGAAGTTACTGGGAATTCCTCTGTCTAACCTTACATGAAAAAACCCGTTTCCAACGAAGGCCTCTAAGAGGCCAAGATATCCACTTGCAGACTTTACAAACAGAGTGTTTCCAAACTGCTGAATGAAAAGAAAAGTTAAACTCTGTGAGTTGAACGCACACATCACAGAGCAGTTTCTGAGAATGATTCTGTCGGGTTTTTATACGAAGATATTTCCTTTTCTGCCTTTGGCCTCAAAGCGCTTGAAGTCTCCACTTGCAAATTGCAGAAAAAGAGTGTTTCGAATCTGCTCTGTCTAAAAGAAGGTTCAACTCTGTCAGTTGAATACACACAACACAAGGAAGTTACTGAGATTTCTTCTGTCTAGCCTTACATGAAAAAAACCCGTTTCCAACGAAGGCCTCAAAGAGGTCAAAATATCCACGTGCAGACTTTCCAAACAGAGTGTTTCCAAACTGCTGAATGAAAAGAAAAGTTAAACTCTGTGAGTTGAACACACACAACCCAGAGCAGTTTCTGAGAAAGATTCTGTCTAGTTTTTATAGGAAAATATTTCCTTTTCTGCTTTTGGCCTCAAAGCGCTTGAAATCTCCACTTGCAAATTCCACAAAAAGAGACTTTCAAATCTGCTCTGTCTAAAGGAAGGTTCAACTCTGTCAGTTGAATACACACAACACAAAGAAGTTACTAAGAATTCTTCCCTCTAGCATTATATGAAGAAATCCCGTTTGCAACGAAGGCATCTAAGAGGTCCAAATATCCACTTGCAGACTTTACAAACAGAGGGTTTCCAGAATGCTGTATGAAAAGAAAGGTGAAACTCTGTGAGTTAAACACACACATCACTACGCAGTGTCTGGGAACGAGTTTGTCTTGTTTTTATACGAAGATATTTCCTTTTCGACCATTGGCGTCGAAGCGCTTGAAATCTCCACTTGCAAATTCCACAAAAAGAGTGTTTCAAATCTGCTCTGTCTAAAGGAAGGATGAACTCTGTGAGTTGCATACACATAACACAAAGTAGTTACTGAGAAATCTGTCTAGCATAATATGAAGAAATCCCGTTTCCAACGAAGGCCTGAAAGAGGTCCGAATATCCACTGGCAGGCTTCACAAACAGAGTGTTTCCTAACTGCTCTGTGAAAAGAAAGGTTAAACTCTGTGAGTTGAACGCACACATCACAAAGGAGTTTCTGAGAATCATTCTGTCTAGTTTTTATACGAAGATATTTCCTTTTCTACCATTGACCTCAAAGCGGCTGAAATCTCCACTTGCAAATTCCAGAAAAACAGTGTTTCAAATCTGCTCTGTGTAAAGGATCGTTCAACTCTGTGAGTTGAATACACACAACACAAGGAAGTTACTGAGAATTCATCTGTCTAGCATAATATGAAGAAATCCCGTTTCCAACGAAGGCCTCAAAGAGGTCTGAATATCCACTTGCAGACTTTACAAACAGAGTGTTTCCTAACTGCTCTTTGAAAAGAAAGGTTAAACTCTGTGAGTTGAACGCACACATCACAAAACAGTTTCTGAGAATCATTCTGTCTAGTTTTTATACGAAGATATTTCCTTTTCTACCGTTGACCTCAAAGCGGCTGAATTCTCCACTTACAAATTCCACCAAAAGAGTGTCTCAAATCTGCTCTGTGTAAAGACTCATTCAACTCTGTGAGTTGAATGCACACAACACAAGGAAGTTACTGGGAATTCCTCTGTCTATCCTTACATGAAAAAACCCGTTTCCAACGAAGGCCTCTAAGAGGCCAAGATATCCACTTGCAGACTTTACAAACAGAGTGTTTCCAAACTGCTGAATGAAAAGAAAAGTTAAACTCTGTGAGTTGAACGCACACATCACAGAGCAGTTTCTGAGAAAGATTCTGTCTAGTTTTTATAGGAAAATATTTCCTTTTCTGCTTTTGGCCTCAAAGCGCTTGAAATCTCCACTTGCAAATTCCACAAAAAGAGTGTTTCAAATCTGCTCTGTCTAAAGGAAGGTTGAACTCTGTGAGTTGCATACACACAACACAAAGAAGTTACTGAGAAATCTTCCCTCTACCATTATATGACGACATCCCATTTCCAACGAAGGCATCTAAGAGGTCCAAATATCCACTTGCAGACTTTACAAACAGAGGGTTTCCAGAATTCTGTATGAAAAGAAAGGTTTAACTCTGTGAGTTAAACACACACATCACTACGCAGTTTCTGGGAATGATTTTGTCTTGTTTTTATACGAAGATATTTCCTTTTCTACCATTGGCGTCGAAGCGCTTGAAATCTCCACTTGCAAATTCCACAAAAAGAGTGTTTCAAATCTGCTCTGTCTAAGGGAAGGATGAACTCTGTGAGTTGCATACACACAACACAAAGTAGTTACTGAGAAATCTGTCTAGCATAATATGAAGAAATCCCGTTTCCAACGAAGGCCTCAAAGAGGTCCGAATATCCACTGGCAGACTTCACAAACAGAGTGTTTCCTAACTGCTCTGTGAATAGAAAGGTTAAACTCTGTGAGTTGAACGCACACATCACAAAGGAGTTTCTGAGAATCATTCTGTCTAGTTTTTATACGAAGATATTTCCTTTTCTACCATTGACCTCAAAGCGGCTGAAATCTCCACTTGCAAATTCCAGAAAAACAGTGTTTCAAATCTGCTCTGTGTAAAGGATCGTTTAACTCTGTGAGTTAAATACACACAACACAAGGAAGTTACTGAGAATTCATCTGTCTAGCATAATATGAAGAAATCCCGTTTCCAACGAAGGCCTCAAAGTAGGTCTGAATATCCACTTGCAGACTTTACAAACAGAGTGTTTCCTAACTGCTCTTTGAAAAGAAAGGTTAAACTCTGTGAGTTGAACGCACACATCACAAAACAGTTTCTGAGAATCATTCTGTCTAGTTTTTATACGAAGATATTTCCTTTTCTACCGTTGACCTCAAAGCGGCTGAATTCTCCACTTACAAATTCCACCAAAAGAGTGTCTCAAAACTGCTCTGTGTAAAGAATCATTCAACTCTGTGAGTTGAATGCACACAACACAAGGAAGTTACTGGGAATTCCTCTGTCTAACCTTACATGAAAAAACCCGCTTCCAACGAAGGCCTCTAAGAGGCCAAGATATCCACTTGCAGACTTTACAGAGTGTTTCCAAACTGCTGAATGAAAAGAAAAGTTAAACTCTGTGAGTTGAACGCACACATCACAGAGCAGTTTCTGAGAATGATTCTGTCGGGTTTTTATACGAAGATATTTCCTTTTCTGCCTTTGGCCTCAAAGCGCTTGAAGTCTCCACTTGCAAATTGCAGAAAAAGAGTGTTTCGAATCTGCTCTGTCTAAAGGAAGGTTCAACTCTGTCAGTTGAATACACACAACACAAGGAAGTTACTGAGATTTCTTCTGTCTAGCCTTACATGAAAAAAACCCGTTTCCAACGAAGGCCTCAAAGAGGTCAAAATATCCACGTGCAGACTTTCCAAACAGAGTGTTTCCAAACTGCTGAATGAAAAGAAAAGTTAAACTCTGTGAGTTGAACGCACACATCCCAGAGCAGTTTCTGAGAAAGATTCTGTCGAGTTTTTATAGGAAAATATTTCCTTTTCTGCTTTTGGCCTCAAAGCGCTTGAAATCTCCACTTGCAAATTCCACAAAAAGAGACTTTCAAATCTGCTCTGTCTAAAGGAAGGTTCAACTCTGTCAGTTGAATACACACAACACAAAGAAGTTACTAAGAATTCTTCCCTCTAGCATTATATGAAGAAATCCCGTTTCCAACGAAGGCATCTAAGAGGTCCAAATATCCACTTGCAGACTTTACAAACAGAGGGTTTCCAGAATGCTGTATGAAAAGAAAGGTGAAACTCTGTGAGTTAAACACACACATCACTACGCAGTGTCTGGGAACGAGTTTGTCTTGTTTTTATACGAAGATATTTCCTTTTCTACCATTGGCATCGAAGCGCTTGAAATCTCCACTTGCAAATTCCACAAAAAGAGTGTTTCAAATCTGCTCTGTCTAAAGGAAGGTTGAACTCTGTGAGTTGCATACACACAACACAAAGAAGTTACTGAGAAATCTTCTGTCTAGCATAATATGAAGAAATCCCGTTTCCAACGAAGGCCTCAAAGAGGTCCGAATATCCACTGGCAGGCTTCACAAACAGAGTGTTTCCTAACTGCTCTGTGAAAAGAAAGGTTAAACTCTGTGAGTTGAACGCACACATCACAAAGGAGTTTCTGAGAATCATTCTGTCTAGTTTTTATACGAAGATATTTCCTTTTCTACCATTGACCTCAAAGCGGCTGAAATCTCCACTTGCAAATTCCAGAAAAACAGTGTTTCAAATCTGCTCTGTGTAAAGGATCGTTCAACTCTGTGAGTTGAATACACACAACACAAGGAAGTTACTGAGAATTCATCTGTCTAGCATAATATGAAGAAATCCCGTTTCCAACGAAGGCCTCAAAGAGGTCTGAATATCCACTTGCAGACTTTACAAACAGAGTGTTTCCTAACTGCTCTTTGAAAAGAAAGGTTAAACTCTGTGAGTTGAACGCACACATCACAAAACAGTTTCTGAGAATCATTCTGTCTAGTTTTTATACGAAGATATTTCCTTTTCTACCGTTGACCTCAAAGCGGCTGAATTCTCCACTTACAAATTCCACCAAAAGAGTGTCTCAAATCTGCTCTGTGTAAAGAATCATTCAACTCTGTGAGTTGAATGCACACAACACAAGGAAGTTACTGGGAATTCCTCTGTCTATCCTTACATGAAAAAACCCGTTTCCAACGAAGGCCTCTAAGAGGCCAAGATATCCACTTGCAGACTTTACAAACAGAGTGTTTCCAAACTGCTGAATGAAAAGAAAAGTTAAACTCTGTGAGTTGAACGCACACATCACAGAGCAGTTTCTGAGAAAGATTCTGTCGGGTTTTTATACGAAGATATTTCCTTTTCTGCCTTTGGCCTCAAAGCGCTTGAAGTCTCCACTTGCAAATTGCAGAAAAAGAGTGTTTCGAATCTGCTCTGTCTAAAGGAAGGTTCAACTCTGTCAGTTGAATACACACAACACAAGGAAGTTACTGAGATTTCTTCTGTCTAGCCTTACATGAAAAAAACCCGTTTCCAACGAAGGCCTCAAAGAGGTCAAAATATCCACGTGCAGACTTTCCAAACAGAGTGTTTCCAAACGCTGAATGAAAAGAAAAGTTAAACACTGAGTTGAACGCACACATCCCAGAGCAGTTTCTGAGAAAGATTCTGTCGAGGTTTTATAGGAAAATATTTCCTTTTCTGCTTTTGGCCTCAAAGCGCTTGAAATCTCCACTTGCAAATTCCACAAAAAGAGACTTTCAAATCTGCTCTGTCTAAAGGAAGGTTCAACTCTGTCAGTTGAATACACACAACACAAAGAAGTTACTAAGAATTCTTCCCTCTAGCATTATATGAAGAAATCCCGTTTCCAACGAAGGCATCTAAGAGGTCCAAATATCGACTTGCAGACTTTACAAACAGAGGGTTTCCAGAATGCTGTATGAAAAGAAAGGTGAAACTCTGTGAGTTAAACACACACATCACTACGCAGTGTCTGGGAACGAGTTTGTCTTGTTTTTATACGAAGATATTTCCTTTTCTACCATTGGCATCGAAGCGCTTGAAATCTCCACTTGCAAATTCCACAAAAAGAGTGTTTCAAATCTGCTCTGTCTAAAGGAAGGTTGAACTCTGTGAGTTGCATACACACAACACAAAGAAGTTACTGAGAAATCTTCTGTCTAGCATAATATGAAGAAATCCCGTTTCCAACGAAGGCCTCAAAGAGGTCCGATTATCCACTGGCAGGCTTCACAAACAGAGTGTTTCCTAACTGCTCTGTGAAAAGAAAGGTTAAACTCTGTGAGTTGAACGCACACATCACAAAGGAGTTTCTGAGAATCATTCTGTCTAGTTTTTATACGAAGATATTTCCTTTTCTACCATTGACCTCAAAGCGGCTGAAATCTCCACTTGCAAATTCCAGAAAAACAGTGTTTCAAATCTGCTCTGTGTAAAGGATCGTTCAACTCTGTGAGTTGAATACACACAACACAAGGGAAGTTACTGAGAATTCATCTGTCTAGCATAATATGAAGAAATCCCGTTTCCAACGAAGGCCTCAAAGAGGTCTGAATATCCACTTGCAGACTTTACAGAGTGTTTCCTAACTGCTCTCTGAAAAGAAAGGTTAAACTCTGTGAGTTGAACGCACACATCACAAAACAGTTTCTGAGAATCATTCTGTCTAGTTTTTATACGAAGATATTTCCTTTTCTACCGTTGACCTCAAAGCGGCTGAATTCTCCACTTACAAATTCCACCAAAAGAGTGTCTCAAATGTGCTCTGTGTAAAGAATCATTCAACTCTGTGAGTTGAATGCACACAACACAAGGAAGTTACTGGGAATTCCTCTGTCTATCCTTACATGAAAAAACCCGTTTCCAACGAAGGCCTCTAAGAGGCCAAGATATCCACTTGCAGACTTTACAAACAGAGTGTTTCCAAACTGCTGAATGAAAAGAAAAGTTAAACTCTGTGAGTTGAACAGCACACATCACAGAGCAGTTTCTGAGAATGATTCTGTCGGGTTTTTATACGAAGATATTTCCTTTTCTGCCTTTGGCCTCAAAGCGCTTGAAGTCTCCACTTGCAAATTGCAGAAAAAGAGTGTTTCGAATCTGCTCTGTCTAAAGGAAGGTTCAACTCTGTCAGTTGAATACACACAACACAAGGAAGTTACTGAGATTTCTTCTGTCTAGCCTTACATGAAAAAAACCCGTTTCCAAAGAAGGCCTCAAAGAGGTCAAAATATCCACGTGCAGACTTTCCAAACAGAGTGTTTCCAAACTGCTGAATGAAAAGAAAAGTTAAACTCTGTGAGTTGAACGCACACATCCCAGAGCAGTTTCTGAGAAAGATTCTGTCGAGTTTTTATAGGAAAATATTTCCTTTTCTGCTTTTGGCCTCAAAGCGCTTGAAATCTCCACTTGCAAATTCCACAAAAAGAGACTTTCAAATCTGCTCTGTCTAAAGGAAGGTTCAACTCTGTCAGTTGAATACACACAACACAAAGAAGTTACTAAGAATTCTTCCCTCTAGCATTATATGAAGAAATCCCGTTTGCAACGAAGGCATCTAAGAGGTCCAAATATCCACTTGCAGACTTTACAAACAGAGGGTTTCCAGAATGCTGTATGAAAAGAAAGGTGAAACTCTGTGAGTTAAACACACACATCACTACGCAGTGTCTGGGAACGAGTTTGTCTTGTTTTTATACGAAGATATTTCCTTTTCTACCATTGGCATCGAAGCGCTTGAAATCTCCACTTGCAAATTCCACAAAAAGAGTGTTTCAAATCTGCTCTGTCTAAAGGAAGGTTGAACTCTGTGAGTTGCATACACACAACACAAAGAAGTTACTGAGAAATCTCTGTCTAGCATAATATGAAGAAATCCCGTTTCCAACGAAGGCCTCAAAGAGGTCCGAATATCCACTGGCAGGCTTCACAAACAGAGTGTTTCCTAACTGCTCTGTGAAAAGAAAGGTTAAACTCTGTGAGTTGAACGCACACATCACAAAGGAGTTTCTGAGAATCATTCTGTCTAGTTTTTATACGAAGATATTTCCTTTTCTACCATTGACCTCAAAGGGGCTGAAATCTCCACTTGCAAATTCCAGAAAAACAGTGTTTCAAATCTGCTCTGTGTAAAGGATCGTTTAACTCTGTGAGTTGAATACACACAACACAAGGAAGTTACTGAGAATTCATCTGTCTAGCATAATATGAAGAAATCCCGTTTCCAACGAAGGCCTCAAAGAGGTCTGAATATCCACTTGCAGACTTTACAAACAGAGTGTTTCCTAACTGCTCTTTGAAAAGAAAGGTTAAACTCTGTGAGTTGAACGCACACATCACAAAACAGTTTCTGAGAATCATTCTGTCCAGTTTTTATACGAAGATATTTCCTTTTCTACCATTGACCTCAAAGCGGCTGAATTCTCCACTTACAAATTCCACCAAAAGAGTGTCTCAAATCTGCTCTGTGTAAAGAATCATTCAACTCTGTGAGTTGAATGCACACAACACAAGGAAGTTACTGGGAATTCCTCTGTCTAAGCTTACATGAAAAAACCCGTTTCCAACGAAGGCCTCTAAGAGGCCAAGATATCCACTTGCAGACTTTACAAACAGAGTGTTTCCAAACTGCTGAATGAAAAGAAAAGTTAAACTCTGTGAGTTGAACGCACACATCACAGAGCAGTTTCTGAGAATGATTCTGTCGGGTTTTTATACGAAGATATTTCCTTTTCTGCCTTTGGCCTCAAAGCGCTTGAAGTCTCCACTTGCAAATTGCAGAAAAAGAGTGTTTCGAATCTGCTCTGTCTAAAGGAAGGTTCAACTCTGTCAGTTGAATACACACAACACAAGGAAGTTACTGAGATTTCTTCTGTCTAGCCTTACATGAAAAAAACCCGTTTCCAACGAAGGCCTCAAAGAGGTCAAAATATCCACGTGCAGACTTTCCATACAGAGTGTTTCCAAACTGCTGAATGAAAAGAAAAGTTAAACTCTGTGAGTTGAACGCACACATCCCAGAGCAGTTTCTGAGAAAGATTCTGTCTAGTTTTTATAGGAAAATATTTCCTTTTCTGCTTTTGGCCTCAAAGCGCTTGAAATCTCCACTTGCAAATTCCACAAAAAGAGACTTTCAAATCTGCTCTGTCTAAAGGAAGGTTCAACTCTGTCAGTTGAATACACACAACACAAAGAAGTTACTAAGAATTCTTCCCTCTAGCATTATATGAAGAAATCCCGTTTCCAACGAAGGCATCTAAGAGGTCCAAATATCCACTTGCAGACTTTACAAACAGAGGGTTTCCAGAATGCTGTATGAAAAGAAAGGTTAAACTCTGTGAGTTAAACACACACATCACTACGCAGTGTCTGGGAACGAGTTTGTCTTGTTTTTATACGAAGATATTTCCTTTTCTACCATTGGCATCGAAGCGCTTGAAATCTCCACTTGCAAATTCCACAAAAAGAGTGTTTCAAATCTGCTCTGTCTAAAGGAAGGTTGAACTCTGTGAGTTGCATACACACAACACAAAGAAGTTACTGAGAAATCTTCTGTCTAGCATAATATGAAGAAATCCCGTTTCCAACGAAGGCCTCAAAGAGGTCCGAATATCCACTGGCAGGCTTCACAAACAGAGTGTTTCCTAACTGCTCTGTGAAAAGAAAGGTTAAACTCTGTGAGTTGAACGCACACATCACAAAGGAGTTTCTGAGAATCATTCTGTCTAGTTTTTATACGAAGATATTTCCTTTTCTACCATTGACCTCAAAGCGGCTGAAATCTCCACTTGCAAATTCCAGAAAAACAGTGTTTCAAATCTGCTCTGTGTAAAGGATCGTTCAACTCTGTGAGTTGAATACACACAACACAAGGAAGTTACTGAGAATTCATCTGTCTAGCATAATATGAAGAAATCCCGTTTCCAACGAAGGCCTCAAAGAGGTCTGAATATCCACTTGCAGACTTTACAAACAGAGTGTTTCCTAACTGCTCTTTGAAAAGAAAGGTTAAACTCTGTGAGTTGAAAGCACACATCACAAAACAGTTTCTGAGAATCATTCTGTCTAGTTTTTATAGGAAGATATTTCCTTTTCTACCGTTGACGTCAAAGCGGCTGAATTCTCCACTTACAAATTCCACCAAAAGAGTGTCTCAAATCTGCTCTGTGTAAAGAATCATTCAACTCTGTGAGTTGAATGCACACAACACAAGGAAGTTAGTGGGAATTCCTCTGTCTAACCTTACATGAAAAAACCCGTTTCCAACGAAGGCCTCTAAGAGGCCAAGATATCCACTTGCAGACTTTACAAACAGAGTGTTTCCAAACTGCTGAATGAAAAGAAAAGTTAAACTCTGTGAGTTGAACACACACATCACAGAGCAGTTTCTGAGAATGAATCTGTCGGGTTTTTATACGAAGATATTTCCTTTTCTGCCTTTGGCCTCAAAGCGCTTGAAGTCTCCACTTGCAAATTGCAGAAAAAGAGTGTTTCGAATCTGCTCTGTCTAAAGGAAGGTTCAACTCTGTCAGTTGAATACACACAACACAAGGAAGTTACTGAGATTTCTTCTGTCTAGCCTTACATGAAAAAAACCCGTTTCCAACGAAGGCCTCAAAGAGGTCAAAATATCCACGTGCAGACTTTCCAAACAGAGTGTTTCCAAACTGCTGAATGAAAAGAAAAGTTAAACTCTGTGAGTTGAACGCACACATCCCAGAGCAGTTTCTGAGAAAGATTCTGTCGAGTTTTTATAGGAAAATATTTCCTTTTCTGCTTTTGGCCTCAAAGCGCTTGAAATCTCCACTTGCAAATTCCACAAAAAGAGACTTTCAAATCTGCTCTGTCTAAAGGAAGGTTCAACTCTGTCAGTTGAATACACACAACACAAAGAAGTTACTAAGAATTCTTCCCTCTAGCATTATATGAAGAAATCCCGTTTCCAACGAAGGCATCTAAGAGGTCCAAATATCCACTTGCAGACTTTACAAACACAGGGTTTCCAGAATGCTGTATGAAAAGAAAGGTTAAACTCTGTGAGTTAAACACACACATCACTACGCAGTGTCTGGGAACGAGTTTGTCTTGTTTTTATACGAAGATATTTCCTTTTCTACCATTGGCATCGAAGCGCTTGAAATCTCCACTTGCAAATTCCACAAAAAGAGTGTTTCAAATCTGCTCTGTCTAAAGGAAGGTTGAACTCTGTGAGTTGCATACACACAACCCAAAGAAGTTACTGAGAAATCTTCTGTCTAGCATAATATGAAGAAATCCCGTTTCCAACGAAGGCCTCAAAGAGGTCCGAATATCCACTGGCAGGCTTCACAAACAGAGTGTTTCCTAACTGCTCTGTGAAAAGAAAGGTTAAACTCTGTGAGTTGAACGCACACATCACAAAGGAGTTTCTGAGAATCATTCTGTCTAGTTTTTATACGAAGATATTTCCTTTTCTACCATTGACCTCAAAGCGGCTGACATCTCCACTTGCAAATTCCAGAAAAACAGTGTTTCAAATCTGCTCTGTGTAAAGGATCGTTCAACTCTGTGAGTTGAATACACACAACACAAGGAAGTTACTGAGAATTCATCTGTCTAGCATAATATGAAGAAATCCCGTTTCCAACGAAGGCCTCAAAGAGGTCTGAATATCCACTTGCAGACTTTACAAACAGAGTGTTTCCTAACTGCTCTTTGAAAAGAAAGGTTAAACTCTGTGAGTTGAACGCACACATCACAAAACAGTTTCTGAGAATCATTCTGTCTAGTTTTTATACGAAGATATTTCCTTTTCTACCGTTGACCTCAAAGCGGCTGAATTCTCCACTTACAAATTCCACCAAAAGAGTGTCTCAAATCTGCTCTGTGTAAAGAATCATTCAACTTCTGTGAGTTGAATGCACACAACACAAGGAAGTTACTGGGAATTCCTCTGTCTAACCTTACATGAAAAAACCCGTTTCCAACGAAGGCCTCTAAGAGGCCAAGATATCCACTTGCAGACTTTACAAACAGAGTGTTTCCAAACTGCTGAATGAAAAGAAAAGTTAAACTCTGTGAGTTGAACGCACACATCACAGAGCAGTTTCTGAGAATGATTCTGTCGGGTTTTTATACGAAGATATTTCCTTTTCTGCCTTTGGCCTCAAAGCGCTTGAAGTCTCCACTTGCAAATTGCAGAAAAAGAGTGTTTCGAATCTGCTCTGTCTAAAGGAAGGTTCAACTCTGTCAGTTGAATACACACAACACAAGGGAATTTACTGAGATTTCTTCTGTCTAGCCTTACATGAAAAAAACCCGTTTCCAACGAAGGCCTCAAAGAGGTCAAAATATCCACGTGCAGACTTTCCAAACAGAGTGTTTCCAAACTGCTGAATGAAAAGAAAAGTTAAACTCTGTGAGTTGAACGCACACATCCCAGAGCAGTTTCTGAGAAAGATTCTGTCGAGTTTTTATAGGAAAATATTTCCTTTTCTGTTTTTGGCCTCAAAGCGCTTGAAATCTCCACTTGCAAATTCCACAAAAAGAGACTTTCAAATCTG
This sequence comes from Homo sapiens, assembly GCF_000001405.40. NCBI lineage: Eukaryota > Metazoa > Chordata > Mammalia > Primates > Hominidae > Homo > Homo sapiens. Next base: position 38,002,111 of record NC_000016.10, on the reverse strand, counting down.
CTCTGTCTAAAGGAAGGTTCAACTCTGTCAGTTGAATACACACAACACAAAGAAGTTACTAAGAATTCTTCCCTCTAGCATTATATGAAGAAATCCCGTTTCCAACGAAGGCATCTAAGAGGTCCAAATATCCACTTGCAGACTTTACAAACACAGGGTTTCCAGAATGCTGTATGAAAAGAAAGGTTAAACTCTGTGAGTTAAACACACACATCACTACGCAGTGTCTGGGAACGAGTTTGTCTTGTTTTTATACGAAGATATTTCCTTTTCTACCATTGGCATCGAAGCGCTTGAAATCTCCACTTGCAAATTCCACAAAAAGAGTGTTTCAAATATGCTCTATCTAAAGGAAGGTTGAACTCTGTGAGTTGCATACACACAACCCAAAGAAGTTACTGAGAAATCTTCTGTCTAGCATAATATGAAGAAATCCCGTTTCCAACGAAGGCCTCAAAGAGGTCCGATTATCCACTGGCAGGCTTCACAAACAGAGTGTTTCCTAACTGCTCTGTGAAAAGAAAGGTTAAACTCTGTGAGTTGAACGCACACATCACAAAGGAGTTTCTGAGAATCATTCTGTCTAGTTTTTATACGAAGATATTTCCTTTTCTACCATTGACCTCAAAGCGGCTGAAATCTCCACTTGCAAATTCCAGAAAAACAGTGTTTCAAATCTGCTCTGTGTAAAGGATCGTTCAACTCTGTGAGTTGAATACACACAACACAAGGAAGTTACTGAGAATTCATCTGTCTAGCATAATATGAAGAAATCCCGTTTCCAACGAAGGCCTCAAAGAGGTCTGAATATCCGCTTGCAGACTTTACAAACAGAGTGTTTCCTAACTGCTCTTTGAAAAGAAAGGTTAAACTCTGTGAGTTGAACGCACACATCACAAAACAGTTTCTGAGAATCATTCTGTCTAGTTTTTATACGAAGATATTTCCTTTTCTACCGTTGACCTCAAAGCGGCTGAATTCTCCACTTACAAATTCCACCAAAAGAGTGTCTCAAATCTGCTCTGTGTAAAGAATCATTCAACTCTGTGAGTTGAATGCACACAACACAAGGAAGTTACTGGGAATTCCTCTGTCTAACCTTACATGAAAAAAACCGTTTCCAACGAAGGCCTCTAAGAGGCCAAGATATCCACTTGCAGACTTTACAAACAGAGTGTTTCCAAACTGCTGAATGAAAAGAAAAGTTAAACTCTGTGAGTTGAACGCACACATCACAGAGCAGTTTCTGAGAATGATTCTGTCGGGTTTTTATACGAAGATATTTCCTTTTCTGCCTTTGGCCTCAAAGCGCTTGAAGTCTCCACTTGGAAATTGCAGAAAAAGAGTGTTTCGAATCTGCTCTGTCTAAAGGAAGGTTCAAATCTGTCAGTTGAATACACACAACACAAGGAAGTTACTGAGATTTCTTCTGTCTAGCCTTACATGAAAAAAACCCGTTTCCAACGAAGGCCTCAAAGAGGTCAAAATATCCACGTGCAGACTTTCCAAACAGTGTTTCCAAACTGCTGAATGAAAAGAAAAGTTAAACTCTGTGAGTTGAACGCACACATCACAGAGCAGTTTCTGAGAATGATTCTGTCGAGTTTTTATAGGAAAATATTTCCTTTTCTGCTTTTGGCCTCAAAGCGCTTGAAATCTCCACTTTCAAATTCCACAAAAAGAGACTTTCAAATCTGCTCTGTCTAAAGGAAGGTTCAACTCTGTCAGTTGAATACACACAACACAAAGAAGTTACTAAGAATTCTTCCCTCTAGCATTATATGAAGAAATCCCGTTTCCAACGAAGGCATCTAAGAGGTCCAAATATCCACTTGCAGACTTTACAAACACAGGGTTTCCAGAATGCTGTATGAAAAGAAAGGTTAAACTCTGTGAGTTAAACACACACATCACTACGCAGTGTCTGGGAACGAGTTTGTCTTGTTTTTATACGAAGATATTTCCTTTTCTACCATTGGCATCGATGCGCTTGAAATTTCCACTTGCAAATTCCACAAAAAGAGTGTTTCAAATCTGCTCTGTCTAAAGGAAGGTTGAACTCTGTGAGTTGCATACACACAACACAAAGAAGTTACTGAGAATTCTTCTGTCTTGCAAAATATGAAGAAATCCCGTTTCCAACGAAGGCCTCAAAGAGGTCCGAATATCCACTGGCAGGCTTCACAAACAGAGTGTTTCCTAACTGCTCTGTGAAAAGAAAGGTTAAACTCTGTGAGTTGAACGCACACATCACAAAGGAGTTTCTGAGAATCATTCTGTCCAGTTTTTATACGAAGATATTTCCTTTTCTACCATTGACCTCAAAGCGGCTGAAATCTCCACTTGCAAATTCCAGAAAAACAGTGTTTCAAATCTGCTCTGTGTAAAGGATCGTTCAACTCTGTGAGTTGAATACACACAACACAAGGAAGTTACTGAGAATTCATCTGTCTAGCATAATATGAAGAAATCCCGTTTCCAACGAAGGCCTCAAAGAGGTCTGAATATCCACTTGCAGACTTTACAAACAGAGTGTTTCCTAACTGCTCTTTGAAAAGAAAGGTTAAACTCTGTGAGTTGAACGCACACATCACAAAACAGTTTCTGAGAATCATTCTGTCTAGTTTTTATACGAAGATATTTCCTTTTCTACCGTTGACCTCAAAGCGGCTGAATTCTCCACTTACAAATTCCACCAAAAGAGTGTCTCAAATCTGCTCTGTGTAAAGAATCATTCAACTCTGTGAGTTGAATGCACACAACACAAGGGAAGTTACTGGGAATTCCTCTGTCTATCCTTACATGAAAAAACCCGTTTCCAACGAAGGCCTCTAAGAGGCCAAGATATCCACTTGCAGACTTTACAAACAGAGTGTTTCCAAACTGCTGAATGAAAAGAAAAGTTAAACTCTGTGAGTTGAACGCACACATCACAGAGCAGTTTCTGAGAGTGATTCTGTCGGGTTTTTATACGAAGATATTTCCTTTTCTGCCTTTGGCCTCAAAGCGCTTGAAGTCTCCACTTGCAAATTGCAGAAAAAGAGTGTTTCGAATCTGCTCTGTCTAAAGGAAGGTTCAACTCTGTCAGTTGAATACACACAACACAAGGAAGTTACTGAGATTTCTTCTGTCTAGCGTTACATTAAAAAAACCCGTTTCCAACGAAGGCCTCAAAGAGGTCAAAATATCCACGTGCAGACTTTCCAAACAGAGTGTTTCCAAACTGCTGAATGAAAAGAAAAGTTAAACTCTGTGAGTTGAACGCACACATCCCAGAGCAGTTTCTGAGAAAGATTCTGTCTAGTTTTTATAGGAAAATATTTCCTTTTCTGCTTTTGGCCTCAAAGCGCTTGAAATCTCCACTTGCAAATTCCACAAAAAGAGACTTTCAAATCTGCTCTGTCTAAAGGAAGGTTCAACTCTGTCAGTTGAATACACACAACACAAAGAAGTTACTAAGAATTCTTCCCTCTAGCATTATATGAAGAAATCCCGTTTCCAACGAAGGCATCTAAGAGGTCCAAATATCCACTTGCAGACTTTACAAACAGAGGGTTTCCAGAATGCTGTATGAAAAGAAAGGTTAAACTCTGTGAGTTAAACACACACATCACTACGCAGTGTCTGGGAACGAGTTTGTCTTGTTTTTATACGAAGATATTTCCTTTTCTACCATTGGCATCGAAGCGCTTGAAATCTCCACTTGCAAATTCCACAAAAAGAGTGTTTCAAATCTGCTCTGTCTAAAGGAAGGTTGAACTCTGTGAGTTGCATACACACAACACAAAGAAGTTACTGAGAAATCTTCTGTCTAGCATAATATGAAGAAATCCCGTTTCCAACGAAGGCCTCAAAGAGGTCCGAATATCCACTGGCAGGCTTCACAAACAGAGTGTTTCCTAACTGCTCTGTGAAAAGAAAGGTTAAACTCTGTGAGTTGAACGCACACATCACAAAGGAGTTTCTGAGAATCATTCTGTCTAGTTTTTATACGAAGATATTTCTTTTTCTACCATTGACCTCAAAGCGGCTGAAATCTCCACTTGCAAATTCAAGAAAAACAGTGTTTCAAATCTGCTCTGTGTAAAGGATCGTTCAACTCTGTGAGTTGAATACACACAACACAAGGAAGTTACTGAGAATTCATCTGTCTAGCATAATATGAAGAAATCCCGTTTCCAACGAAGGCCTCAAAGAGGTCTGAATATCCACTTGCAGACTTTACAAACAGAGTGTTTCCTAACTGCTCTTTGAAAAGAAAGGTTAAACTCTGTGAGTTGAACGCACACATCACAAAACAGTTTCTGAGAATCATTCTGTCTAGTTTTAATACGAAGATATTTCCTTTTCTACCGTTGACCTCAAAGCGGCTGAATTCTCCACTTACAAATTCCACCAAAAGAGTGTCTCAAATCTGCTCTGTGTAAAGAATCGTTCAACTCTGTGAGTTGAATGCACACAACACAAGGAAGTTACTGGGAATTCCTCTGTCTATCCTTACATGAAAAAACCCGTTTCCAACGAAGGCCTCTAAGAGGCCAAGATATCCACTTGCAGACTTTACAAACAGAGTGTTTCCAAACTGCTGAATGAGAAGAAAAGTTAAACTCTGTGAGTTGAACGCACACATCACAGAGCAGTTTCTGAGAATGATTCTGTCGGGTTTTTATACGAAGATATTTCCTTTTCTGCCTTTGGCCTCAAAGCGCTTGAAGTCTCCACTTGCAAATTGCAGAAAAAGAGTGTTTCGAATCTGCTCTGTCTAAAGGAAGGTTCAACTCTGTCAGTTGAATACACACAACACAAGGAAGTTACTGAGATTTCTTCTGTCTAGCCTTACATGAAAAAAACCCGTTTCCAACGAAGGCCTCAAAGAGGTCAAAATATCCACGTGCAGACTTTCCAAACAGTGTTTCCAAACTGCTGAATGAAAAGAAAAGTTAAACTCTGTGAGTTGAACGCACACATCACAGAGCAGTTTCTGAGAATGATTCTGTCTAGTTTTTATAGGAAAATATTTCCTTTTCTGCTTTTGGCCTCAAAGCGCTTGAAATCTCCACTTGCAAATTCCACAAAAAGAGACTTTCAAATCTGCTCTGTCTAAAGGAAGGTTCAACTCTGTCAGTTGAATACACACAACACAAAGAAGTTACTAAGAATTCTTCCCTCTAGCATTATATGAAGAAATCCCGTTTCCAACGAAGGCATCTAAGAGGTCCAAATATCCACTTGCAGACTTTACAAACACAGGGTTTCCAGAATGCTGTATGAAAAGAAAGGTTAAACTCTGTGAGTTAAACACACACATCACTACGCAGTGTCTGGGAATGAGTTTGTCTTGTTTTTATACGAAGATATTTCCTTTTCTACCATTGGCATCGAAGCGCTTGAAATCTCCACTTGCAAATTCCACAAAAAGAGTGTTTCAAATCTGCTCTGTCTAAAGGAAGGTTGAACTCTGTGAGTTGCATACACACAACACAAAGAAGTTACTGAGAAATCTTCTGTCTAGCATAATATGAAGAAATCCCGTTTCCAACGAAGGCCTCAAAGAGGTCCGAATATCCACTGGCAGGCTTCACAAACAGAGTGTTTCCTAACTGCTCTGTGAAAAGAAAGGTTAAACTACTGTGAGTTGAACGCACACATCACAAAGGAGTTTCTGAGAATCATTCTGTCTAGTTTTTATACGAAGATATTTCCTTTTCTACCATTGACCTCAAAGCGGCTGAAATCTCCACTTGCAAATTCCAGAAAAAGAGTGTTTCAAATCTGCTCTGTGTAAAGGATCGTTCAACTCTGTGAGTTGAATACACACAACACAAGGAAGTTACTGAGAATTCTTCTGTCTAGCATAATATGAAGAAATCCCGTTTCCAACGAAGGCCTCAGAGAGGTCTGAATATCCACTTGCAGACATTACAAACAGAGTGTTTCCTAACTGCTCTTTGAAAAGAAAGGTTAAACTTTGTGAGTTGAACGCACACATCACAGAGCAGTTTCTGAGAATCATTCTGTCTATTTTTTATACGAAGATATTTCCTTTTCTACCATTGACCTCAAAGCGGCTGAATTCTCCACTTACAAATTCCACCAAAAGAGTGTCTCAAATCTGCTCTGTGTAAAGAATCATTCAACTCTGTGAGTTGAATGCACACAACACAAGGAAGTTACTGGGAATTCCTCTGTCTAACCTTACATGAAAAAACCCGTTTCCAACGAAGGCCTCTAAGAGGCCAAGATATCCACTTGCAGACTTTACAAACAGAGTGTTTCCAAACTGCTGAATGAAAAGAAAAGTTAAACTCTGTGAGTTGAACGCACACATCCCAGAGCAGTTTCTGAGAAAGATTCTGTCGGGTTTTTATACGAAGATATTTCCTTTTCTGCCTTTGGCCTCAAAGCGCTTGAAGTCTCCACTTGCAAATTGCAGAAAAAGAGTGTTTCGAATCTGCTCTGTCTAAAGGAAGGTTCAACTCTGTCAGTTGAATACACACAACACAAGGAAGTTACTGAGATTTCTTCTGTCTAGCCTTACATGAAAAAAACCCGTTTCCAACGAAGGCCTCAAAGAGGTCAAAATATCCACGTGCAGACTTTCCAAACAGAGTGTTTCCAAACTGCTGAATGAAAAGAAAAGTTAAACTCTGTGAGTTGAACGCACACATCCCACAGCAGTTTCTGAGAAAGATTCTGTCTAGTTTTTATAGGAAAATACTTCCTTTTCTGCTTTTGGCCTCAAAGCGCTTGAAATCTCCACTTGCAAATTCCACAAAAAGAGACTTTCAAATCTGCTCTGTCTAAAGGAAGGTTCAACTCTGTCAGTTGAATACACACAACACAAAGAAGTTACTAAGAATTCTTCCCTCTAGCATTATATGAAGAAATCCCGTTTCCAACGAAGGCATCTAAGAGGTCCAAATATCCACTTGCAGACTTTACAAACAGAGGGTTTCCAGAATGCTGTATGAAAAGAAAGGTGAAACTCTGTGAGTTAAACACACACATCACTACGCAGTGTCTGGGAACGAGTTTGTCTTGTTTTTATACGAAGATATTTCCTTTTCTACCATTGGCATCGAAGCGCTTGAAATCTCCACTTGCAAATTCCACAAAAAGAGTGTTTCAAATCTGCTCTGTCTAAAGGAAGGTTGAACTCTGTGAGTTGCATACACACAACACAAAGAAGTTACTGAGAAATCTTCTGTCTAGCATAATATGAAGAAATCCCGTTTCCAACGAAGGCCTCAAAAAGGTCCGAATATCCACTGGCAGGCTTCACAAACAGAGTGTTTCCTAACTGCTCTGTGAAAAGAAAGGTTAAACTCTGTGAGTTGAACGCACACATCACAAAGGAGTTTCTGAGAATCATTCTGTCTAGTTTTTATACGAAGATATTTCCTTTTCTACCATTGACCTCAAAGCGGCTGAAATCTCCACTTGCAAATTCCACAAAAACAGTGTTTCAAATCTGCTCTGTGTAAAGGATCGTTTAACTCTGTGAGTTGAATACACACAACACAAGGAAGTTACTGAGAATTCATCTGTCTAGCATAATATGAAGAAATCCCGTTTCCAACGAAGGCCTCAAAGAGGTCTGAATATCCACTTGCAGACTTTACAAACAGAGTGTTTCCTAACTGCTCTTTGAAAAGAAAGGTTAAACTCTGTGAGTTGAACGCACACATCACAAAACACTTTCTGAGAATCATTCTGTCTAGTTTTTATACGAAGATATTTCCTTTTCTACCGTTGACCTCAAAGCGGCTGAATTCTCCACTTACAAATTCCACCAAAAGAGTGTCTCAAATCTGCTCTGTGTAAAGAATCATTCAACTCTGTGAGTTGAATGCACACAACACAAGGAAGTTACTGGGAATTCCTCTGTCTATCCTTACATGAAAAAACCCGCTTCCAACGAAGGCCTCTAAGAGGCCAAGATATCCACTTGCAGACTTTACAAACAGAGTGTTTCCAAACTGCTGAATGAAAAGAAACGTTAAACTCTGTGAGTTGAACGCACACATCACAGAGCAGTTTCTGAGAATGATTCTGTCGGGTTTTTATACGAAGATATTTCCTTTTCTGCCTTTGGCCTCAAAGCGCTTGACGTCTCCACTTGCAAATTGCAGAAAAAGAGTGTTTCGAATCTGCTCTGTCTAAAGGAAGGTTCAACTCTGTCAGTTGAATACACACAACACAAGGAAGTTACTGAGATTTCTTCTGTCTAGCCTTACATGAAAAAAACCCGTTTCCAACGAAGGCCTCAAAGAGGTCAAAATATCCACGTGCAGACTTTCCAAACAGAGTGTTTCCAAACTGCTGAATGAAAAGAAAAGTTAAACTCTGTGAGTTGAACGCACACATCCCAGAGCAGTTTCTGAGAAAGATTCTGTCGAGTTTTTATAGGAAAATATTTCCTTTTCTGCTTTTGGCCTCAAAGCGCTTGAAATCTCCACTTGCAAATTCCACAAAAAGAGACTTTCAAATCTGCTCTGTCTAAAGGAAGGTTCAACTCTGTCAGTTGAATACACACAACACAAAGAAGTTATTAAGAATTCTTCCCTCTAGCATTATATGAAGAAATCCCGTTTCCAACGAAGGCATCTAAGAGGTCCAAATATCCACTTGCAGACTTTACAAACAGAGGGTTTCCAGAATGCTGTATGAAAAGAAAGGTGAAACTCTGTGAGTTAAACACACACATCACTACGCAGTGTCTGGGAACGAGTTTGTCTTGTTTTTATACGAAGATATTTCCTTTTCTACCATTGGCATCGAAGCGCTTGAAATCTCCACTTGCAAATTCCACAAAAAGAGTGTTTCAAATCTGCTCTGTCTAAAGGAAGGTTGAACTCTGTGAGTTGCATACACACAACACAAAGAAGTTACTGAGAAATCTTCTGTCTAGCATAATATGAAGAAATCCCGTTTCCAACGAAGGCCTCAAAGAGGTCCGAATATCCACTGGCAGGCTTCACAAACAGAGTGTTTCCTAACTGCTCTGTGAAAAGAAAGGTTAAACTCTGTGAGTTGAACGCACACATCACAAAGGAGTTTCTGAGAATCATTCTGTCTAGTTTTTATACGAAGATATTTCCTTTTCTACCATTGACCTCAAAGCGGCTGAAATCTCCACTTGCAAATTCCAGAAAAACAGTGTTTCAAATCTGCTCTGTGTAAAGGATCGTTCAACTCTGTGAGTTGAATACACACAACACAAGGAAGTTACTGAGAATTCATCTGTCTAGCATAATATGAAGAAATCCCGTTTCCAACGAAGGCCTCAAAGAGGTCTGAATATCCACTTGCAGACTTTACAAACAGTGTTTCCTAACTGCTCTTTGAAAAGAAAGGTTAAACTCTGTGAGTTGAACGCACACATCACAAAACAGTTTCTGAGAATCATTCTGTCTAGTTTTTATACGAAGATATTTCCTTTTCTACCGTTGACCTCAAAGCGGCTGAATTCTCCACTTACAAATTCCACCAAAAGAGTGTCTCAAATCTACTCTGTGTAAAGAATCATTCAACTCTGTGAGTTGAATGCACACAACACAAGGAAGTTACTGGGAATTCCTCTGTCTATCCTTACATGAAAAAACCCGTTTCCAACGAAGGCCTCTAAGAGGCCAAGATATCCACTTGCAGACTTTACAAACAGAGTGTTTCCAAACTGCTGAATGAAAAGAAAAGTTAAACTCTGTGAGTTGAACGCACACATCACAGAGCAGTTTCTGAGAATGATTCTGTCGGGTTTTTATACGAAGATATTTCCTTTTCTGCCTTTGGCCTCAAAGCGCTTGAAGTCTCCACTTGCAAATTGCAGAAAAAGAGTGTTTCGAATCTGCTCTGTCTAAAGGAAGGTTCAACTCTGTCAGTTGAATACACACAACACAAGGAAGTTACTGAGATTTCTTCTGTCTAGCCTTACATGAAAAAAACCCGTTTCCAACGAAGGCCTCAAAGAGGTCAAAATATCCACGTGCAGACTTTCCAAACAGAGTGTTTCCAAACTGCTGAATGAAAAGAAAAGTTAAACTCTGTGAGTTGAACGCACACATCCCAGAGCAGTTTCTGAGAAAGATTCTGTCGAGTTTTTATAGGAAAATATTTCCTTTTCTGCTTTTGGCCTCAAAGCGCTTGAAATCTCCACTTGCAAATTCCACAAAAAGAGACTTTCAAATCTGCTCTGTCTAAAGGAAGGTTCAACTCTGTCAGTTGAATACACACAACACAAAGAAGTTACTAAGAATTCTTCCCTCTAGCATTATATGAAGAAATCCCATTTCCAAAGAAGGCATCTAAGAGGTCCAAATATCCACTTGCAGACTTTACAAACACAGGGTTTCCAGAATGCTGTATGAAAAGAAAGGTTAAACTCTGTGAGTTAAACACACACATCACTACGCAGTGTCTGGGAACGAGTTTGTCTTGTTTTTATACGAAGATATTTCCTTTTCTACCATTGGCATCGAAGCGCTTGAAATCTCCACTTGCAAATTCCACAAAAAGAGTGTTTCAAATCTGCTCTGTCTAAAGGAAGGTTGAACTCTGTGAGTTGCATACACACAACCCAAAGAAGTTACTGAGAAATCTTCTGTCTAGCATAATATGAAGAAATCCCGTTTCCAACGAAGGCCTCAAAGAGGTCCGAATATCCACTGGCAGGCTTCACAAACAGAGTGTTTCCTAACTGCTCTGTGAAAAGAAAGGTTAAACTCTGTGAGTTGAACGCACACATCACAAAGGAGTTTCTGAGAATCATTCTGTCTAGTTTTTATACGAAGATATTTCTTTTTCTACCATTGACCTCAAAGCGGCTGAAATCTCCACTTGCAAATTCCAGAAAAACAGTGTTTCAAATCTGCTCTGTGTAAAGGATCGTTCAACTCTGTGAGTTGAATACACACAACACAAGGAAGTTACTGAGAATTCATCTGTCTAGCATAATATGAAGAAATCCCGTTTCCAACGAAGGCCTCAAAGAGGTCTGAATATCCACTTGCAGACTTTACAAACAGAGTGTTTCCTAACTGCTCTTTGAAAAGAAAGGTTAAACTCTGTGAGTTGAACGCACACATCACAAAACAGTTTCTGAGAATCATTCTGTCTAGTTTTTATACGAAGATATTTCCTTTTCTACCGTTGACCTCAAAGCGGCTGAATTCTCCACTAACAATTTCCACCAAAAGAGTGTCTCAAATCTGCTCTGTGTAAAGAATCATTCAACTCTGTGAGTTGAATGCACACAACACAAGGAAGTTACTGGGAATTCCTCTGTCTAACCTTACATGAAAAAACCCTTTTCCAACGAAGGCCTCTAAGAGGCCAAGATATCCACTTGCAGACTTTACAAACAGAGTGTTTCCAAACTGCTGAATGAAAAGAAAAGTTAAACTCTGTGAGTTGAACGCACACATCACAGAGCAGTTTCTGAGAATGATTCTGTCGGGTTTTTATACGAAGATATTTCCTTTTCTGCCTTTGGCCTCAAAGCGCTTGAAGTCTCCACTTGCAAATTGCAGAAAAAGAGTGTTTCGAATCTGCTCTGTCTAAAGGAAGGTTCAACTCTGTCAGTTGAATACACACAACACAAGGAAGTTACTGAGATTTCTTCTGTCTAGCCTTACATGAAAAAAACCCGTTTCCAACGAAGGCCTCAAAGAGGTCAAAATATCCACCTGCAGACTTTCCAAACAGAGTGTTTCCAAACTGCTGAATGAAAAGAAAAGTTAAACTCTGTGAGTTGAACGCACACATCCCAGAGCAGTTTCTGAGAAAGATTCTGTCGAGTTTTTATACGAAAATATTTCCTTTTCTGCTTTTGGCCTCAAAGCGCTTGAAATCTCCACTTGCAAATTCCACAAAAAGAGACTTTCAAATCTGCTCTGTCTAAAGGAAGGTTCAACTCTGTCAGTTGAATACACACAACACAAAGAAGTTACTAAGAATTCTTCCCTCTAGCATTATATGAAGAAATCCCGTTTCCAACGAAGGCATCTAAGAGGTCCAAATATCCACTTGCAGACTTTACAAACAGAGGGTTTCCAGAATGCTGTATGAAAAGAAAGGTTAAACTCTGTGAGTTAAACACACACATCACTACGCAGTGTCTGGGAACGAGTTTGTCTTGTTTTTATACGAAGATATTTCCTTTTCTACCATTGGCATCGAAGCGCTTGAAATCTCCACTTGCAAATTCCACAAAAAGAGTGTTTCAAATCTGCTCTGTCTAAAGGAAGGTTGAACTCTGTGAGTTGCATACACACAACACAAAGAAGTTACTGAGAAATCTTCTGTCTAGCATAATATGAAGAAATCCCGTTTCCAACGAAGGCCTCAAAGAGGTCCGAATATCCACTGGCAGGCTTCACAAACAGAGTGTTTCCTAACTGCTCTGTGAAAAGAAAGGTTAAACTACTGTGAGTTGAACGCACACATCACAAAGGAGTTTCTGAGAATCATTCTGTCTAGTTTTTATACGAAGATATTTCCTTTTCTACCATTGACCTCAAAGCGGCTGAAATCTCCACTTGCAAATTCCAGAAAAACAGTGTTTCAAATCTGCTCTGTGTAAAGGATCGTTCAACTCTGTGAGTTGAATACACACAACACAAGGAAGTTACTGAGAATTCATCTGTCTAGCATAATATGAAGAAATCCCGTTTCCAACGAAGGCCTCAAAGAGGTCTGAATATGCACTCGTAGACTTTACAAACAGAGTGTTTCCTAACTGCTCTTTGAAAAGAAAGGTTAAACTCTGTGAGTTGAACGCACACATCACAAAACAGTTTCTGAGAATCATTCTGTCTAGTTTTTATACGAAGATATTTCCTTTTCTACCGTTGACCTCAAAGCGGCTGAATTCTCCACTTACAAATTCCACCAAAAGAGTGTCTCAAATCTGCTCTGTGTAAAGAATCATTCAACTCTGTGAGTTGAATGCACACAACACAAGGAAGTTACTGGGAATTCCTCTGTCTAACCTTACATGAAAAAAACCCGTTTCCAACGAAGGCCTCTAAGAGGCCAATATATCCACTTGCAGACTTTACAAACAGAGTGTTTCCAAACTGCTGAATGAAAAGAAAAGTTAAACTCTATGAGTTGAACGCACACATCACAGAGCAGTTTCTGAGAATGATTCTGTCGGGTTTTTATACGAAGATATTTCCTTTTCTGCCTTTGGCCTCAAAGCGCTTGAAGTCTCCACTTGCAAATTGCAGAAAAAGAGTGTTTCGAATCTGCTCTGTCTAAAGGAAGGTTCAACCTTGTCAGTTGAATACACACAACACAAGGAAATTACTGAGATTTCCTCTGTCTAGCCTTACATGAAAAAAACCCGTTTCCAACGAAGGCCTCAAAGAGGTCAAAATATCCACGGCAGACTTTACAAACAGAGTGTTTCCAAACTGCTGAATGAAAAGAAAAGTTAAACTCTGTGAGTTGAACGCACACATCACAGAGCAGTTTCTGAGAATGATATTCTGTCGAGTTTTTATAGGAAAATATTTCCTTTTCTGCTTTTGGCCTCAAAGCGCTTGAAATCTCCACTTGCAAATTCCACAAAAAGAGACTTTCAAATCTGCTCTGTCTAAAGGAAGGTTCAACTCTGTCAGTTGAATACACACAACACAAAGAAGTTACTAAGAATTCTTCCCTCTAGCATTATATGAAGAAATCCCGTTTCCAACGAAGGCATCTAAGAGGTCCAAATATCCACTTGCAGACTTTACAAACACAGGGTTTCCAGAATGCTGTATGAAAAGAAAGGTTAAACTCTGTGAGTTAAACACACACATCACTACGCAGTGTCTGGGAACGAGTTTGTCTTGTTTTTATACGAAGATATTTCCTTTTCTACCATTGGCATCGAAGCGCTTGAAATCTCCACTTGCAAATTCCACAAAAAGAGTGTTTCAAATCTGCTCTGTCTAAAGGAAGGTTGAACTCTGTGAGTTGCATACACACAACACAAAGAAGTTACTGAGAAATCTTCTGTCTAGCATAATATGAAGAAATCCCGTTTCCATCGAAGGCCTCAAAGAGGTCCGAATATCCACTGGCAGGCTTCACAAACAGAGTGTTTCCTAACTGCTCTGTGAAAAGAAAGGTTAAACTCTGTGAGTTGAACGCACACATCACAAAGGAGTTTCTGAGAATCATTCTGTCTAGTTTTTATACGAAGATATTTCCTTTTCTACCATTGACCTCAAAGCGGCTGAAATCTCCACTTGCAAATTCCAGAAAAACAGTGTTTCAAATCTGCTCTGTGTAAAGGATCGTTTTACTCTGTGAGTTGAATACACACAACACAAGGAAGTTACTGAGAATTCAACTGTCTAGCATAATATGAAGAAATCCCGTTTCCAACGAAGGCCTCAAAGAGGTCTGAATATCCACTTGCAGACTTTACAAACAGAGTGTTTCCTAACTGCTCTTTGAAAAGAAAGGTTAAACTCTGTGAGTTGAACGCACACATCACAAAACAGTTTCTGAGAATCATTCTGTCTAGTTTTTATACGAAGATATTTCCTTTTCTACCGTTGACCTCAAAGCGGCTGAATTCTCCACTTACAAATTCCACCAAAAGAGTGTCTCAAATCTGCTCTGTGTAAAGAATCATTCAACTCTGTGAGTTGAATGCACACAACACAAGGAAGTTACTGGGAATTCCTCTGTCTAACCTTAAATGAAAAAACCCGTTTCCAACGAAGGCCTCTAAGAGGCCAAGATATCCACTTGCAGACTTTACAAACAGAGTGTTTCCAAACTGCTGAATGAAAAGAAAAGTTAAACTCTGTGAGTTGAACGCACACATCACAGAGCAGTTTCTGAGAATGATTCTGTCGGGTTTTTATACGAAGATATTTCCTTTTCTGCCTTTGGCCTCAAAGCGCTTGAAGTCTCCACTTGCAAATTGCAGAAAAAGAGTGTTTCGAATCTGCTCTGTCTAAAGGAAGGTTCAACTCTGTCAGTTGAATACACACAACACAAGGAAGTTACTGAGATTTCTTCTGTCTAGCCTTACATGAAAAAAACCCGTTTCCAACGAAGGCCTCAAAGAGGTCAAAATATCCACGTGCAGACTTTCCAAACAGAGTGTTTCCAAACTGCTGAATGAAAAGAAAAGTTAAACTCTGTGAGTTGAACGCACACATCCCAGAGCAGTTTCTGAGAAAGATTCTGTCGAGTTTTTATAGGAAAATATTTCCTTTTCTGCTTTTGGCCTCAAAGCGCTTGAAATCTCCACTTGCAAATTCCACAAAAAGAGACTTTCAAATCTGCTCTGTCTAAAGGAAGGTTCAACTCTGTCAGTTGAATACACACAACACAAAGAAGTTACTAAGATTTCTTCCCTCTAGCATTATATGAAGAAATCCCGTTTGCAACGAAGGCATCTAAGAGGTCCAAATATCCACTTGCAGACTTTACAAACAGAGGGTTTCCAGAATGCTGTATGAAAAGAAAGGTGAAACTCTGTGAGTTAAACACACACATCACTACGCAGTGTCTGGGAACGAGTTTGTCTTGTTTTTATACGAAGATATTTCCTTTTCTACCATTGGCATCGAAGCGCTTGAAATCTCCACTTGCAAATTCCACAAAAAGAGTGTTTCAAATCTGCTCTGTCTAAAGGAAGGTTGAACTCTGTGAGTTGCATACACACAACACAAAGAAGTTACTGAGAAATCTTCTGTCTAGCATAATATGAAGAAATCCCGTTTCCAACGAAGGCCTGAAAGAGGTCCGAATATCCACTGGCAGGCTTCACAAACAGAGTGTTTCCTAACTGCTCTGTGAAAAGAAAGGTTAAACTCTGTGAGTTGAACGCACACATCACAAAGGAGTTTCTGAGAATCATTCTGTCTAGTTTTTATACAGAAGATATTTCCTTTTCTACCATTGACCTCAAAGCGGCTGAAATCTCCACTTGCAAATTCCAGAAAAACAGTGTTTCAAATCTGCTCTGTGTAAAGGATCGTTCAACTCTGTGAGTTGAATACACACAACACAAGGAAGTTACTGAGAATTCATCTGTCTAGCATAATATGAAGAAATCCCGTTTCCAACGAAGGCCTCAAAGAGGTCTGAATATCCACTTGCAGACTTTACAAACAGAGTGTTTCCTAACTGCTCTTTGAAAAGAAAGGTTAAACTCTGTGAGTTGAACGCACACATCACAAAACAGTTTCTGAGAATCATTCTGTCTAGTTTTTATACGAAGATATTTCCTTTTCTACCGTTGACCTCAAAGCGGCTGAATTCTCCACTTACAAATTCCACCAAAAGAGTGTCTCAAATCTGCTCTGTGTAAAGAATCATTCAACTCTGTGAGTTGAATGCACACAACACAAGGAAGTTACTGGGAATTCCTCTGTCTATCCTTACATGAAAAAACCCGTTTCCAACGAAGGCCTCTAAGAGGCCAAGATATCCACTTGCAGACTTTACAAACAGAGTGTTTCCAAACTGCTGAATGAAAAGAAAAGTTAAACTCTGTGAGTTGAACGCACACATCACAGAGCAGTTTCTGAGAGTGATTCTGTCGGGTTTTTATACGAAGATATTTCCTTTTCTGCCTTTGGCCTCAAAGCGCTTGAAGTCTCCACTTGCAAATTGCAGAAAAAGAGTGTTTCGAATCTGCTCTGTCTAAAGGAAGGTTCAACTCTGTCAGTTGAATACACACAACACAAGGAAGTTACTGAGATTTCTTCTGTCTAGCCTTACATGAAAAAAACCCGTTTCCAACGAAGGCCTCAAAGAGGTCAAAATATCCACGTGCAGACTTTCCAAACAGAGTGTTTCCAAACTGCTGAATGAAAAGAAAAGTTAAACTCTGTGAGTTGAACGCACACATCCCAGAGCAGTTTCTGAGAAAGATTCTCTCTAGTTTTTATAGGAAAATATTTCCTTTTCTGCTTTTGGCCTCAAAGCGCTTGAAATCTCCACTTGCAAATTCCACAAAAAGAGACTTTCAAATCTGCTCTGTCTAAAGGAAGGTTCAACTCTGTCAGTTGAATACACACAACACAAAGAAGTTACTAAGAATTCTTCCCTCTAGCATTATATGAAGAAATCCCGTTTCCAACGAAGGCCTCAAAGAGGTCTGAATATCCACTTGCAGACTTTACAGAGTGTTTCCTAACTGCTCTTTGAAAAGAAAGGTTAAACTCTGTGAGTTGAACGCACACATCACAAAACAGTTTCTGAGAATCATTCTGTCTAGTTTTTATACGAAGATATTTCCTTTTCTACCGTTGACCTCAAAGCGGCTGAATTCTCCACTTACAAATTCCACCAAAAGAGTGTCTCAAATCTGCTCTGTGTAAAGAATCATTCAACTCTGTGAGTTGAATGCACACAACACAAGGAAGTTACTGGGAATTCCTCTGTCTATCCTTACATGAAAAAACCCGTTTCCAACGAAGGCCTCTAAGAGGCCAAGATATCCACTTGCAGACTTTACAAACAGAGTGTTTCCAAACTGCTGAATGAAAAGAAAAGTTAAACTCTGTGAGTTGAACGCACACATCACAGAGCAGTTTCTGAGAATGATTCTGTCGGGTTTTTATACGAAGATATTTCCTTTTCTGCCTTTGGCCTCAAAGCGCTTGAAGTCTCCACTTGCAAATTGCAGAAAAAGAGTGTTTCGAATCTGCTCTGTCTAAAGGAAGGTTCAACTCTGTCAGTTGAATACACACAACACAAGGAAGTTACTGAGATTTCTTCTGTCTAGCCTTACATGAAAAAAACCCGTTTCCAACGAAGGCCTCAAAGATGTCAAAATATCCACGTGCAGACTTTCCAAACAGAGTGTTTCCAAACTGCTGAATGAAAAGAAAAGTTAAACTCTGTGAGTTGAACGCACACATCCCAGAGCAGTTTCTGAGAAAGATTCTGTCTAGTTTTTATAGGAAAATATTTCCTTTTCTGCTTTTGGCCTCAAAGCGCTTGAAATCTCCACTTGCAAATTCCACAAAAAGAGACTTTCAAATCTGCTCTGTCTAAAGGAAGGTTCAACTCTGTCAGTTGAATACACACAACACAAAGAAGTTACTAAGAATTCTTCCCTCTAGCATTATATGAAGAAATCCCGTTTCCAACGAAGGCATCTAAGAGGTCCAAATATCCACTTGCAGACTTTACAAACACAGGGTTTCCAGAATGCTGTATGAAAAGAAAGGTTAAACTCTGTGAGTTAAACACACACATCACTACGCAGTGTCTGGGAACGAGTTTGTCTTGTTTTTATACGAAGATATTTCCTTTTCTACCATTGGCATCGAAGCGCTTGAAATCTCCACTTGCAAATTCCACAAAAAGAGTGTTTCAAATCTGCTCTGTCTAAAGGAAGGTTGAACTCTGTGAGTTGCATACACACAACACAAAGAAGTTACTGAGAAATCTTCTGTCTAGCATAATATGAAGAAATCCCGTTTCCAACGAAGGCCTCAAAGAGGTCCGAATATCCACTGGCAGGCTTCACAAACAGAGTGTTTCCTAACTGCTCTGTGAAAAGAAAGGTTAAACTCTGTGAGTTGAACGCACACATCACAAAGGAGTTTCTGAGAATCATTCTGTCTAGTTTTTATACGAAGATATTTCTTTTTCTACCATTGACCTCAAAGCGGCTGAAATCTCCACTTGCAAATTCCAGAAAAACAGTGTTTCAAATCTGCTCTGTGTAAAGGATCGTTCAACTCTGTGAGTTGAATACACACAACACTAGGAAGTTACTGAGAATTCATCTGTCTAGCATAATATGAAGAAATCCCGTTTCCAACGAAGGCCTCAAAGAGGTCTGAATATCCACTTGCAGACTTTACAAACAGAGTGTTTCCTAACTGCTCTTTGAAAAGAAAGGTTAAACTCTGTGAGTTGAACGCACACATCACAAAACAGTTTCTGAGAATCATTCTGTCTAGTTTTTATACGAAGATATTTCCTTTTCTACCGTTGACCTCAAAGCGGCTGAATTCTCCACTTACAAATTCCACCAAAAGAGTGTCTCAAATCTGCTCTGTGTAAAGAATCATTCAACTCTGTGAGTTGAATGCACACAACACAAGGAAGTTACTGGGAATTCCTCTGTCTAACCTTACATGAAAAAACCCGTTTCCAACGAAGGCCTCTAAGAGGCCAAGATATCCACTTGCAGACTTTACAAACAGAGTGTTTCCAAACTGCTGAATGAAAAGAAAAGTTAAACTCTGTGAGTTGAACGCACACATCACAGAGCAGTTTCTGAGAATGATTCTGTCGGGTTTTTATACGAAGATATTTCCTTTTCTGCCTTTGGCCTCAAAGCGCTTGAAGTCTCCACTTGCAAATTGCAGAAAAAGAGTGTTTCGAATCTGCTCTGTCTAAAGGAAGGTTCAACTCTGTCAGTTGAATACACACAACACAAGGAAGTTACTGAGATTTCTTCTGTCTAGCCTTACATGAAAAAAACCCGTTTCCAACGAAGGCCTCAAAGAGGTCAAAATATCCACGTGCAGACTTTCCAAACAGAGTGTTTCCAAACTGCTGAATGAAAAGAAAAGTTAAACTCTGTGAGTTGAACGCACACAACCCAGAGCAGTTTCTGAGAAAGATTCTGTCTAGTTTTTATAGGAAAATATTTCCTTTTCTGCTTTTGGCCTCAAAGCGCTTGAAATCTCCACTTGCAAATTCCACAAAAAGAGACTTTCAAATCTGCTCTGTCTAAAGGAAGGTTCAACTCTGTCAGTTGAATACACACAACACAAAGAAGTTACTAAGAATTCTTCCCTCTAGCATTATATGAGGAAATCCCGTTTCCAACGAAGGCATCTAAGAGGTCCAAATATCCACTTGCAGACTTTACAAACAGAGGGTTTCCAGAATGCTGTATGAAAAGAAAGGTTAAACTCTGTGAGTTAAACACACACATCACTACGCAGTGTCTGGGAACGAGTTTGTCTTGTTTTTATACGAAGATATTTCCTTTTCTACCATTGGCATCGAAGCGCTTGAAATCTCCACTTGCAAATTCCACAAAAAGAGTGTTTCAAATCTGCTCTGTCTAAAGGAAGGTTGAACTCTGTGAGTTGCATACACACAACACAAAGAAGTTACTGAGAAATCTTCTGTCTAGCATAATATGAAGAAATCCCGTTTCCAACGAAGGCCTCAAAGAGGTCCGAATATCCACTGGCAGGCTTCACAAACAGAGTGTTTCCTAACTGCTCTGTGAAAAGAAAGGTTAAACTCTGTGAGTTGAACGCACACATCACAAAGGAGTTTCTGAGAATCATTCTGTCTAGTTTTTATACGAAGATATTTCCTTTTCTACCATTGACCTCAAAGCGGCTGAAATCTCCACTTGCAAATTCCAGAAAAACAGTGTTTCAAATCTGCTCTGTGTAAAGGATCGTTCAACTCTGTGACTTGAATACACACAACACAAGGAAGTTACTGAGAATTCATCTGTCTAGCATAATATGAAGAAATCCCGTTTCCAACGAAGGCCTCAAAGAGGTCTGAATATCCACTTGCAGACTTTACAAACAGAGTGTTTCCTAACTGCTCTTTGAAAAGAAAGGTTAAACTCTGTGAGTTGAACGCACACATCACAAAACAGTTTCTGAGAATCATTCTGTCTAGTTTTTATACGAAGATATTTCCTTTTCTACCGTTGACCTCAAAGCGGCTGAATTCTCCACTTACAAATTCCACCAAAAGAGTGTCTCAAATCTGCTCTGTGTAAAGAATCATTCAACTCTGTGAGTTGAATGCACACAACACAAGGAAGTTACTGGGAATTCCTCTGTCTAACCTTACATGATAAAACCCGTTTCCAACGAAGGCCTCTAAGAGGCCAAGATATCCACTTGCAGACTTTACAAACAGAGTGTTTCCAAACTGCTGAATGAAAAGAAAAGTTAAACTCTGTGAGTTGAACGCACACATCACAGAGCAGTTTCTGAGAATGATTCTGTCGTGTTTTTATACGAAGATATTTCCTTTTCTGCCTTTGGCCTCAAAGCGCTTGAAGTCTCCACTTGCAAATTGCAGAAAAAGAGTGTTTCGAATCTGCTCTGTCTAAAGGAAGGTTCAACTCTGTCAGTTGAATACACACAACACAAGGAAGTTACTGAGATTTCTTCTGTCTAGCCTTACATGAAAAAAACCCGTTTCCAACGAAGGCCTCAAAGAGGTCAAAATATCCACGTGCAGACTTTCCAAACAGAGTGTTTCCAAACTGCTGAATGAAAAGAAAAGTTAAACTCTGTGAGTTGAACGCACACATCCCAGAGCAGTTTCTGAGAAAGATTCTGTCGAGTTTCTATAGGAAAATATTTCCTTTTCTGCTTTTGGCCTCAAAGCGCTTGAAATCTCCACTTGCAAATTCCACAGAAAGAGACTTTCAAATCTGCTCTGTCTAAAGGAAGGTTCAACTCTGTCAGTTGAATACACACAACACAAAGAAGTTACTAAGAATTCTTCCCTCTAGCATTATATGAAGAAATCCCGTTTCCAAAGAAGGCATCTAAGAGGTCCAAATATCCACTTGCAGACTTTACAAACAGAGGGTTTCCAGAATGCTGTATGAACAGAAAGGTTAAACTCTGTGAGTTAAACACACACATCAGTACGCAGTGTCTGGGAACGAGTTTGTCTTGTTTTTATACGAAGATATTTCCTTTTCTACCATTGGCATCGAAGCGCTTGAAATCTCCACTTGCAAATTCCACAAAAAGAGTGTTTCAAATCTGCTCTGTCTAAAGGAAGGTTGAACTCTGTGAGTTGCATACACACAACACAAAGAAGTTACTGAGAAATCTTCTGTCTAGCATAATATGAAGAAATCCCGTTTCCAACGAAGGCCTCAAAGAGGTCCGAATATCCACTGGCAGGCTTCACAAACAGAGTGTTTCCTAACTGCTCTGTGAAAAGAAAGGTTAAACTCTGTGAGTTGAACGCACACATCACAAAGGAGTTTCTGAGAATCATTCTGTCTAGTTTTTATACGAAGATATTTCCTTTTCTACCATTGACCTCAAAGCGGCTGAAATCTCCACTTGCAAATTCCAGAAAAACAGTGTTTCAAATCTGCTCTGTGTAAAGGATCGTTCAACTCTGTGAGTTGAATACACACAACACAAGGGAAGTTACTGAGAATTCATCTGTCTAGCATAATATGAAGAAATCCCGTTTCCAACGAAGGCCTCAAAGAGGTCTGAATATCCACTTGCAGACTTTACAAACAGAGTGTTTCCTAACTGCTCTTTGAAAAGAAAGGTTAAACTCTGTGAGTTGAACGCACACATCACAAAACAGTTTCTGAGAATCATTCTGTCTAGTTTTTATACGAAGATATTTCCTTTTCTACCGTTGACCTCAAAGCGGCTGAATTCTCCACTTACAAATTCCACCCAAAGAGTGTCTCAAATCTGCTCTGTGTAAAGAATCATTCAACTCTGTGAGTTGAATGCACACAACACAAGGAAGTTACTGGGAATTCCTCTGTCTAACCTTACATGACAAAACCCGTTTCCAACGAAGGCCTCTAAGAGGCCAAGATATCCACTTGCAGACTTTACAAACAGAGTGTTTCCAAACTGCTGAATGAAAAGAAAAGTTAAACTCTGTGAGTTGAACGCACACATCACAGAGCAGTTTCTGAGAATGATTCTGTCGGGTTTTTATACGAAGATATTTCCTTTTCTGCCTTTGGCCTCAAAGCGCTTGAAGTCTCCACTTGCAAATTGCAGAAAAAGAGTGTTTCGAATCTGCTCTGTCTAAAGGAAGGTTCAACTCTGTCAGTTGAATACACACAACACAAGGAAGTTACTGAGATTTCTTCTGTCTAGCCTTACATGAAAAACACCCGTTTCCAACGAAGGCCTCAAAGAGGTCAAAATATCCACGTGCAGACTTTCCAAACAGAGTGTTTCCAAACTGCTGAATGAAAAGAAAAGTTAAACTCTGTGAGTTGAACGCACACATCCCAGAGCAGTTTCTGAGAAAGATTCTGTCTAGTTTTTATAGGAAAATATTTCCTTTTCTGCCTTTGGCCTCAAAGCGCTTGAAATCTCCACTTGCAAATTCCACAAAAAGAGACTTTCAAATCTGCTCTGTTTAAAGGAAGGTTCAACTCTGTCAGTTGAATACACACAACACAAAGAAGTTACTAAGAATTCTTCCCTCTAGCATTATATGAAGAAATCCCGTTTCCAACGAAGGCATCTAAGAGGTCCAAATATCCACTTGCAGACTTTACAAACACAGGGTTTCCAGAATGCTGTATGAAAAGAAAGGTTAAACTCTGTGAGTTAAACACACACATCACTACGCAGTGTCTGGGAACGAGTTTGTCTTGTTTTTATACGAAGATATTTCCTTTTCTACCATTGGCATCGAAGCGCTTGAAATCTCCACTTGCAAATTCCACAAAAAGAGTGTTTCAAATCTGCTCTGTCTAAAGGAAGGTTGAACTCTGTGAGTTGCATACACACAACACAAAGAAGTTACTGAGAAATCTTCTGTCTAGCATAATATGAAGAAATCCCGTTTCCAACGAAGGCCTCAAAGAGGTCCGATTATCCACTGGCAGGCTTCACAAACAGAGTGTTTCCTAACTGCTCTGTGAAAAGAAAGGTTAAACTCTGTGAGTTGAACGCACACATCACAAAGGAGTTTCTGAGAATCATTCTGTCTAGTTTTTATACGAAGATATTTCCTTTTCTACCATTGACCTCAAAGCGGCTGAAATCTCCACTTGCAAATTCCAGAAAAACAGTGTTTCAAATCTGCTCTGTGTAAAGGATCGTTCAACTCTGTGAGTTGAATACACACAACACAAGGGAAGTTACTGAGAATTCATCTGTCTAGCATAATATGAAGAAATCCCGTTTCCAACGAAGGCCTCAAAGAGGTCTGAATATCCACTTGCAGACTTTACAAACAGAGTGTTTCCTAACTGCTCTTTGAAAAGAAAGGTTAAACTCTGTGAGTTGAACGCACACATCACAAAACAGTTTCTGAGAATCATTCTGTCTAGTTTTTATACGAAGATATTTCCTTTTCTACCGTTGACCTCAAAGCGGCTGAATTCTCCACTTACAAATTCCACCAAAAGAGTGTCTCAAATCTGCTCTGTGTAAAGAATCGTTCAACTCTGTGAGTTGAATGCACACAACACAAGGAAGTTACTGGGAATTCCTCTGTCTATCCTTACATGAAAAAACCCGTTTCCAACGAAGGCCTCTAAGAGGCCAAGATATCCACTTGCAGACTTTACAAACAGAGTGTTTCCAAACTGCTGAATGAAAAGAAAAGTTAAACTCTGTGAGTTGAACGCACACATCACAGAGCAGTTTCTGAGAATGATTCTGTCGGGTTTTTATACGAAGATATTTCCTTTTCTGCCTTTGGCCTCAAAGCGCTTGAAGTCTCCACTTGCAAATTGCAGAAAAAGAGTGTTTCGAATCTGCTCTGTCTAAAGGAAGGTTCAACTCTGTCAGTTGAATACACACAACACAAGGAAGTTACTGAGATTTCTTCTGTCTAGCCTTACATGAAAAAAACCCGTTTCCAACGAAGGCCTCAAAGAGGTCAAAATATCCACGTGCAGACTTTCCAAACAGAGTGTTTCCAAACTGCTGAATGAAAAGAAAAGTTAAACTCTGTGAGTTGAACGCACACATCCCAGAGCAGTTTCTGAGAAAGATTCTGTCTAATTTTTATAGGAAAATATTTCCTTTTCTGCTTTTGGCCTCAAAGCGCTTGAAATCTCCACTTGCAAATTCCACAAAAAGAGACTTTCAAATCTGCTCTGTCTAAAGGAAGTTTCAACTCTGTCAGTTGAATACACACAACAAAAAGAAGTTACTAAGAATTCTTCCCTCTAGCATTATATGAAGAAATCCCGTTTGCAACGAAGGCATCTAAGAGGTCCAAATATCCACTTGCAGACTTTACAAACACAGGGTTTCCAGAATGCTGTATGAAAAGAAAGGTGAAACTCTGTGAGTTAAACACACACATCACTACGCAGTGTTTGGGAACGAGTTTGTCTTGTTTTTATACGAAGATATTTCCTTTTCTACCATTGGCATCGAAGCGCTTGAAATCTCCACTTGCAAATTCCACAAAAAGAGTGTTTCAAATCTGCTCTGTCTAAAGGAAGGTTGAACTCTGTGAGTTGCATACACACAACACAAAGAAGTTACTGAGAAATCTTCTGTCTAGCATAATATGAAGAAATCCCGTTTCCAACGAAGGCCTCAAAGAGGTCCGAATATCCACTGGCAGGCTTCACAAACAGAGTGTTTCCTAACTGCTCTGTGAAAAGAAAGGTTAAACTCTGTGAGTTGAACGCACACATCACAAAGGAGTTTCTGAGAATCATTCTGTCTAGTTTTTATACGAAGATATTTCCTTTTCTACCATTGACCTCAAAGCGGCTGAAATCTCCACTTGCAAATTCCAGAAAAACAGTGTTTCAAATCTGCTCTGTGTAAAGGATCGTTCAACTCTGTGAGTTGAATACACACAACACAAGGAAGTTACTGAGAATTCATCTGTCTAGCATAATATGAAGAAATCCCGTTTCCAACGAAGGCCTCAAAGAGGTCTGAATATCCTCTTGCAGACTTTACAAACAGAGTGTTTCCTAACTGCTCTTTGAAAAGAAAGGTTAAACTCTGTGAGTTGAACGCACACATCACAAAACAGTTTCTGAGAATCATTTCTGTCTAGTTTTTATACGAAGATATTTCCTTTTCTACCGTTGACCTCAAAGCGGCTGAATTCTCCACTTACAAATTCCACCAACAGTGTCTCAAATCTGCTCTGTGTAAAGAATCATTCAACTCTGTGAGTTGAATGCACACAACACAAGGAAGTTACTGGGAATTCCTCTGTCTAACCTTACATGAAAAAACCCGTTTCCAACGAAGGCCTCTAAGAGGCCAAGATATCCACTTGCAGACTTTACAAACAGAGTGTTTCCAAACTGCTGAATGAAAAGAAAAGTTAAACTCTGTGAGTTGAACGCACACATCACAGAGCAGTTTCTGAGAATGATTCTGTCGGGTTTTTATACGAAGATATTTCCTTTTCTGCCTTTGGCCTCAAAGCGCTTGAAGTCTCCACTTGCAAATTGCAGAAAAAGAGTGTTTCGAATCTGCTCTGTCTAAAGGAAGGTTCAACTCTGTCAGTTGAATACACACAACACAAGGAAGTTACTGAGATTTCTTCTGTCTAGCCTTACATGAAAAAAACCCGTTTCCAACGAAGGCCTCAAAGAGGTCAAAATATCCAAGGCAGACTTTCCAAACAGAGTGTTTCCAAACGCTGAATGAAAAGAAAAGTTAAACTCTGTGAGTTGAACGCACACATCCCAGAGCAGTTTCTGAGAAAGATTCTGTCGAGGTTTTATAGGAAAATATTTCCTTTTCTGCTTTTGGCCTCAAAGCGCTTGAAATCTCCACTTGCAAATTCCACAAAAAGAGACTTTCAAATCTGCTCTGTCTAAAGGAAGGTTCAACTCTGTCAGTTGAATACACACAACACAAAGAAGTTACTAAGAATTCTTCCCTCTAGCATTATATGAAGAAATCCCGTTTCCAACGAAGGCATCTAAGAGGTCCAAATATCCACTTGCAGACTTTACAAACAGAGGGTTTCCAGAATGCTGTATGAAAAGAAAGGTGAAACTCTGTGAGTTAAACACACACATCACTACGCAGTGTCTGGGAACGAGTTTGTCTTGTTTTTATACGAAGATATTTCCTTTTCTACCATTGGCATCGAAGCGCTTGAAATCTCCACTTGCAAATTCCACAAAAAGAGTGTTTCAAATCTGCTCTGTCTAAAGGAAGGTTGAACTCTGTGAGTTGCATACACACAACACAAAGAAGTTACTGAGAAATCTTCTGTCTAGCATAATATGAAGAAATCCCGTTTCCAACGAAGGCCTCAAAGAGGTCCGAATATCCACTGGCAGGCTTCACAAACAGAGTGTTTCCTAACTGCTCTGTGAAAAGAAAGGTTAAACTCTGTGAGTTGAACGCACACATCACAAAGGAGTTTCTGAGAATCATTCTGTCTAGTTTTTATACGAAGATATTTCCTTTTCTACCATTGACCTCAAAGCGGCTGAAATCTCCACTTGCAAATTCCAGAAAAACAGTTTTTCAAATCTGCTCTGTGTAAAGGATCGTTTAACTCTGTGAGTTGAATACACACAACACAAGGAAGTTACTGAGAATTCATCTGTCTAGCATAATATGAAGAAATCCCGTTTCCAACGAAGGCCTCAAAGAGGTCTGAATATCCACTTGCAGACTTTACAAACAGAGTGTTTCCTAACTGCTCTTTGAAAAGAAAGGTTAAACTCTGTGAGTTGAACGCACACATCACAAAACAGTTTCTGAGAATCATTCTGTCTAGTTTTTATACGAAGATATTTCCTTTTCTACCGTTGACCTCAAAGCGGCTGAATTCTCCACTTTCAAATTCCACCAAAAGAGTGTCTCAAATCTGCTCTCTGTAAAGAATCATTCAACTCTGTGAGTTGAATGCACACAACACAAGGAAGTTACTGGGAATTCCTCTGTCTAACCTTACATGAAAAAACCCGTTTCCAACGAAGGCCTCTAAGAGGCCAAGATATCCACTTGCAGACTTTACAAACAGAGTGTTTCCAAACTGCTGAATGAAAAGAAAAGTTAAACTCTGTGAGTTGAACGCACACATCACAGAGCAGTTTCTGAGAATGATTCTGTCGGGTTTTTATACGAAGATATTTCCTTTTCTGCCTTTGGCCTCAAAGCGCTTGAAGTCTCCACTTGCAAATTGCAGAAAAAGAGTGTTTCGAATCTGCTCTGTCTAAAGGAAGGTTCAACTCTGTCAGTTGAATACACACAACACAAGGAAGTTACTGAGATTTCTTCTGTCTAGCCTTACATGAAAAAAACCCGTTTCCAACGAAGGCCTCAAAGAGGTCAAAATATCCACGTGCAGACTTTCCAAACAGAGTGTTTCCAAACTGCTGAATGAAAAGAAAAGTTAAACTCTGTGAGTTGAACGCACACATCCCAGAGCAGTTTCTGAGAAAGATTCTGTCGAGTTTTTATAGGAAAATATTTCCTTTTCTGCTTTTGGCCTCAAAGCGCTTGAAATCTCCACTTGCAAATTCCACAAAAAGAGACTTTCAAATCTGCTCTGTCTAAAGGAAGGTTCAACTCTGTCAGTTGAATACACACAACACAAAGAAGTTACTAAGAATTCTTCCCTCTAGCATTATATGAAGAAATCCCGTTTCCAACGAAGGCATCTAAGAGGTCCAAATATCCACTTGCAGACTTTACAAACAGAGGGTTTCCAGAATGCTGTATGAAAAGAAAGGTTAAACTCTGTGAGTTAAACACACACATCACTACGCAGTGTCTGGGAACGAGTTTGTCTTGTTTTTATACGAAGATATTTCCTTTTCTACCATTGGCATCGAAGCGCTTGAAATCTCCACTTGCAAATTCCACAAAAAGAGTGTTTCAAATCTGCTCTGTCTAAAGGAAGGTTGAACTCTGTGAGTTGCATACACACAACACAAAGAAGTTACTGAGAAATCTTCTGTCTAGCATAATATGAAGAAATCCCGTTTCCAACGAAGGCCTCAAAGAGGTCCGAATATCCACTGGCAGGCTTCACAAACAGAGTGTTTCCTAACTGCTCTGTGAAAAGAAAGGTTAAACTCTGTGAGTTGAACGCACACATCACAAAGGAGTTTCTGAGAATCATTCTGTCTAGGTTTTATACGAAGATATTTCCTTTTCTACCATTGACCTCAAAGCGGCTGAAATCTCCACTTGCAAATTCCAGAAAAACAGTGTTTCAAATCTGCTCTGTGTAAAGGATCGTTCAACTCTGTGAGTTGAATACACACAACACAAGGAAGTTACTGAGAATTCATCTGTCTAGCATAATATGAAGAAATCCCGTTTCCAACGAAGGCCTCAAAGAGGTCTGAATATCCACTTGCAGACTTTACAAACAGAGTGTTTCCTAACTGCTCTTTGAAAAGAAAGGTTAAACTCTGTGAGTTGAACGCACACATCACAAAACAGTTTCTGAGAATCA
Organism: Homo sapiens; assembly: GCF_000001405.40. Taxonomy (NCBI): domain Eukaryota; kingdom Metazoa; phylum Chordata; class Mammalia; order Primates; family Hominidae; genus Homo; species Homo sapiens. The sequence continues at coordinate 37,972,996 of NC_000016.10, read as the reverse complement.
TTCTGTCTAGTTTTTATACGAAGATATTTCCTTTTCTACCATTGACCTCAAAGCGGCTGAATTCTCCACTTACAAATTCCACCAACAGTGTCTCAAATCTGCTCTGTGTAAAGAATCATTCAACTCTGTGAGTTGAATGCACACAACACAAGGAAGTTACTGGGAATTCCTCTGTCTAACCTTACATGAAAAAACCCGTTTCCAACGAAGGCCTCTAAGAGGCCAAGATATCCACTTGCAGACTTTACAAACAGAGTGTTTCCAAACTGCTGAATGAAAAGAAAAGTTAAACTCTGTGAGTTGAACGCACACATCACAGAGCAGTTTCTGAGAATGATTCTGTCGGGTTTTTATACGAAGATATTTCCTTTTCTGCCTTTGGCCTCAAAGCGCTTGAAGTCTCCACTTGCAAATTGCAGAAAAAGAGTGTTTCGAATCTGCTCTGTCTAAAGGAAGGTTCAACTCTGTCAGTTGAATACACACAACACAAGGAAGTTACTGAGATTTCTTCTGTCTAGCGTTACATTAAAAAAACCCGTTTCCAACGAAGGCCTCAAAGATGTCAAAATATCCACGTGCAGACTTTCCAAACAGAGTGTTTCCAAACTGCTGAATGAAAAGAAAGTTAAACTCTGTGAGTTGAACACACACATCACAGAGCAGTTTCTGAGAATGATTCTGTCTAGTTTTTATAGGAAAATATTTCCTTTTCTGCTTTTGGCCTCAAAGCGCTTGAAATCTCCACTTGCAAATTCCACAAAAAGAGACTTTCAAATCTGCTCTGTCTAAAGGAAGGTTCAACTCTGTCAGTTGAATACACACAACACAAAGAAGTTACTAAGAATTCTTCCCTCTAGCATTATATGAGGAAATCCCGTTTCCAACGAAGGCATCTAAGAGGTCCAAATATCCACTTGCAGACTTTACAAACAGAGGGTTTCCAGAATGCTGTATGAAAAGAAAGGTTAAACTCTGTGAGTTAAACACACACATCACTACGCAGTGTACTGGGAACGAGTTTGTCTTGTTTTTATACGAAGATATTTCCTTTTCGACCATTGGCGTCGAAGCGCTTGAAATCTCCACTTGCAAATTCCACAAAAAGAGTGTTTCAAATCTGCTCTGTCTAAAGGCAGGATGAACTCTGTGAGTTGCATACACACAACACAAAGTAGTTACTGAGAAATCTGTCTAGCATAATATGAAGAAATCCCGTTTCCAACGAAGGCCTCAAAGAGGTCCGAATATCCACTGGCAGACTTCACAGAGTGTTTCCTAACTGCTCTGAGAAAAGAAAGGTTAAACTCTGTGAGTTGAACGCACACATCACAAAGGAGTTTCTGAGAATCATTCTGTCTAGTTTTTATACGAAGATATTTCCTTTTCTACCATTGACCTCAAAGCGGCTGAAATCTCCACTTGCAAATTCCAGAAAAAGAGTGTTTCAAATCTGCTCTGTGTAAAGGATCGTTCAACTCTGTGAGTTGAATACACACAACACAAGGAAGTTACTTGAGAATTCATCTGTCTAGCATAATATGAAGAAATCCCGTTTCCAACGAAGGCCTCAAAGAGGTCTGAATATCCACTTGCAGACTTTACAAACAGAGTGTTTCCTAACTGCTCTTTGAAAAGAAAGGTTAAACTCTGTGAGTTGAACGCACACATCACAAAACAGTTTCTGAGAATCATTCTGTCTAGTTTTTATACGAAGATATTTCCTTTTCTACCGTTGACCTCAAAGCGGCTGAATTCTCCACTTACAAATTCCACCAAAAGAGTGTCTCAAATCTGCTCTGTGTAAAGAATCATTCAACTCTCTGAGTTGAGTGCACACAACACAAGGAAGTTACTGGGAATTCCTCTGTCTAACCTTACATGAAAAAACCCGTTTCCAACGAAGGCCTCTAAGAGGCCAAGATATCCACTTGCAGACTTTACAAACAGAGTGTTTCCAAACTGCTGAATGAAAAGAAAAGTTAAACTCTGTGAGTTGAACGCACACATCACAGAGCAGTTTCTGAGAATGATTCTGTCGGGTTTTTATACGAAGATATTTCCTTTTCTGCCTTTGGCCTCAAAGCGCTTGAAGTCTCCACTTGCAAATTGCAGAAAAAGAGCGTTTCGAATCTGCTCTGTCTAAAGGAAGGTTCAACTCTGTCAGTTGAATACACACAACACAAGGGAAGTTACTGAGATTTCTTCTGTCTAGCCTTACATGAAAAAAACCCGTTTCCAACGAAGGCCTCAAAGAGGTCAAAATATCCACGTGCAGACTTTCCAAACAGAGTGTTTCCAAACTGCTGAATGAAAAGAAAAGTTAAACTCTGTGAGTTGAACGCACACATCCCAGAGCAGTTTCTGAGAAAGATTCTGTCTAGTTTTTATTAGAAAATATTTCCTTTTCTGCTTTTGGCCTCAAAGCGCTTGAAATCTCCACTTGCAAATTCCACAAAAAGAGACTTTCAAATCTGCTCTGTCTAAAGGAAGGTTCAACTCTGTCAGTTGAATACACACAACACAAAGAAGTTACTAAGAATTCTTCCCTCTAGCATTATATGAAGAAATCCCGTTTCCAACGAAGGCATCTAAGAGGTCCAAATATCGACTTGCAGACTTTACAAACAGAGGGTTTCCAGAATGCTGTATGAAAAGAAAGGTTAAACTCTGTGAGTTAAACACACACATCACTACGCAGTGTCTGGGAACGAGTTTGTCTTGTTTTTATACGAAGATATTTCCTTTTCTACCATTGGCATCGAAGCGCTTGAAATTTCCACTTGCAAATTCCACAAAAAGAGTGTTTCAAATCTGCTCTGTCTAAAGGAAGGTTGAACTCTGTGAGCTGTATACACACAACACAAAGAAGTTACTGAGAAATCTTCTGTCTAGCATAATATGAAGAAATCCCGTTTCCAACGAAGGCCTCAAAGAGGTCCGAATATCCACTGGCAGGCTTCACAAACAGAGTGTTTCCTAACTGCTCTGTGAAAAGAAAGGTTAAACTCTGTGAGTTGAACGCACACATCACAAAGGAGTTTCTGAGAATCATTCTGTCTAGTTTTTATACGAAGATATTTCCTTTTCTACCATTGACCTCAAAGCGGCTGAAATCTCCACTTGCAAATTCCAGAAAAACAGTGTTTCAAATCTGCTCTGTGTAAAGGATCGTTCAACTCTGTGAGTTGAATACACACAACACAAGGAAGTTACTGAGAATTCATCCCTCTAGCATTATATGAAGAAATCCCGTTTCCAACGAAGGCCTCAAAGAGGTCTGAATATCCACTTGCAGACTTTACAGAGTGTTTCCTAACTGCTCTTTGAAAAGAAAGGTTAAACTCTGTGAGTTGAACGCACACATCACAAAACAGTTTCTGAGAATCATTCTGTCTAGTTTTTATACGAAGATATTTCCTTTTCTACCGTTGACCTCAAAGCGGCTGAATTCTCCACTTACAAATTCCACCAAAAGAGTGTCTCAAATGTGCTCTGTGTAAAGAATCATTCAACTCTGTGAGTTGAATGCACACAACACAAGGAAAGTTACTGGGAATTCCTCTGTCTATCCTTACATGAAAAAACCCGTTTCCAACGAAGGCCTCTAAGAGGCCAAGATATCCACTTGCAGACTTTACAAACAGAGTGTTTCCAAACTGCTGAATGAAAAGAAAAGTTAAACTCTGTGAGTTGAACGCACACATCACAGAGCAGTTTCTGAGAATGATTCTGTCGGGTTTTTATACGAAGATATTTCCTTTTCTGCCTTTGGCCTCAAAGCGCTTGAAGTCTCCACTTGCAAATTGCAGAAAAAGAGTGTTTCGAATCTGCTCTGTCTAAAGGAAGGTTCAACTCTGTCAGTTGAATACACACAACACAAGGAAGTTACTGAGATTTCTTCTGTCTAGCCTTACATGAAAAAAACCCGTTTCCAACGAAGGCCTCAAAGAGGTCAAAATATCCACGTGCAGACTTTCCAAACAGAGTGTTTCCAAACTGCTGAATGAAAAGAAAAGTTAAACTCTGTGAGTTGAACGCACACATCCCAGAGCAGTTTCTGAGAAAGATTCTGTCGAGTTTTTATAGGAAAATATTTCCTTTTCTGCTTTTGGCCTCAAAGCGCTTGAAATCTCCACTTGCAAATTCCACAAAAAGAGACTTTCAAATCTGCTCTGTCTAAAGGAAGGTTCAACTCTGTCAGTTGAATACACACAACACAAAGAAGTTACTAAGAATTCTTCCCTCTAACATTATATGAAGAAATCCCGTTTCCAATGAAGACATCTAAGCGGTCCAAATATCCACTTGCAGACTTTACAAACAGAGTGTTCCCAGAATGCTGTATGAAAAGAAAGGTTAAACTCTTTGAGTTAAACACACACATCACTACGCAGATTCTGGGAATGATTTTGTCTTGTTTTTATACGAAGATATTTCCTTTTCTACCATTGGCATCGAAGCGCTTGAAATCTCCACTTGCAAATTCCACAAAAAGAGTGTTTCAAATCTGCTCTGTCTAAAGGAAGGTTGAACTCTGTGAGTTGCATACACACAACACAAAGAAGTTACTGAGAAATCTTCTGTCTATCATAATATGAAGAAATCCCGTTTCCAACGAAGGCCTCAAAGAGGTCCGAATATCCACTGGCAGGCTTCACAAACAGAGTGTTTCCTAACTGCTCTGTGAAAAGAAAGGTTAAACTCTGTGAGTTGAACGCACACATCACAAAGGAGTTTCTGAGAATCATTCTGTCTAGTTTTTATACAGAAGATATTTCCTTTTCTACCATTGACCTCAAAGCGGCTGAAATCTCCACTTGCAAATTCCAGAAAAACAGTGTTTCAAATCTGCTCTGTGTAAAGGATCGTTCAACTCTGTGAGTTGAATACACACAACACAAGGAAGTTACTGAGAATTCATCTGTCTAGCATAATATGAAGAAATCCCGTTTCCAACGAAGGCCTCAAAGAGGTCTGAATATCCTCTTGCAGACTTTACAAACAGAGTGTTTCCTAACTGCTCTTTGAAAAGAAAGGTTAAACTCTGTGAGTTGAACGCACACATCACAAAACAGTTTCTGAGAATCATTCTGTCTAGTTTTTATACGAAGATATTTCCTTTTCTACCGTTGACCTCAAAGCGGCTGAATTCTCCACTTACAAATTCCACCAAAAGAGTGTCTCAAAACTGCTCTGTGTAAAGAATCATTCAACTCTGTGAGTTGAATGCACACAACACAAGGAAAGTTACTGGGAATTCCTCTGTCTAGCATAATATGAAGAAATCCCGTTTCCAACGAAGGCCTCAAAGAGGTCTGAATATCCTCTTGCAGACTTTACAAACAGAGTGTTTCCTAACTGCTCTTTGAAAAGAAAGGTTAAACTCTGTGAGTTGAACGCACACATCACAAAACAGTTTCTGAGAATCATTCTGTCTAGTTTTTATACGAAGATATTTCCTTTTCTACCGTTGACCTCAAAGCGGCTGAATTCTCCACTTACAAATTCCACCAAAAGAGTGTCTCAAATCTGCTCTGTGTAAAGAATCATTCAACTCTGTGAGTTGAATGCACACAACACAAGGAAGTTACTGGGAATTCCTGTGTCTATCCTTACATGAAAAAACCCGTTTCCAACGAAGGCCTCTAAGAGGCCAAGATATCCACTTGCAGACTTTACAAACAGAGTGTTTCCAAACTGCTGAATGAAAAGAAAAGTTAAACTCTGTGAGTTGAACGCACACATCACAGAGCAGTTTCTGAGAATGATTCTGTCGGGTTTTTATACGAAGATATTTCCTTTTCTGCCTTTGGCCTCAAAGCGCTTGAAGTCTCCACTTGCAAATTGCAGAAAAAGAGTGTTTCGAATCTGCTCTGTCTAAAGGAAGGTTCAACTCTGTCAGTTGAATACACACAACACAAGGAAGTTACTGAGATTTCTTCTGTCTAGCCTTACATGAAAAACACCCGTTTCCAACGAAGGCCTCAAAGAGGTCAAAATATCCACGTGCAGACTTTCCAAACAGAGTGTTTCCAAACTGCTGAATGAAAAGAAAAGTTAAACTCTGTGAGTTGAACGCACACATCCCAGAGCAGTTTCTGAGAAAGATTCTGTCTAGTTTTTATAGGAAAATATTTCCTTTTCTGCTTTTGGCCTCAAAGCGCTTGAAATCTCCACTTGCAAATTCCACAAAAAGAGACTTTCAAATCTGCTCTGTCTAAAGGAAGGTTCAACTCTGTCAGTTGAATACACACAACACAAAGAAGTTACTAAGAATTCTTCCCTCTAGCATTATATGAGGAAATCCCGTTTCCAACGAAGGCATCTAAGAGGTCCAAATATCCACTTGCAGACTTTACAAACAGAGGGTTTCCAGAATGCTGTATGAAAAGAAAGGTTAAACTCTGTGAGTTAAACACACACATCACTACGCAGTGTCTGGGAACGAGTTTGTCTTGTTTTTATACGAAGATATTTCCTTTTCTACCATTGGCATCGATGCGCTTGAAATTTCCACTTGCAAATTCCACAAAAAGAGTGTTTCAAATCTGCTCTGTCTAAAGGAAGGTTGAACTCTGTGAGTTGCATACACACAACACAAAGAAGTTACTGAGAAATCTTCTGTCTAGCATAATATGAAGAAATCCCGTTTCCAACGAAGGCCTCAAAGAGGTCCGAATATCCACTGGCAGGCTTCACAAACAGAGTGTTTCCTAACTGCTCTGTGAAAAGAAAGGTTAAACTCTGTGAGTTGAACGCACACATCACAAAGGAGTTTCTGAGAATCATTCTGTCTAGTTTTTATACGAAGATATTTCTTTTTCTACCATTGACGCAAAGCGGCTGAAATCTCCACTTGCAAATTCCAGAAAAACAGTGTTTCAAATCTGCTCTGTGTAAAGGATCGTTCAACTCTGTGAGTTGAATACACACAACACAAGGAAATTACTGAGAATTCATCTGTCTAGCATAATATGAAGAAATCCCGTTTCCAACGAAGGCCTCAAAGAGGTCTGAATATCCACTTGCAGACTTTACAAACAGAGTGTTTCCTAACTGCTCTTTGAAAAGAAAGGTTAAACTCTGTGAGTTGAACGCACACATCACAAAACAGTTTCTGAGAATCATTCTGTCTAGTTTTTATACGAAGATATTTCCTTTTCTACCGTTGACCTCAAAGCGGCTGAATTCTCCACTTACAAATTCCACCAAAAGAGAGTCTCAAATCTGCTCTTTGTAAAGAATCATTCAACTCTGTGAGTTGAATGCACACAACACAAGGAAGTTACTGGGAATTCCTCTGTCTAACCTTACATGAAAAAACCCGTTTCCAACGAAGGCCTCTAAGAGGCCAAGATATCCACTTGCAGACTTTACAAACAGAGTGTTTCCAAACTGCTGAATGAAAAGAAAAGTTAAACTCTGTGAGTTGAACGCACACATCACAGAGCAGTTTCTGAGAATGATTCTGTCGGGTTTTTATACGAAGATATTTCCTTTTCTGCCTTTGGCCTCAAAGCGCTTGAAGTCTCCACTTGCAAATTGCAGAAAAAGAGTGTTTCGAATCTGCTCTGTCTAAAGGAAGGTTCAACTCTGTCAGTTGAATACACACAACACAAGGAAGTTACTGAGATTTCTTCTGTCTAGCCTTACATGAAAAAAACCCGTTTCCAACGAAGGCCTCAAAGAGGTCAAAATATCCACGTGCAGACTTTCCAAACAGAGTGTTTCCAAACTGCTGAATGAAAAGAAAAGTTAAACTCTGTGAGTTGAACGCACACATCCCAGAGCAGTTTCTGAGAAAGATTCTGTCGAGTTTTTATAGGAAAATATTTCCTTTTCTGCTTTTGGCCTCAAAGCGCTTGAAATCTCCACTTGCAAATTCCACAAAAAGAGACTTTCAAATCTGCTCTGTCTAAAGGGAAGGTTCAACTCTGTCAGTTGAATACACACAACACAAAGAAGTTACTAAGAATTCTTCCCTCTAGCATTATATGAAGAAATCCCGTTTCCAACGAAGGCATCTAAGAGGTCCAAATATCCACTTGCAGACTTTACAAACACAGGGTTTCCAGAATGCTGTATGAAAAGAAAGGTTAAACTCTGTGAGTTAAACACACACATCACTACGCAGTGTCTGGGAACGAGTTTGTCTTGTTTTTATACGAAGATATTTCCTTTTCTACCATTGGCATCGAAGCGCTTGAAATCTCCACTTGCAAATTCCACAAAAAGAGTGTTTCAAATCTGCTCTGTCTAAAGGAAGGTTGAACTCTGTGAGTTGCATACACACAACACAAAGAAGTTACTGAGAAATCTTCTGTCTAGCATAATATGAAGAAATCCCGTTTCCAACGAAGGCCTCAAAGAGGTCCGAATATCCACTGGCAGGCTTCACAAACAGAGTGTTTCCTAACTGCTCTGTGAAAAGAAAGGTTAAACTCTGTGAGTTGAACGCACACATCACAAAGGAGTTTCTGAGAATCATTCTGTCTAGTTTTTATACGAAGATATTTCCTTTTCTACCATTGACCTCAAAGCAGCTGAAATCTCCACTTGCAAATTCCAGAAAAACAGTGTTTCAAATCTGCTCTGTGTAAAGGATCGTTTAACTCTGTGAGTTGAATACACACAACACAAGGAAGTTACTGAGAATTCATCTGTCTAGCATAATATGAAGAAATCCCGTTTCCAACGAAGGCCTCAAAGTGGTCTGAATATCCACTTGCAGACTTTACAAACAGAGTGTTTCCTAACTGCTCTTTGAAAAGAAAGGTTAAACTCTGTGAGTTGAACGCACACATCACAAAACACTTTCTGAGAATCATTCTGTCTAGTTTTTATACGAAGATATTTCCTTTTCTACTGTTGACCTCAAAGCAGCTGAATTCTCCACTTACAAATTCCACCAAAAGAGTGTCTCAAATCTGCTCTGTGTAAAGAATCATTCAACTCTGTGAGTTGAATGCACACAACACAAGGAAGTTACTGGGAATTCCTCTGTCTAACCTTACATGAAAAAACCCGTTTCCAACGAAGGCCTCTAAGAGTCCAAGATATCCACTTGCAGACTTTACAAACAGAGTGTTTCCAAACTGCTGAATGAAAAGAAAAGTTAAACTCTGTGAGTTGAACGCACACATCACAGAGCAGTTTCTGAGAATGATTCTGTCGGGTTTTTATACGAAGATATTTCCTTTTCTGCCTTTGGCCTCAAAGCGCTTGAAGTCTCCACTTGCAAATTGCAGAAAAAGAGTGTTTCGAATCTGCTCTGTCTAAAGGAAGGTTCAACTCTGTCAGTTGAATACACACAACACAAGGAAGTTACTGAGATTTCTTCTGTCTAGCCTTACATGAAAAAAACCCGTTTCCAACGAAGGCCTCAAAGAGGTCAAAATATCCACGTGCAGACTTTCCAAACAGAGTGTTTCCAAACTGCTGAATGAAAAGAAAGTTAAACTCTGTGAGTTGAACACACACATCACAGAGCAGTTTCTGAGAATGATTCTCTCTAGTTTTTATAGGAAAATATTTCCTTTTCTGCTTTTGGCCTCAAAGCGCTTGAAATCTCCACTTGCAAATTCCACAAAAAGAGACTTTCAAATCTGCTCTGTCTAAAGGAAGGTTCAACTCTGTCAGTTGAATACACACAACACAAAGAAGTTACTAAGAATTCTTCCCTCTAGCATTATATGAAGAAATCCCGTTCCCAACGAAGGCATCTAAGAGGTCCAAATATCCACTTGCAGACTTTACAAACAGAGGGTTTCCAGAATGCTGTATGAAAAGAAAGGTTAAACTCTGTGAGTTAAACACACACATCACTACGCAGTGTCTGGGAACGAGTTTGTCTTGTTTTTATACGAAGATATTTCCTTTTCTACCATTGGCATCGAAGCGCTTGAAATCTCCACTTGCAAATTCCACAAAAAGAGTGTTTCAAATCTGCTCTGTCTAAAGGAAGGTTGAACTCTGTGAGTTGCATACACACAACACAAAGAAGTTACTGAGAAATCTTCTGAATAGCATAATATGAAGAAATCCCGTTTCCAACGAAGGCCTCAAAGAGGTCCGAATATCCACTGGCAGGCTTCACAAACAGAGTGTTTCCTAACTGCTCTGTGAAAAGAAAGGTTAAACTCTGTGAGTTGAACGCACACATCACAAAGGAGTTTCTGAGAATCATTTCTGTCTAGTTTTTATACGAAGATATTTCCTTTTCTACCATTGACCTCAAAGAGGCTGAAATCCCCACTTGCAAATTCCAGAAAAAGAGGGTTTCAAATCTGCTTTGTGTAAAGGGTCGTTCACCTCTGTGAGTTGAATACACACAACACAAGGAAGTTACTGAGAATTCTTCTGTCTAGCATAATACGAAGAAATCCCGTTTCTAAAGAAGGCCTCAAAGAGGTCCGAATATCCACTTGCAGACTTCAAAAACAGAGTGTTTCCTAACTGCTCTTGGAAAAGAAAGGTTAAACTCTGTGAGTTGAACGCACACATCACAGAGCAGTTTCTGAGAATCATTCTGTCTAGTTTTTATACGAAGATATTTCCTTTTCTACCATTGACCTCAAAGCGGCTGAATTCTCCACTTACAAATTCCACCAAAAGAGTGTCTCAAATCTGCTCTGTGTAAAGAATCATTCAAATCTGTGCGTTGAATCCACACAACACAAGGAAGTTACTGGGAATTCCTCTGTCTAACCTTACATGAAAAAACCCGTTTCCAATGAAGGCCTCTAAGAGGCCAAGATATCCACTTGCAGACTTTACAAACAGAGTGTTTCCAAACTGCTGAATGAAAAGAAAAGTTAAACTCTGTGAGTTGAACGCACACATCACAGAGCAGTTTCTGAGAATGATTCTGTCGGGTTTTTATACGAAGATATTTCCTTTTCTGCCTTTGGCCTCAAAGCGCTTGAAGTCTCCACTTGCAAATTGCAGAAAAAGAGTGTTTCGAATCTGCTCTGTCTAAAGGAAGGTTCAACTCTGTCAGTTGAATACACACAACACAAGGAAGTTACTGAGATTTCTTCTGTCTAGCCTTACATGAAAAAAACCCGTTTCCAACGAAGGCCTCAAAGAGGTCAAAATATCCACGTGCAGACTTTCCAAACAGAGTGTTTCCAAACTGCTGAATGAAAAGAAAAGTTAAACTCTGTGAGTTGAACGCACACATCCCAGAGCAGTTTCTGAGAAAGATTCTGTCGAGTTTTTATAGGAAAATATTTCCTTTTCTGCTTTTGGCCTCAAAGCGCTTGAAATCTCCACTTGCAAATTCCACAAAAAGAGACTTTCAAATCTGCTCTGTCTAAAGGAAGGTTCAACTCTGTCAGTTGAATACACACAACACAAAGAAGTTACTAAGAATTCTTCCCTCTAGCATTATATGAAGAAATCCCGTTTGCAACGAAGGCATCTAAGAGGTCCAAATATCCACTTGCAGACTTTACAAACAGAGGGTTTCCAGAATGCTGTATGAAAAGAAAGGTGAAACTCTGTGAGTTAAACACACACATCACTACGCAGTGTCTGGGAACGAGTTTGTCTTGTTTTTATACGAAGATATTTCCTTTTCTACCATTGGCATCGAAGCGCTTGAAATCTCCACTTGCAAATTCCACAAAAAGAGTGTTTCAAATCTGCTCTGTCTAAAGGAAGGTTGAACTCTGTGAGTTGCATACACACAACACAAAGAAGTTACTGAGAAATCTTCTGTCTAGCATAATATGAAGAAATCCCGTTTCCAACGAAGGCCTGAAAGAGGTCCGAATATCCACTGGCAGGCTTCACAAACAGAGTGTTTCCTAACTGCTCTGTGAAAAGAAAGGTTAAACTCTGTGAGTTGAACGCACACATCACAAAGGAGTTTCTGAGAATCATTCTGTCTAGTTTTTATACGAAGATATTTCCTTTTCTACCATTGACCTCAAAGCGGCTGAAATCTCCACTTGCAAATTCCAGAAAAACAGTGTTTCAAATCTGCTCTGTGTAAAGGATCGTTCAACTCTGTGAGTTGAATACACACAACACAAGGAAGTTACTGAGAATTCATCTGTCTAGCATAATATGAAGAAATCCCGTTTCCAACGAAGGCCTCAAAGAGGTCTGAATATCCTCTTGCAGACTTTACAAACAGAGTGTTTCCTAACTGCTCTTTGAAAAGAAAGGTTAAACTCTGTGAGTTGAACGCACACATCACAAAACAGTTTCTGAGAATCATTCTGTCTAGTTTTTATACGAAGATATTTCCTTTTCTACCGTTGACCTCAAAGCGGCTGAATTCTCCACTTACAAATTCCACCAAAAGAGTGTCTCAAATCTGCTCTGTGTAAAGAATCATTCAACTCTGTGAGTTGAATGCACACAACACAAGGAAGTTACTGGGAATTCCTCTGTCTAACCTTACATGAAAAAACCCGTTTCCAACGAAGGCCTCTAAGAGGCCAAGATATCCACTTGCAGACTTTACAAACACAGTGTTTCCAAACTGCTGAATGAAAAGAAAAGTTAAACTCTGTGAGTTGAACGCACACATCACAGAGCAGTTTCTGAGAATGATTCTGTCGGGTTTTTATACGAAGATATTTCCTTTTCTGCCTTTGGCCTCAAAGCGCTTGAAGTCTCCACTTGCAAATTGCAGAAAAAGAGTGTTTCGAATCTGCTCTGTCTAAAGGAAGGTTCAACTCTGTCAGTTGAATACACACAACACAAGGAAGTTACTGAGATTTCTTCTGTCTAGCCTTACATGAAAAAAACCCGTTTCCAACGAAGGCCTCAAAGAGGTCAAAATATCCACGTGCAGACTTTCCAAACAGAGTGTTTCCAAACTGCTGAATGAAAAGAAAAGTTAAACTCTGTGAGTTGAACGCACACATCCCAGAGCAGTTTCTGAGAAAGATTCTGTCGAGTTTTTATAGGAAAATATTTCCTTTTCTGCTTTTGGCCTCAAAGAGCTTGAAATCTCCACTTGCAAATTCCACAAAAAGAGACTTTCAAATCTGCTCTGTCTAAAGGAAGGTTCAACTCTGTCAGTTGAATACACACAACACAAAGAAGTTACTAAGAATTCTTCCCTCTAGCATTATATGAAGAAATCCCGTTTCCAACGAAGGCATCTAAGAGGTCCAAATATCCACTTGCAGACTTTACAAACACAGGGTTTCCAGAATGCTGTATGAAAAGAAAGGTTAAACTCTGTGAGTTAAACACACACATCACTACGCAGTGTCTGGGAACGAGTTTGTCTTGTTTTTATACGAAGATATTTCCTTTTCTACCATTGGCATTGAAGCGCTTGAAATCTCCACTTGCAAATTCCACAAAAAGAGTGTTTCAAATCTGCTCTGTCTAAAGGAAGGTTGAACTCTGTGAGTTGCATACACACAACACAAAGAAGTTACTGAGAAATCTTCTGTCTAGCATAATATGAAGAAATCCCGTTTCCAACGAAGGCCTCAAAGAGGTCCGAATATCCACTGGCAGGCTTCACAGAGTGTTTCCTAACTGCTCTGTGAAAAGAAAGGTTAAACTCTGTGGGTTGAACGCACATATCACAAAGGAGTTTCTGAGAATCATTCTGTCTAGTTTTTATACGAAGATATTTCCTTTTCTACCATTGACCTCAAAGCGGCTGAAATCTCCACTTGCAAATTCCAGAAAAACAGTGTTTCAAATCTGCTCTGTGTAAAGGATCGTTTAACTCTGTGAGTTGAATACACACAACACAAGGAAGTTACTGAGAATTCATCTGTCTAGCATAATATGAAGAAATCCCGTTTCCAACGAAGGCCTCAAAGAGGTCTGAATATCCACTTGCAGACTTTACAAACAGAGTGTTTCCTAACTGCTCTTTGAAAAGAAAGGTTAAACTCTGTGAGTTGAACGCACACATCACAAAACAGTTTCTGAGAATCATTCTGTCTAGTTTTTATTCGAAGATATTTCCTTTTCTACCGTTGACCTCAAAGCGGCTGAATTCTCCACTTACAAATTCCACCAAAAGAGTGTCTCAAATCTGCTCTGTGTAAAGAATCATTCAACTCTGTGAGTTGAATGCACACAACACAAGGAAGTTACTGGGAATTCCTCTGTCTATCCTTACATGAAAAAACCCGTTTCCAACGAAGGCCTCTAAGAGGCCAAGATATCCACTTGCAGACTTTACAAACAGAGTGTTTCCAAACTGCTGAATGAAAAGAAAAGTTAAACTCTGTGAGTTGAACGCACACATCACAGAGCAGTTTCTGAGAAAGATTCTGTCTAGTTTTTATAGGAAAATATTTCCTTTTCTGCTTTTGGCCTCAAAGCGCTTGAAATCTCCACTTGCAAATTCCACAAAAAGAGTGTTTCAAATCTGCTCTGTCTAAAGGAAGGTTCAACTCTGTCAGTTGAATACACACAACACAAGGAAGTTACTGAGATTTCTTCTGTCTAGCGTTACATGAAAAAAACCCGTTTCCAACGAAGGCCTCAAAGAGGTCAAAATATCCACGTGCAGACTTTCCAAACAGAGTGTTTCCAAACTGCTGAATGAAAAGAAAAGTTAAACTCTGTGAGTTGAACGCACACATCCCAGAGCAGTTTCTGAGAAAGATTCTGTCTAGTTTTTATAGGAAAATATATCCTTTTCTGCTTTTGGCCTCAAAGCGCTTGAAATCTCCACTTGCAAATTCCACAAAAAGAGACTTTCAAATCTGCTCTGTCTAAAGGAAGGTTCAACTCTGTCAGTTGAATACACACAACACAAAGAAGTTACTAAGAATTCTTCCCTCTAGCATTATATGAAGAAATCCCGTTTCCAACGAAGGCATCTAAGAGGTCCAAATATCCACTTGCAGACTTTACAAACAGAGGGTTTCCAGAATGCTGTATGAAAAGAAAGGTGAAACTCTGTGAGTTAAACACACACATCACTACGCAGTGTCTGGGAACGAGTTTGTCTTGTTTTTATACGAAGATATTTCCTTTTCTACCATTGGCATCGAAGCGCTTGAAATCTCCACTTGCAAATTCCACAAAAAGAGTGTTTCAAATCTGCTCTGTCTAAAGGAAGGTTGAACTCTGTGAGTTGCATACACACAACACAAAGAAGTTACTGAGAAATCTTCTGTCTAGCATAATATGAAGAAATCCCGTTTCCAACGAAGGCCTCAAAGAGGTCCGAATATCCACTGGCAGGCTTCACAAACAGAGTGTTTCCTAACTGCTCTGTGAAAAGAAAGGTTAAACTCTGTGAGTTGAACGCACACATCACAAAGGAGTTTCTGAGAATCATTCTGTCTAGTTTTTATACGAAGATATTTCCTTTTCTACCATTGACCTCAAAGCGGCTGAAATCTCCACTTGCAAATTCCAGAAAAAGAGTGTTTCAAATCTGCTCTGTGTAAAGGATCGTTCAACTCTGTGAGTTGAATACACACAACACAAGGAAGTTACTGAGAATTCATCTGTCTAGCATAATATGAAGAAATCCCGTTTCCAACGAAGGCCTCAAAGAGGTCTGAATATCCGCTTGCAGACTTTACAAACAGAGTGTTTCCTAACTGCTCTTTGAAAAGAAAGGTTAAACTCTGTGAGTTGAACGCACACATCACAAAACAGTTTCTGAGAATCATTCTGTCTAGTTTTTATACGAAGATATTTCCTTTTCTACCATTGACCTCAAAGCGGCTGAATTCTCCACTAACAAATTCCACCAAAAGAGTGTCTCAAATCTGCTCTGTGTAAAGAATCATTCAACTACTGTGAGTTGAATGCACACAACACAAGGAAGTTACTGGGAATTCCTCTGTCTAACCTTACATGAAAAAACCCGTTTCCAACGAAGGCCTCTAAGAGGCCAAGATATCCACTTGCAGACTTTACAAACAGAGTGTTTCCAAACTGCTGAATGAAAAGAAAAGTTAAACTCTGTGAGTTGAACGCACACATCACAGAGCAGTTTCTGAGAATGATTCTGTCGGGTTTTTATACGAAGATATTTCCTTTTCTGCCTTTGGCCTCAAAGCGCTTGAAGTCTCCACTTGCAAATTGCAGAAAAAGAGTGTTTCGAATCTGCTCTGTCTAAAGGAAGGTTCAACTCTGTCAGTTGAATACACACAACACAAGGAAGTTACTGAGATTTCTTCTGTCTAGCCTTACATGAAAAAAACCCGTTTCCAACGAAGGCCTCAAAGAGGTCAAAATATCCACGTGCAGACTTTCCAAACAGAGTGTTTCCAAACTGCTGAATGAAAAGAAAAGTTAAACTCTGTGAGTTGAACGCACACATCCCAGAGCAGTTTCTGAGAAAGATTCTGTCGAGTTTTTATAGGAAAATATTTCCTTTTCTGCTTTTGGCCTCAAAGCGCTTGAAATCTCCACTTGCAAATTCCACAAAAAGAGACTTTCAAATCTGCTCTGTCTAAAGGAAGGTTCAACTCTGTCAGTTGAATACACACAACACAAAGAAGTTACTAAGAATTCT